>NC_000002.12:11543779-11850535 GCF_000001405.40 Homo sapiens | reverse complement strand
ATCCAACAGACCTCAAGTTGGCATCAGCTGTTGTTCAGCACACCTACTGTGCACCAGCCCCCGAGCCACACACTGGGCCCTGAGATAATTGTTTCCGGGCTCAGTCCGAGGCCAGCTCCGGAAAGCAGGCCTTTCCATGAGTGAGCTGCAGACCTGTCAACGGGAGCCGGGCATGCCTCCCACGGAAACAGGGCGCCCCTTCTCGGGCTGCAGGCACACTTCCAGGGGAGCTGGGCACACAGCCGCAGCTGGAGGCCAGCCGGGCCGCGGACACTCGCCCAATTGTGTGAAGGACCAATGGGAGAAACAGTATCCACTCTGAGATGCACAAAGCTGCTGTCAGCCTCCCTCTCCAGGTGCTGCCGAAGGGAGCCTTCCAGGGGCCTTTCAGGGACAGCCGGGAATTGTTCCTAATGTGTCCACTGCAGGGCCATCAAGACCTTCCCACGGGGCTCCTTTCAGCTTTCACTGAAATTAATTAGCAAATGGAATCCGAGTAACGTGATAATAGGTGTTGCTCGAAAGGAACTTCTGTAGCCGCCTGAGTTTCACTTTCTTGTGGGAACCCCTCTCTCGCCCATTGTCGTCCCAGATGTCATCAGGAATAGGCACAATTTGTCCTCTTCACAGATCAGAGCAGAGAATCAGACTATCAGAGTCAGAAGGGGACTGAAAATTTACCTAACCAGTGGTTCTTAAACTTTAGGCGGTACCAGAACACCCTCCCTATCCTCCCGGTTTAGTAAAACACAGATTACTGTGCTCCGTGCCCTGCATTTCTGAGCTGATGGGTCTGGAGTGGCGCCTGAGAATTTGCACTTCTAAGGAGTTCCGAGGTGATGGGACAGAGACCACCTGGGAAAAACCACCAACCAGGCCAATCTTTCAGTGTAATGGGGAGAAACAGAAGCCCAGAGAGGAGAAGGGACTTCCGGAAGGGACGCCGGGCATGAGAACGGGTCTCCCTCCCGACACTCAGGGCAGGTCTCAGCCCATCAATCCGAGACCTTCCAGCTTGTTTCTGCTGTGACCCTCCGGGATCATGCTGATGTCTCTGCACTCCACCACCAGGAATAATAGCAGAAACCAACTGAACGAGCAGGGAGATAGAAAGCATCAGCTGGAAGCTGTTTTGATGCGTTTTCAAAAAATAGTTCCTGAAGGTCCACATGGAGGAAATAGAGCATAGAGTGGGCTAAGCCGGAGGTCCGGTGGCTCAGTGTGGCTGCCATGGGGCAGGCCAATAAGCCCTGGGACAAGGTGCCCTTTGAGACCTGTGCATTATTGTGTAGAAAACAGCGAACAGCTGAAGGAGAGGAAGATCAGTTTGAGTGCACTGGGGAGAAAATCACAGGGACAGGGATTGGAAGCCCAGTGCCTAGGAAGAGGCTGGTCAGTGACCCAGCATGAAACACCCTGAGCCAGAGCCCTGGGGACAGGACAGGCTGCGGGGGATGGGCAGAAACATGAGCTTCTATCATGTGATGGTGCCAGATATGTAGTGGATGCTCCAAAAACCCCAAACCAGGGTTGCCAATACCCCACACTGTGCACATCACACAGCCTGGACACCGTTTCCACAGCATCTGCAGAGCATTGGGCTATGAGAGGGAGGCTGTCCAGCTTGTACGGGACTCTGCCTCGTCATCTCAGAAACACAGGCTCTGCTCTAGCAGCAGCATCACCTGCAGCAGCATCGCTAAGGCCCGGCAACAGGGCACAAAGCCTCGGGGGAGGGAGGCAGTTCATCCTGCCATGCCCTGCCTCTGTCCCGCCTGCCCCTCCACTTACCCAAAATGCATGTCTCAGGGATGCTGTCCAACCGCAGAGTGGAGTCTGCACAGAGATCTTCACAATCCCTGAGCTGGTGGAGAGTAACACCTTCTGGCTTTTGTGCCAGCCTTGGGTTCAAGTTCCTCGGGTGTTCAAGTTATGCCCAGGGCCTTCATTCTGCTTACCCTGGGGACAGTTTTGAGAATTAAGTTGTAAGAAGCATAAAGTACCTATCATGGTACCTGACATAATAGATGCTCAATAAACCACTATCACAATAGCAGTCGTCACCTCACCCTGGCCCAAGGATGATCTTTCTCCCCTACAGTTCTAATCCTGGGCAAGATGCTGCCTCCACAATTTTTTTTAATTATATACTGAAGGCCATGGAACAAACAGAAAAACAGCAGTACCTTTCCCAATAAGGTAAGGTGATGTGGCTTAACTGTGTCCCCACACAAATCTCATCCTGAATTGTAGCTCCCATAATCCCCACACGTCATGGGAGGGACTCAGTGGGAGATAATTGAATCATGGGAGTGGGTTGTTTCCATGCTGTTCTCATGATAGTGAGTAAGTCTCTTAAGATCTGATGGTTTTATAAAGGGCAGTTTCCCTGCACATGCTCTCTTGCCTGCTGCCATGTAAGATGTGCCTTTGCTCCTCCTTCACCTTCTGCCATGATTTTGAGGCCTCCCCAGCCATATGGAACTGTGAGTCCATTAAATCTCTTTTTCTTTATAAATTACCTAGTCTTGGGTATTTCTTCATAGCAGTATGAAAATGGACTAATACACGAAGACTCCTGAAAATGCCTTCTGAGGTCTACAGATCTGACAAGAGCAGACCCATTTGGGTAGACAACAGGTTAGAGTTCATGCCTTCACTCTTCCTCTGGGTACTTGAGTGCTTGTTGGAGACTTGTCAGTGAAGTCAGTTTTAAACCCAGGCAGTCACGTGTCCACTGCGTTCAGAATTGGCCACCACTGAGCCACCAAGGCCCAACTGCCCTCACAGCTGTGGTCAGGATGAAAGAAACTGTATAAGTGTTGGGGGCCCCACTGCATGTAGAAGGACTGAAAGTGTCTAAAATGAGACTAAAAGATCTTTCTCTCTGAGAACACAGGGGCTAATAAAGAGGAGGCAGCCTTTGTTTTGAGGGAAGTTTCCCAACAGTAAGAAGTCAGTGAACAGGTAAAACAAGGAACTTTGAGCTTGGTAGACAAGACAGGTGAACAGTTGGCTCCTCAAACATCTCCAGAGGGCTAGGATGGAGAAGAGACGTCTCAGAGCTGAGACTATGCCGAGGGAACCTGTTAGAGGGAACACAAGAGCACAGAAAAGTCAAGTTCACGCCTGAGCATAGTCTGACAGTTCAGTTTAGCCACAAGGATGTGTGCATTTTATTTTATGATTTTGTCTTTCTCTAACTTGGGTTTTTATGTAGAAACTACTCTTTGTCCAATACAGGCACATTATATTCATTAAATAATAATAGCAAGGGCTGAGCACAGTGGCTCATGCCTGTAATCCCAGCACTTTGGGAAGCTGAGGCAGGTGGATCACTGGAGGTCAGGAGTTCTACACCAGCCTGACCAACATGGTGAAACCCTGTGTCTACTAAAAATACAAAAATTAGCCGGGTGTGGCGGCGTGTGCCTGTAATCCCAGCTACTCGGGAGGCTGAAGCAGGAGAATTGCTTGAATTCAGGAGGTGGAGTTTGCAGAGCCGAGAAAGCACCAACTGCACTCCAGACTAAGCCACAGAGCGAGACTTCACCTGGAAAAAAATAGGAATAATAGCAAATACTTAGATGGTGCTTAACATGCACCAGGCACTGTTCCAAGTGTATTAACTCATTTCAGCCACACCACAGCCTACAGGTTTCATCTTTATTCCAAAGACAAAGAAATTGAGGCACCAAGAGGCTAAGTAACTTGACCAAGGATGCAGTTAATGAGCCACAGCAGTGCGGCTTCTGAGTCGCTGCTTTCAACCACTATGCACGCTCCCAGGGGCTCCCCTCCCGGGATTCCCGCCACTGAGAGCCAAACAAATCATAACTAATGACTTACTGATTGGCCTGCCTCTTCCACTACCCCTACTACCTGTCTACAAGCTCCTTAAAGTCTGTGATTTGCTCACTGTGCGGTCATTAGCTGTGCATTAGCTTAGCACATGCCTGGTATAACAGGCCTTCAGCAAATGTCGAATAAGCAAATGCAATGAATGAAGAGATGTGTTGGAAACAAGTCCTCATATCAGCTTTTAAAAAAATACAGAGGAAGGGTCAGGCATGGTGGCTCACGCCTGTAATACCAGCACTTTGGGAGGCCAAGGCGGGCCGATCACAAGGTCAGGAGATGGAGACCATCCTGGCTAACACAGTGAAACCCCGTCTCTACTAAAAATAAAAAAAAAAATTTCCTAATTGAATACCCTTTATTTCTTTCTCCTGCCTGATTGCCCTGGCCAGAACTTCCAACACTGTATTCAATTAGGAAAAGAGGAAGTCAAATTGTCCCTGTTTGCAGATGACATGATTGTATATCTAGAAAACCCCATCATCTCAGCCCAAAATCTCCTTAAGCTGATAAGCAACTTCAGCAAAGTCTCAGGATACAAAATCAATGTGCAAAAATCACAAGCATTCTTATACACCAATAACAGACAAACAGAGAGCCAAATCATGAGTGAACTCCCATTCACAATTGCTTCAAAGAGAACAAAATACCTAGGAATCCAACTTACAAGACATGTAAAGGACCTCTTCAAGGAGAACTACAAACCACTGCTCAATGAAATAAAAGAGGGTACAAACAAATGGAAGAACATTCCATGATCATGGATAGGAAGAATCAATATCGTGAAAATGGCCATACTGCCCAAGGTAATTTATAGATTCAATGCCATCCCTATCAAGCTACCAATGACTTTCTTCACAGAATTGGAAAAAACTAAAGTTCATATGGAACCAAAAAAGAGCCCGCATCGCCAAGTCAATCCTAAGCCAAAAGAACAAAGCTGGAGGCATCACGCTACCTGACTTCAAACTATACTACAAGGCTACAGTAACCAAAACAGCATGGTACTAGTACCAAAACAGAGATATAGACCAATGGAACAGAACAGAGCCCTCAGAAATAATACCACACATCTACAACTATCTGATCTTTGACAAACCTGACAAAAACAAGCAAAGGGGAAAGGATTCCCTATTTAATAAATGGTGCTGGGAAAACTGGCTAGCCATATGTAGAAAGCTGAAACTGGATCCCTTCCTTACACCTTATACAAAAATTAATTCAAGATGGATTAAAGACTTACATGTTAGACCTAAAACAATAAAAACCCTAGAAGAAAACCTAGGCAATACCATTCAGGACATACGCATGGGCAAGGACTTCATGTCTAAAACACCAAAAGCAATGGCAACAAAAGCCAAAATTGACAAATGGGATCTAATTAAACTAAAGAGCTTCTGCACAGCAAAAGAAACTACCATCAGAGTGAACAGGCAACCTACAGAATGGGAGAAAATTTTTACAATCTACTCCTCTGACAAAGGGCTAATATCCAGAATCTACAAAGAACTCAAACAAATTTACAAGAAAAAAACAACCCCATCAACAAGTGGGTGAAGGATATGAACTGACACTTCTCAAAAGAAGACATTTCTGCAGCCAGCAGACACATGAAAAAATGCTCATCATTACTGGCCATCAGAGAAATGCAAATCCAAACCACAATGAGATACCATCTCACACCAGTTAGAATGGTGATCATTAAAAAGTCAGGAAGCAACAGGTGCTGGAGAGGATGTGGAGAAATAGGAACACTTTTACACTGTTGGTGGGACTGTAAACTAGTTCAACCATTGTGGAAGACAGTGTGGCGATTCCTCAGGGATCTAGAACTAGGAATACCATTTGACCCAGCCATCCCATTACTGGGTATATACCCAAAGGATTATAAATCATACTGCTATAAAGACACAGGCACACGTATGTTTATTGTGGCACTATTCACAATAGCAAAGAATTGGAACCAACCCAAATGTCCATCAGTGATAGCCTGGATTAAGAAAATGTAGCACATATACACCATGGAATACCATGCAGCCATAAAAAAGGATGAGTTCATGTCCTTTGTAGGCACATGGATGAAGCTGGAAACCATCGTTCTCAGCAAATTATCGCAAGGACAAAAAACCAAACACTGCCATGTTCTCACTCATAGGTGGGAATTGAACAATGAGAACACTTGGACACAGGAAGGGGAACATCAACACACTGGGCCCTGTTCTGGGGTCGGGGGAGAGGGGAGGCATAGCATTAGGAGATATAACTAATGTAAATGATGAGTTAATGGGTGCAGCACACCAACATGGCACATGTATACATATGTAACAAACCTGCACATTGTACACATATACCCTAGAACTTAAAGTATAATAAATATATGTATATTAAAAAAATAAAGAAATAAAATGTAAGAAATATTAAAAAATAAAATAAAATAAATAAACTTAGTTTAGGCAAAGTTGCATTAACCTTCTGTAGGTAAATGTCTTCCAGTTTAATTATTTTATAAATTAGATTCTATCATCTCTTTAAAATTTTATAATACATTTTATTAGCTACCATAAAAAAAATACAAAAAATTAGCGCGCATGGCAGCATGCACCTGTATTCCCAGCTACTCAGGAGGCTGAGGCAGGAGAATGGCTTGAACCTGGGAGGCAGAGCTTGCAGTGAGCCAAGATCATGCCACTGCACTCCAGCCTGGGCAACAGAGCGAGACTCCATTTCAAAAAAAAAAAAACTACGGAGGAAGGAGACCTAATACTGATTGGATATGTACTCTGTGTCAGGAAGTTTGTATATACAGCCATGCATTGCTTAACAACAGGGATATGGTCTGAGAAATGCATTGTTAGGTGATTCCGTCATTGTGCAATCATAGAGTGTACTTAACACAGACCTAGACGGTAGAGCTTACTACCCACCAAGGGTATATGGTATAGCCTATTGTTCCTAGGCTACATATATGTACATGTTACTGTGCTGAATACAGCTGGCCATTGTAACACAATGGTAAGTATTTAGGTATCTAAACATAGAAAAGGTACAGTAAAAATACAGTATTATAATCTTATGGGACCACTGTCACATATGCAGTCCATCACTGATCAGAACGTCACTATGTGGTGCATGACCACATTATCACTTTTAATCTGCAGGACAGTCCAGTGAAAAAGTATCAGCCCCATTTTATAGATAAGGTGACTGAGACTCAGAGAGGTTAAACAACGTGCCCAAAGCCATTATCCTGGCATTCACCACTGTCAGGAAAAGACTGTGCAAGGATTTGAAATGGGAAAAAGCAAACTAGTGAGTGTTCTTTCTAGAGCATCCTTCCAAGCTATCTGCACTTTCTGAACATCTTTGTGCTATTTTACAACTTTATAAGTTGAAGAAAACTGATAATGCAAGTAATGCAAATAATTCCTGTCCATGGAAATGCAAATCAATTTTGGGCCTTGAAGATACAATTGATTATTGCCCTGTGGACACAACTTGTTTTGCATCTATATGCAAATTCCTTTCCAATACCTGATTGCCTATATGTGTGTGTTCATTGAACTTGTTTTTACATTTTACCAGTTTCCTCATTAATTAATAAGTTAAATAAAATCCTTGGCTTGCATTCATTATATATTTTCATGAGAGTCATGATTTTACCTTTAACTTTAACACCAGTTAGTATTCAAATCCAAGTTTGTTGGTTCTTTCCAGTTAATTATACATAAACACACGCACACACATATCACTGTTCATAACAAGTTCTCTTATCATTAAGCTTTCTGTCAAAGGCAAACTAACCTTGGTTGAAACTGAAAAGCTATACACATTTAAATAGATCTTTAAACAATAATGTATTTTTCCATATTATCTAATAAGGGCTGAATTAGTAAGATTTGACTTGAGTAATATGGCAGGTCAGCCATCAGTGACAGCCCTGGATTCCTACTAGAACATGCATCTGTCGTTTTTGTTCCAAATATTTTCTGTGCTTTCCTGCCTCCAACTTCACCAGATCCAAAGGGGATGAGCTGTGTATTTTCATCTGTTTCTCCTAAACTACACTGTGGCCAAGAGCAAACTGGCACATGGTCAGGGCTAAATAATGCAGGTTGCATTGAACTGAGTTGGATTGAACTAAACCCGTGCTCAGCCTCTGGCATCTGTCCAGGAATGCTTGCCTTCCAACAATGCCAGGTCCTAGTGAATGGTCTTCCAGGGATACTATACTGAGAAATCTCAGGATTTTTCCCCATAAGGTGACCAGAAGTTTTCCAAAGCAGGAAGAATGGCTGTTGCAGTCAGCAGGCCCTGGGTGAACAGACCCAGTCCCCACCACACCACTGCCCCTACCACACACACACACACACACACACACACACACACACACACACACACACAATGAGATCATGGTCTTATGGGACAGGTTCCGGAGTCGGACAGCTCTCAGCTCAAGTCCTAGCTACATCACTCAATACTTTTTTGAGTTTCAGCTTTATCATCTCTAATGGTTAATTTCACGTGCCAGCTTAGCTAGATTAAGGTGCCAGGTGTTTGATCAAACACAGAAACACAGTCTAGATGTTGCTGTGAAGATGTTTCTAGATGTCACCAACATTTAAATTGGTAGATTTTGAGCACACAAAATGACCTTCTGTAATGTGAGTGGGCCTCATCCAATCAGTTGAAGACCTTAGGAAAAAAAGACTGAGGTCCCCTGAGGAAGAAGAAATTCTGCTCCTGACTGCCTCTGGACTTGAGCTACAATGTCAGCTCTTCCCCAGGCCTCCAGGCTGCCAACCTGCCCTGCAGATTTCAGGCTTGCACGCCCACAACTGCATGCACCAATTCCTTAACATCTCTCTTTCTCCAAATGAAAGAGTATTAAATCAGAGTCCAGGGGTGCTGGATTGTGCATAACTGGGTTTTCTGGAATGTTGTGGAGTAATAAGAAATGTATTTTCTTAGACCCAGCAAGAATCCACCTTGACTGACTAGTACTCTGTAGATAAATGAAGGGTCAAAAGAAGCTACAATGAGACATGAAGTATCTTTACCTGTCTTCTACTCTGTGTAGCCACCTCACTTCCAATAAGTATCTGCATCTTTGGCTAAATAAATAGGAAACTTAAACCTTAGAGTGTTTTTTTGTCTGGAATGATGGGGTATAAATCCATAATTCGCCTGGAATGCTGCACAACTAAAAAAAATAAAGATTATTTACTAAAATTTCACACCTTTTGAGGATTACTTTACCACCCCGTAAAGGTCAGTTATTAAGTAGATTGTTGGAATGGCATTTGGATGTTTACCATCACCCATACACCCCCAGGCCATTCTATTTGATCAAATGCAGACAGAAACCAATAGGGTGGCTGCTGTCATCAGATTCTGGGGTACACTCACTGAACTTGATTTAATCGTGCAAGTGTGTCTATGAATTAACTGTCTCCTGAGGGTAGGACAGCAGCTGTAAAACCACTCCCTCAACTTCTACTATTTCATGGGATTCCCCAAAGGCTCTGAAGTGAGCAAGAATGGGATATTAATTAAATTAGCTTCAAGGCTACATTATACCCTATTCTGAAATTTACCCTATTCTATTTCACACAGTACGTAAGTTCAGCAGTGTGGTCTATTATGGTCCTGGAGAGATCATACGGTGCACCCAAATATATATTGAAGAAGGATCTCAAATATGGACACTCAATTCTTTCTCATTTTTAGATTTCCACATAGGAATTAAAGTCCAAATAAATTGAGGTAAAAATAATTCTCTTTTCAAATTTCCCTTTCTTCTCAGTGTTAGAGAGAGGGGTTTCTGGTGGAAGTAGATTTCAGATGGATTTCTCCTGAAGACACTGCTTCCCAAACCACTTTTCAATGGACAGGATTCTTTTGGCATCTGCAAAGGACTGGAAATCTAATCCCAAGTCTTCCTGGGCCCCACTTTTCCAAGAAGCCAGTAACAACCATAAGATTCTCTCACTACCATCCCCTCACCCATAAAATTTAGAAAACTCAAGCAAATTTCAAGCCCTTAGAAAAGCTACTACAAGTAAAATCATGATGGCAGGACCAATTCGTAATACAGTTCAGACCCCAGCCAAACACCATAACTAGGGAATTTTTGAAAGAAGGAAAATATATGGAAAAGTTAGGTATGTATGATTTCAGCTTCGCCAGCATACCAGCAAGTTCTGCCAATTGTTTGGTATATTTTATCTATAAATACAAATTCAACAGACAGACTTCATCTTTGAGGAGGCTCATGATGATAGTTGCAAATTGCCTGCCCTCCAGACACTGGCTTCAGTCCTCCAGCAAACAAGAAATGGGAAGTCTCTGCATCTCATTAGAGGCTCTCTTCTGCCTCTTACAATCTCTTCATTTCTGGCTCCCCGGGTGGTCCTGGCACCCCCATGCTGAAGCAAATATCAAGATCTGTCCCTACTCTCCTATCAGAGAAGCATGTCACATTTATTTTTAGCGTCTTGTTTCCTGATAATTCCACTGTGGGTTTTCCCGTGCATTACTCAAGAAGATGGAATATCCCTTGTAAAACAACCTCTTCCCTCCAGCCCACAAAGGTCTTTATCCTTTTGTAGATAAAATCCACCATCACGCTGCTGTGGTTGAAGCCACAGTCTGAGTCTTTCAAATCCACAATGACAATCAGAGTTTATGATGTAAACACTCCAAGTTGACCCCACTTGGAGGGTGTAGATAGAGACTCAGATTCAATTGGTTTGGGTTGGGACTTGGGCATTAGTAATTGTTTAAATTGGCCCCCTCCCCCAGTTAATTTTAGCCTACAACCCAGATTAAGAATCCCTGCTGATGAGGTGCAGAAGGTGCTCTGTTCTTAATCTCTCTCACCAGCATCAGCTGCAGCCGTCATTCTGATGGGACACACAAGCCGCTGCATCCCGTGCAGAACAAGTGAGGCTGGAGATCCTGCAAATCAAGGCTCAGCTCCCCACCCTGAAAATCTCCTTTTCATGCAAAACTCACAAGGGGTATTCTCAAAGATTTCCAGCCAAAATGTGCCATAAATATCAATTACTCCTCCTCCATTCCTCAATTGCAATGCATATAAACATAACAGAATTAACAGCCATTGATGAACGTATCCACTGCAGCATGATTCAGTTAATTGGTATATCCTTCACCTCATATACTTACCCTTTTTTTGTGATGAGAACATTTAAAATCTACTCTCAGCTGGGCATGGTGGCTCACGCCTGTAATCCCAGCACTCTAGGAGGCCAAGGCAGGCGGATCACCTGAAGTTGGGAGTTCCAGACCAGCCTGGTGAACATAGTGAAACCCTGTCTCTACAAAAACAAATACAAAAATTAGCCACACGTGGTGGCACACATCTGTAATCCCAGCTACTCAGTGGGCTGAGGCATGAGAATTGCTTGAACCTGGTAGGCAGAGGTTGCCGTGAACTGAGATGACGCCACTGCGCTCCAGCCTGGGTGACAGAGTAAGACTGCATCTCGATAAATAAATAAATAAATAAAATCTACTCCCTTAGCAGTTTTAAAGAATATAATACATTATCACGGTCCTCAAAGTATATAAATATCAAAGCATCACGTTTTACACCATAAATATATTCATTTTTCCTTTATTAAAAATATTTAAAAATTGTTTAAAGAATACACAGGCACATAGGAAGCAAATGTCAGTTTCACTCATCTGGACAAGTTGTCAACAACCCCCATTCACTCTGGAAAAATACAAGAAGAGCTGGTATGGAGATCACACCTGGGTCTGAGGCCAAATGAGGCACTGCACCTACCTGTCTATAGGTATGAAGACAGCCAGGTACCCACTCAGCCAGGTGTGGGGAGGGGAGAGATCAGAAGCCTGCTGGGTGCACATGGGCACTTAGAGCTGTGCTTTGGGGACCCCAGAGAGGCCGAGGCATGCCCTCCAGCCTCCCAGCACAGGGGAGACCTCAGCATGTGTCAGGGGTCACCTCACCACGCAGACTGGCCCTCCCTGTTCCTGTGGCTTCATGTGTCCTTGAAAGGGCAGCCAAGGCTGGCTGACGGGGCAGGGAATGGACAAGGAGCAGCCTGGAAGGGCTGGCACCATTCTGAAACTCTGCAGAGTGGACCTTCACCAGCGGCTTCTCCAGCAGGAGCTGCCTCTCCCCTGTCACCTTGTTTGGAACAATGAGGCATGTCCAGACTGAACACGTTGCCTCACTGGCCACTCGCTGGCTGTTCCTCAGGGTCAACCACTCAACCTGCCTCAGGTGGACCTCTGGACTTCCATGCAGGCCTCAGCCGGCTCTGTGTTTCTGGGCTGCTGGACTCTGTAATGGGCCCTCCATGCACTCATGTGTCTGTGCTAGAGACTTGGAAGTGATCCCAGCTTCCTCCCCGGCTCTCCTCGGCTCCCCTCCTTCATGCCTGTGTCACTGCCTCAGTTTGGACCTTCAGTTTCTCCATTCTGAGCCACCTGGAGTCTTCAGGTAAGGTTCCTTGCTCCTGCCCAGCCCCTCCCATCTGTCACCACCACCACCTGGGTGATCCCTCTAAAGCATCACCCAACTCTGCCATTCCCCACTCCTCCTCCCTTTAGTGGCCACCAAGTGCATGGGAAATGAGGCCAGGCCACCTGGCTCATGATGTGGCCCTGCTCACCCCTTAACAGCATCCCTGCTGCACTTCAGAGCCAGTCCTCCAGCCACACTGCTGCCCGTCCATTGCCCTGTTTTCCCTGTTCCCTGGGTGGAAACGTCTTCCAGACTTTGAGGAAGGAGCAAGAGACAAATCATAACCAAATTCCTCCCTGACTGTTGGGCCAAGTAAGATGGAGACTAAACTGCTTGGCTCTGTCCCTTGGAGTTCATTGAAGACATTGAGTGGGTACCGTGGAGTGGGAGCCAAAGGTCAGCTTGGAGTGGGTGCAAGAGGGAAGGAAAGGGAGGAAGGGGAAAAGCAAGGACAGTCAGCTTCTGGTGTCCATGGTGGATTGGTTTCGGGACCCTTGTGGATCTCAAAATTCATGGATGTCAAGCCCCTGATATAAAATGGCATAGTATCTTTATGCAACCTATGCACATCTTCTGTGTACTTTAAATAATCCCTAGATTGCTTATAATGCCTAATACAATGTAAATGCCATGTTAATAGTTGCTATACTCTATGGGTTAGGAAATCATGATAAGAAAAAAAGTCTGGATGTGTTCAGTAAAGACAGATTTTTTCCCAAATATCTTTGACCCATGCTTGGTTGAATCCACAGATATCAAACCCATGGATTGGAAGGGCAGACTATATAGTCATCTCTTCCAAGAATTTGGCCATAAAGGGAAGCAGAGAAATGAGTGGTCATGGAGAGGAATATGAGTTGGGGCTGGTTTTACGCTGATGGGACACATCACAGCAGATCTGTATGATGATGGGAATGATTCTGTAGACAGTGGGAATTTGAGATATAGGCATTGGAGTGGCTAATGACAGGTGCATTGTCCTGGAGTTGGGGAAAAGAGGCAGGACAAGGTGCTAGACTAAAAGTGGGCATTGGAGGCACTTGCACAGTGAGCAGTAGGGCTCCTCGGCTGCTTCCCTGGTCCAACTGTGGCATGTGACAGGCCGTTCACCACAAGCTCCACCTCCCGCCATGAGGCCAGGCAGCCTCTCTGCAGATACCAAACCACCCCAGAGAGGAAAGCTGCAGGTGCTGATGTTGGGGGGACATTCAGACTACCTGCAGCAGAGCCCATGGCTGACAGGACCTGCACACCCCACAAAGAGACACCCACACCCCCCATGTTCACAACACAGACACCCACACACACACCCATATACACCCCACAGACACAGACCCACACTCATATACCCACACCTACCCACAGATAGACGCAGACACCTGCCATCCTGCACAGGCACCTCCCAACCCCACAACGTTTTAGTGCATCTCTCTTACATATAAACAGATATAAAGTATTACCAGACACTTGAGGGAAGTCGCCCATAGAAACCAAAGCAAACGAGCAAAATTTGAGGAGTTACTATTGAGATAATTCAGGAAACAGAAGAAAATTTCACAGACACTATAACTAATGTCTTCAGAAGGGTAGACTGAAGGGTAGACTCACAAAATTAGAGATGGATACCACAAAAAAAAATTAAGAACAATCCATTTGGGATCTTGGAGACAGGGCCTCCAATTAAGGAGAAAAGCAGAGAAGACTCCAGATTGATGGCTTGTTGGGGGTCAGAGCAGCCCTGTTAGACTGGAATGTGCGGGGAGAGCACTTTAGTGGGAGGGTTTCCAGGAGGAAAAAAGGAGACATGTATTTAACAATGTGGAAAATATTACAGAGATTTTTTTCCCATAACATTTTTTGGGGGCTGAGGAAGGAGTTAGTAATAATTTGAAAAAATAATGAGCCATAAAAAATGGAGCATATTAACTCCAGGGAAGGCCAAAAGTTATAGAAATAAAAAAAAACATGATATTTTTATACTATAAGGCTTAGGGATGGGAAAAAGCACATATGAAAGACAAAAACTTCATCTGGCATCGTAAGTCAATAAGGAATGCCTAAATTTCATTAATCGAAATATTGTAGTATGTTCATTTTACTTAAAAATATCAAAGTAAATTCCAGAATAAACAGGGGCAAGGGTTGAAAATGAGAATCAGGAGGGGTGTGGGGGAGGGGGGCAAGTAGGACCAGCCATGTGGATTTTGTGTGTCTTCTGGTAAAAATCTTCAACTTTTAAAACTATGTGAATATGTTATTTTGGTTTCAAAAAAAACAGTAGACTGAAAACTATAAAAAGCCAACAAAATAAAGGGAGAAAGAAAGAAAGGAAGGGCAAAAAGAGAGGCGGGGGGAAAGAGGTGGAAAAGGGGAAAGAGAAATTGACCAGCAGGGACAACAGACACAGCTCTTGCCTGCTCTCTTCTCCACTCTATAATGTTTTCTCACTAGTCAGATTCTTCAAGGACAATCCCTTTTATTCCATCTGGTGGCCAATTTGAAGAGTGCCTGGAATGGGCATTGATACAACAGTCGCTATTATGTCTGTCTGAGTGGTGTTTTGTACTTCAGAATTATACTCGACAATAAAGCATTGGAAGAAAGAAAATGTCATTGCAGTGCCTACTATGTGGATGACGCAATGCCAAGCATTAGGGGATCTAGGAGCTTATGTCTGGTTGGAGACAGACATTGAAGAAATCATGCACAGAAGCGGGGCAGGTGCAGTGATAGAATGTCAGTGTCCTGTGAGGGTGCCACACAGGGAGGGTCTAGTCTACCTGGGGGTAAAAGTGATGGGTGTTTTCAGGGTAGGGAAGGTCTCCTCTCAGGAGGGACACCTGGACAGTCCTTGGACCTTGGATTTTCTCTACTCCCTTCAGTCTCTCCCTGGGCTCATCCTGCCCTGTGGCTTTCATCACCATCTGTGTACTAATCATGCCCAAATGCCCACTGTCAGTCCTGAGTTCTCCCGTGAAAATTAGAGTGGCATATCCATTGCCCACTTGACTTGTCTTCTTGGATGTCTAATCATTCTTTCAAACCTACACGTCCAAAGAAAACTTGGTTTTCTCCCCAAGTTCAGCTCCTCTCAGTTTTCCCCTTACAGTGGTCTGCAAGGCCCTTCACAACTGGGCTCCTGCTACCTCCACCACCTAAGCTCTAGCCATGCCAGCCCCTCATCTCCTCACCCCGTGCCCCCAGCTCTAATGTCACTGCAGTAGAGGGGTGGACTCCTTGCTTCGTTCTCTGGGAAATGGTGCCTTTCCATCACTCCACTTTCCTCTCTCCCCTGCTCCTTTTTTATTTGCAGACCTTATTACCACTCGACATGTTATTGGTTTCTATGTCCGTCATGCAGAGTGCAAGCACCGTGAGGACAGGGATTTCATTGTTTTGTTCACTGCTTTAGTCACTAATCTTAAGTACCCAAACTGTCTTAGCATGCAAAAAGTATCTGAAAGACATTCTGGAGTCTTCACCATGCTGGAAGTTTACTTCTCACTCACACAAAGTCCATTTTAGTACTTGGCAGGCTACCTTCCACAGAGTGACTCAGGGACCCAGTTTCCTTCCTTAGAGATCTTTGCTTCTAGTTGATGGACAGAGACAGAGAAGGTGACAAAGGAACACCTGCTTTTTAACTACCTTGGCCCAGAAGTGATTCAGGTCGCTGCTGCTCGTGTTCCCATTGGCAAGATGGAGTGACATGACCCCACCTAATATGGGGGCGGGGGCTGGAAAATACAGCCCCTGCTAGGCAGCTGCTTTTCAGCCACTACTCTACAATATGCAAGGAAAGCAGAACTCTTCAGAGGACAAGCAGCCATCTCTCCCAGATCTCCTGAAGTTCAGGGTCTCCAAACTCCCTGTCTCTGCCCCCCACATATACAGGAAGCCCCACCCCAGTGAACATTTCCACCAGGATATAATACATCAGGAATTCAGCAACTGAACGTGTCACTCCTTTGTATTATTACTCTATTGTTACATTAGTGACAAAGAACAGAAGGCAGAAGAGAAACATAATTTGCTTAGTCCTGTGTCCCACTGTCTCACCAGCTCACATTCTTGTGTGTCCAATCAGTCTCAGTTTCCTGGTGTCCTGGCCAGTCTTGCCATTCAGCCAGGAGATGATGTCTTTGGCAGGAACCTCAGTTACATACATGCTCCATTCCGCACCACAGCATAATTGGGTCCTTGAAGATATCTCTGAATTGAAAGAGCAAGCTCTGCCTGGTGAGAGGAGCAGGGTCTGGTTTGCATTTGTTCCTGGTCAAAACAGGAAGTGCCTACCCCATTTTTCACAGTGTTAGCTTTTTTACAAAGCAAATGCTCTGTGGTGCACACAATGATTCAACCCTGAGGAATACATGGAGGCTGCTCCAAGTCATTTTCATGGCTCTGTGGCCTCTCACCATCATCAGCTCAGCCAGGATGGATGTTGGTGCCTCTCATTGAGTATTGTCCTGCGGTCTGGCTCGTGCAGCAGGCATACAACGTGGCTGTCGCTCCGATGCCTCCCCACTTCACCTCACTGGAAACAGTGAAACAGAGCCTGATGACTCTCTGATCATTCTGGATTTGGAGACTTTAATCCTAGTCCTGCCTTTTACTAGTTGGAGGACCTTAGACAAAAGTCTCTGAATTTCAATTTTCCCCTCAATAAAATGAAGTTAATGACTGTAAACAGTGATTTGGAAATAGAAATGATAATAAACAGTTATGTCTTACCTGGCAGTTTCCAAAGCACAGAGAGCTTGGTATGGGTCTGCTTGAAGAAGACCACAGGGAAGGTGAGGCTGAAGCTGGGCCTTGAGAGGTTCCTGGGGCTTCCACTGGGGAGAGGAGGGTGACCAATGAGCTAAAGTATGTGCAAGCTGGGCTGGGCGTGGTAGCTCACCCCAGTAATCCCAGCACTTTGGGAGGCTGAGACGGGTGGATCATGAGGTCAGGAGTTTGAGACCAGCCTGGCTAATATGGTGAAACCCCATCTCTACTAAAAATACAAAAATTAGCTGGGCACGGCAGCACACGTGTGTAGTCCCAGCTATTCGGGAGGCTGAGACAGGAGAATCACTTGAACCCGGGAGGCGGAGGTTGCAGTGAGCCAATATCATGCCATTGCATTACAGCCTGGGTGACAGAGCACAGAGCAACACTCCATCTCCCAAAAAAAAAAAAAAAAAAAAAAAGAATGTGCAAGCTGTCAGCCAGATGAGATGTTCGAAGGTGCGTTACTGTAAAGGCCATCTACTGTTGTGCCAGTTGAGAGAAGTCCCTAGAGGATTTGCTTCAAGGAACATAAGAACAAGCACATCAACCAGTTATGAGTGCCCTCAAAAAACCATGTGTTATCCACAAGCATAGTGAGATACTACCTACTACCAGGCACACACAGGACATCCTCAATTTTAATGTTTGCCCTTTTTAAAGCTCACATTTTCATACGTTGTACATGGACACCCTAGACTACCCCCTGGGTCTGAAATTCACCTTTATACATCAGCCAATGGTTTCACACTGTGGCGAAATGATGCAGACTGCCAGGCGCTGCTGCTGCTGTGGAAAGAAAAAGCCAGGCCTCCTCTGAGCCAAAGTCAAGTCAAGGTCAAAGTCTTCCTCCTCCCGTGGATGTCAAGGGCATCTCCGGAATCCCCAAGGGGTGGTGCTTTCTGATCAGCCTGGTGTCTCAGGGGTGGAGAGGTGGGTGCATAAGGCCACCCTTGCCCCCATCCCACTCATCTGGAGGTGTCATGCTAATATCCCTTCCCCCATCTTTTCTCCAGGCACTTCACAAATCTGGTCAGACCTCAGGCTTTTGAGACTGCTTAGCTACCTTGCACCCTGACCCCGTTCCTGCAACAGGAGGTGCCTGTGGGAATGAGAGGTACCCAGACCAGTGTCCCTGATCCCCAAAGAAAGCTGCCTCCCATCCCAGGACCCCCAAAAATCCATGCAAACGTTATCACCTGCCCATCCACCAGCTTGCTCCCAAAGCAAGCAAAACCATTATGAAAAGTTGTAAAATTGCTTTGGCTCTCTAAAAATAGGATTACCCACCCATTACTTTAGACACCCAGCCTCTCCATGTGATTTAGAGGGCGGCAGAGCACATGCAGGTCTGGAAGTGGCTTCCTGCAGGTCTCTTCACCTGCTCCTCTCTCCTCCCCATGGAAGGAGCAGCTCTACTCTCCCATGAGACCGCTGAGCCTTTGCCCAAGGATGGATCGGAGTGCAGGACCGCTCCCTGTACATCCGTAAGTGTGCCAAGGATTTGAGTAAGCGAAATGATCATGTAACCTCCAAACCAAGGCTTTACAGCACTTCAAAAAGAGAAAATCAGGACAATGAATTCTGGCTGAACTTTAAAGTCCCCAAATCCAAGTCAGTGCCACATTTGTCCTGTGAGGCAATGGATCAAGGAGATCCCATCCTTGGTGTAAAAGTTTGCAACAGTTCACTGGCAGTCAATGTAGATGTCAATATGGAATAAGAACTTTTTCACTACCGCGTTTTGCAGAAGTCAGCGTTATAATGATGATTTTAATGGTGGTCCATTATGCTCAAGTCAGAAGAATCAAGTTGACAAATGAAACTAAAAGCACAGATACATCTATTATAAGCCCAAATCCAACATCATTTCACTAGCTTCAATACATCAGCACTTTCCACTACGTACCATTAATATTAACTTGAACTCTATTAGCGCTGTAGTTTTGTTTTGGTTTTTGTTTTTGAGACACAGTCTCACTGTGCAGTGGCGCAATCTTGGCTCACTGCAACCTCTGCCTCCCGGGTTCAAGCAATTCTCCTGCCTCAGCCTCCCAAGTAGCTGGGATTACAGGCACGTGGCACCATGCCTGGCTAATTTTTGTATTTTTGGTAGAGACAAGGTTTCACCATGTTGGCCAGGCTGGTCTCAAACTCCTGATCTCAAGGGATCCACCCACCTCGGCCTCCCAAAGTGCTGAGAGTTCATGCTGGGCATGAACCACTGTGTCCAGCTGATTAGCACTATAGTTTTATCTGTACTTAAATGAATTTTGGTTTTATAATGCTGTAAGAGCTACTGTTCAATGTTTGTACATATTTAAATAAAGTTATATAAAAAATTTAGTTCAACACTAACATTTTAAATATGCCTACATTATTTAAATTTGAGGAAAAATATTGTATAATATTTGTCCACTTAACATATACTCGCTAATCCTAAGAAATTCATCTATTCGGATACCATAAGCGGATTTGTGTGGAAGGTCCGAAGGAAAAACATTTTACTGTACAAGAAATTATCCTTATGGTCATCCTCTGTGTACTGCATGAAGGAAGAACACAAACTTTTGTCCAGAATGAAGTCTCTTTCAATAAATTAGAGGTTAACCGCCTCACTCAACCAACAAGCACTGTTTATTTTTTAGGATCTCCCTGAAATACGAATCAATAAGACAAAGAACAAAAGCAAACTTGGTGGGTGGGGGGAGCGGGAAATACGGAGTTCCCAAATGAATGTGTTACTTGAAAATATAAACCATTTCTTCTTAGCTTGGCTCTGTCAACCATCTCGGAAAAGGATGTTTTTACAATCAGAGCAGAAATATGACTGGCGGCTCCTACATTTACATTTCTTTGTTGCAAAATGAATGTAACTTGTTCAGATTCCAACAGGGAGAAAGCAGCAGAAGTGGTGGTTACTTTCCAAAGTGAAACTTAAAACCACAATCTCCGGTGCACAAAAGGCAGAATGAGTCACAGGAAGAGGCCACTTGCTTGCAAAACTCATTAAAAGCAATGCAGGGCTGAATGGACTTCCTGCACCAGTGAAAAGATCGCTGGCATCAGGACAGGCACCTCCAGGCTCCAACAATTTGGGGGAGGAAGGGAGCCATTAGCAATCTGGGCACAGCCCAGGCCTGCTCCTTCACATGGACACCCCCTCCAAACTCCGCCATACACACACATACACTCACACACACTCACTCACTCACACTGCACGGCCTGGAATCCCCTCCCAGCCTGGGCCGGCCCACATCCCTGGGAAGGTGTCTCAGGCTGGAAGCCGTGTAGCAAAGGATCACAACGACACCTTGTGACTCAAGCGAGCGCCTGTACTGGGTTTCCAAGCTCCTTTTCAGGAGTGGCCGGGGGAAGACAATCTTTCCAGCGGCTTCTCTCCTGTGGCAGATCTTTGTGAGCTCTGGGCGGTGAGCGTTGCTCTGGCCAGGCCAAATTAAAGTCAGATGTGAGCTGAGCAATACAGAAGAGGCTACCTGGGAGCAGCATGCAGGGCCTCCACTGCATCATCTAAACCCTGCTTCTCCAACTTGTACGTGAGGCAGAATCCCCTGAAGGACTTCTTAAAACAGATAACCCGGCCCCACGCCCACGGTGAGATTCAGCAGGTCTAGGGTAAGGGCCTGAGCATTTGCATTTCTAACAAGTTCCCTAGTGCTGGAACTGCAGACTACACTTTGAGAATCGCAGATCTAAATGGTTTTTAGACCTGAACAAACAGCCAGACAGCGCCCTTTCCAGCCAGTTAGTGTTGTTGACCTTGGGCTGTGCCAACTTGCAGGCACGTTGGTACCAAAACAGTCCCCTTGAGGAACTCCCCCCTCTGCCCACAAGTTGGATCCACAGCCTGGCTGGTCTCCAAGGCCAGCACTACCCGGGAAGGGGCCTTTGTCAAAGTGGGGACTTTTTTTTTTTTTTTTAAAGGCTGTGCTGCCAAACCAAAAGCGACTGTGCCCCCCGGTGGCCATTTGGGCCCGTTGACTTCCAGGGTCAGGTCAGCTTCTGTCTGCTCATGTTTTGGTTTCCCTCAGGTACCAAGCTCCCTGCCTGGCTTGCAACAGAAGTGACACTGATCACCACCTTTGATGCAGCAGGAGTTTCAAAAGGGAGTTGGAAGCAGAAAGGCAGAAAACCTACTGGCATTTTCACCACTTTCTCTTAGTTTAAGGCAGAGATGGGGCACAGCGCTGCCCCTAACTAGGTCTGAAGACAAAATATAAAATACAAAGGGGAGTGGTCAGAAATTAGCCAGGTGTGGTGGCATGTGCCTGTGGTCCCAGCTACTTGAAGGCTGAGCCGGGGGATCACCTGAGCCCAGGAGTTCAACGTTACAGTGAGCTATGATCACACCACTGCACTCCAGTCTGGGCAACAGAGCAAGACCCTGTCTCCCCCCAAAAATAATAATAAAATAGTCTTTAAGTAATAAAGAGCAGAGGCAGACGAATGTCAGTGGAGATGGACAAACCTCTCCTGGAGCAGTAGATTAGGCCACACCAAGTTTCTATTCTAAGAGCCAGTTTTGTTGTTTTGTTTTTGAGACGGAGTTTCACTCTTGTTGCCCAGGCTGGAGTACAGTGGTGTGATCTCAGCTCACTGCAACCTCCACCTCCCGGGTTCAAGTGATTCTCCTGCCTCAGCCTCCTGAGTAGCTGGGATCACAGGGACATGCCACCACGCCCAGCTAATTTTTGTATTTTTTTTAGTAGAGATGGGGTTTCACCATGTTGGCCAGGCCGGTCTCAAACTCCTGGGCCTCAGATGATCCACCTGCCTTGGCCTCCCAAAGTGCTGAGATTACAGGCGTGAGCCAACGCACCCAGCCTTTAGGAGCCAGCTTTTTAATTTTTTAAGAAGGGGCCGACTTAACTTTCCTCCAGGACAGTTCCGCTGTTCTAGGGCTGTAGTAGGGCCACGTGCATTCCCTCTTCCTGGAAAGAGCACTCTGGGGTCCAATGCTGATGGTCAATGGCCCCATCGTCAACCTTCCTCGGCTTCCGATGCAAGAGAGCTGATGTGTCAGTGTTTGAGAACCAAGCTGTAAAGCCTTTTAAACATTCAGGTGATCACAGCTGAGACGCTGGGGAAATCCAAGCCCCCGAGCTCGTTTACCCCGCACACGTGAGAGCTGCCTGCAGAGCTCCGCCAGCACGTGGGAATCCACAGGCCAAAGACAATAGTCTAGACAAATTTTTATTTTATAGATAAAAGAGCCCGCACACTGAAGTCCGAGTTGGAACAAATCCGTGATGGTGTTCAACAAAATTAGAAGGTTTTGTTTTTTAAGATGCAAAAGCATTAATTCTACAGGCACCTAGAGATGAACCGTTTGGATTTGGGCTTCATTAGGAATTGGGCCTAGTATCCTGGCCGGCTATGTTGCATTTAGGGGGCCAATACTTTTCCATTTATTCCAAAAACGCTTAGGCTGATGCAGGTAAATCAATAGGAAGCTTCCAGCCACGTTGACATGTAAAATCAATAGGAATTATGACAGTTTTCAGCTTATATGATTGCACTAGTCAAGGATTTTGATTCATTCAAAATGAAAAATGAATCTGGGGTTTACCACAGAGAAGAGTCGAAAAAATGAGGACAGCAGCTGTGAGGCTGGGGAACCCCCATGTGCTAAACACCAATTCTAGGCCAGGCCCTGGGAGGCACTTCATGAAATTCACTTGATTGAAACCTCCCTACTCCTGAATCATCCCACCAGGGCAGGGAGGGATCCCGGGTGCAGCCTTCTCCTCTCTTTCTTCATCCCTCCCGTCCCCAGCAAGTGCATAGAGAAGGCTGGTCTTTTACCCATTTAAATCTAAAACATCAGGAAAAACATTTATTCCAAATAGTGAACAATTCATAGCCTGAAGATTTTTTTTAGAATATGCTTGATAACACACCCCAGAAAAGTCAACAACTTAGTAACTTACCAAAAACTATTTAAAATTCACACACCTGATTTTCAGAGAAGTCTTTCATCGGTCTCATTTATTGCAATATTTTCTAGCTTTGCATCCAGTACAACACAATGAAGTATTACAGTGATTTTTATCATTGCATCAGCATATACAAATACAGATCAAATGCAAATAAAGTGTGCTTACAGTGGTGATCCAAACATAAAATTGCAAAGGGAATTCTCTTTGAAAGTGTAATTATTTTTCTCCAATGTACCAGGTATATATTTTTCTCTATGCCAGGTATACATATTTGTCTTCATCACATGTGACAAACATTTGATGACTTGTCACTAAGTAGGATTCATTTCCATAGGGCAACTTTGAAATGTGTGGTCCAAATACAGCATTCCAGCACATGACCTCAGCATCACTGGGTTATAGTCATGTACACAAAGATAAACCAACTCGTATATGCGTGAGTGCAGCCCATATACAAATCTCACTTTCAGAAGCCAGAAGGCAGGTGTTAATATGCCAGCCTTGCCAGGGCTCACATTGAACTTGACACAGATCTGAGAGTGTGACTTTCTGGAAAGCATGCTCTGTTTCAGGGTGCAGTGATGTGGAAGTTTAAGGTACATCAAAATTCGGGATCCAAAATTGCATCCTCTGAAAACTCCGCCTGCAGGGTGTGCTGCTGCAGAGGGCTGCCTGGATGCCAACTGCATGAGGGATACATCCCCCCATTCTCGCAGCCAAAGTTCCTCCTGGGTGCAAAGGAGAAACCGTCTGAACCTTTGCAGGCCCATGAGCTTATACTTAGTTCAGAGCAGTTAAAATTCACTCAAAAATACCCTCATTGCATAAAGAATGAATATAGCCTCTTTAGGTTACTAGTGAACAAGCGCAGAGGAGTTAGTTAAGGCAGGACTTTTTTTTTTTTTTTTTTTTTTTTGACATGGAGTCTTACTCTGTCACCCAGGCTGGAGTGCAGTAGTGCAAGCTCGGCTCACTGCAACCTCAGGCAGGACTATTTTTAATTATTTTTAATACCTGCAAAAGGGAATCTGCACATGCACATCCGTGTTTCTACAGAAATCTGCGATCGATGGCAGATCTGTTTGCCTTTGTGTGTCCACATGAACCATTTGGCAAAGGCATCCAATGCTAACGGGGCCCACCAACTACAACGGAGGCAACAACTCTGTGGATTTTCTTTCACAGAAAGAGTAAAATTTCATTCAACCGTTCCATTTTTTGCCTCCTGTGATTCTAACAATGAAATTTAAATAGGAAAATGTTTCAATCGTTGGAGTAAAACACTCTTTAAAAAAATAATGCTTCGAAAAGTAAAGCAAAATCTTTTACCAAAATAATTCTTTCACTTTTCAAATTGTTCTGTCCACGAGCCAGTGTAATAAACAAGTGAAAGAATCACATTCTGTAGGCTTAAAGAATGCCAAATTATTACTTTTTCGCTTGCCCTTAATTTGAGTGGAAAAAGCTAAGGAAAATAAATGACTCAGAAATTCCAAAAGAAGGTCAGTCTATGAGAAAGAGAGAATAAGGCCCTTTCGATAGTCTAACACATACATCTTTTTAATATATTAATGACAGTGGTATAGAAAGAATATGAATAAATGCCTATCACAGTAACCTAATCAGAGTAAAACAATACATAATATCTAAAAGAATATAGTTGAACTTCTTGAAACTATTTTCTTAAAACCAACCAGTTTCTTTGGAGAGCTCCCAACAGAAGTCAGTATCATTATCATTTGGCATAAGTGTGCTCAAGTCCACACTGTCAGCACCACCTCGCTGGATGGAAGGAAGCCGGCAGTGTCAAACTCATTCAAAATACTGCCTTAGTAATATTTACTGTCATTTTAATCTAAGGCGTTGCAAAGTTACCATGAGCTAGATAAAGCGCATTCTTAAATGTCTGCCATAGATATATTAAGGCATAAATATTCCAGCCTTGAGCCACAAAAACTGGGGGGAGATATGCCAATGAAATAGACTATCTTTAACCAAAGGAATTAAAGAAAAATTTATCACCTAAAAATGAGACTAGTCAGCAAATACTGTAAGGGGCCCATCCACAAGGCCAAGTCTGAGGCCAGGCCTGGACCCGGTGGCGTCCAGATTTCTATCAGAGACCTCAGATCCAGGTCACATGAGCCTTCACAGCCCTCCCCACTGTGTTCAGAAGGTGGTGGCACTAACATTGCTATAATGGAAATGTGCCCCCTACTTTGCCAAAAACCGTGCACATCTGGCATTCCTCGATTGACCCTGTCCTAGGCGGGGACAGCCCTCAGACAGCCGCCTTCTGCCTAGGTTTCACAGCCCCAAACTGCACGTGAACCAGTAGCTACTTGCTGGAGCAGGCCGGAAAGGCAGCGTCGTAACTGGCATTAAGCCACAACTGAGGAATGCTTTTCACGGTACAAATGCACCCAACTCCTAGCCTAGAAAGTGCTCCCTTCCTATCTTGCTTAGAAATGTCAGCCCCGGGGTGGGGCAGGGGAGAAATGCTTCTCAATTCTCTCTGCTGTCAGGCCAATGATGACGCGCCAGGCTCCCAGGTGGAGCTGTGCACTCCGGGGAGACCTATCCTTTAATGGGTGACAACCAGGCTCTGCACTGCTGGCAAGAGGCTGCTTGGGACATTTTACGCTGAGGCAGAATGAATGTCCTGGTTTTCAAAAGGTGGCAGTGGCTCTCTCCAAAAGGTGAAGTTACTGAAGGTATCCGAACAGGGAAAGTCTGAAGAATGGCTTCTTTTCAGCAACGGGAAAACGTGGTCGACTACTTCACAGAGTCTCACATACCTGGAAGGAAAGGGACATTGTCACTGGCACTGAGCGATACCAGCTATGCACCCAGGGCTGCACGTAGAAGTCAAGAGAGATCTACAACCTCAAGGAGCAGACCGCCTACTTATCGACACGACTCAAGTCATTCTAGAATAATTTGTTATCGATTAATTGAAAATGAGAGATGAAAATGAAGAGTATGCAAACAAGGCATCAGAGAAGGCTCTGGGGAAGAGGTGGGTGGGACCTGACTTCACTTGAAGGACAGGTAAAGGAGATACAGCCAAGCAAAAGACGGCAGGAGGAAGTCACCATGGCCATGGGATAGCGCCTGCTGCAGGGGTCACATATGGGACATCGGGGGAAGAATCACAGACAAGGCACATCTTTGGAGCACCTGACAGAGATTGCTTCATTGCATAGTGAAAAGGAGCTGGGTCCTGGGGTTAAAGAGACATTAATTTGATGTTCAGCTCTGCCATTTACTAGCTGCGTGATCGTGGGCAAATGGCGTAACCTCTCTAAGCCAATTTCCTCCACTGTAAAGGGAGGAAAATAAAAACTATGCCACAGTTTTAAGGATAATTTAAATAAAATAACATATGCAACATTAAAATAATGTATACTGGGTGCTCAAATGTATCTAAATGACAAATTATCAACACGTCTTAGAGAAAAAAGCCCTGGTTGGCATGACGGTCAAGAGACCCGGGCTCTCCTGCTTGCTGTAACCTTGGACAATTGTCTTGCCCTCTTGGAGCCCTTCGTCTTTATAGTCTGTGGAGCTGAATTAGAGCAGGGCTTCCCAATGCTTCCTACAACGTTCTCTTGCTCTCTTTTATTTGCATGCCCAAAAATATGTTGCATGTTAGTTTCTGTGGCTTATACTATGAAAAGAAAGTTGCTATTGCTATATTGAATATGCATGTTCAGACCTCCAGGCACCTCCAAACTGAGATTCTGGCACACCCAGCCCACTGCCAGCCATCCCCAGATTCCTCCTTGACAGTCACTGATCACTGTCTAGTTCCAAATTGCTAAGAACCTAAAGGAACTTCCAAAATCCAGACTCCAGAAGTGTGCATGTTCTGAGGTATAAAATAATGTACTAAATGAAGCCGAGTGTGTATATTTAATAAAGGACCTCCAAAGGACTTATGAGAAACAGTGTGCTTGCACAAAATGGGAAAGTGACGTCTCCTAATACAAAACCAAGAGTTATGTCTTTCCTTGGGATTCAAACAAACAGACAGATTTTTAAAATACCTCCCGGCTTTAAGGCTTATTTGTCTGAGGTTTGTGGCTGCGGCAGCAGGGCCCCTCCCTGCAGGCTTGACTACAAGGCCGCGGTGCACTGGAACCAAACCCACTCTCACACTCCCTGAGCGGCCAGGCCGAGTTCCATCTGCGCGCCTCCCCCAGACCGACCTCCACACACAGTGCTCCTCCCAAGCAGGCAGAGCTTACGCACAGACACTCGCAAACGAAAGGGAAAAAGAACTGAGCTGCTCCCGCTGTGTGGCCCCAGCCTCTGAAGACATTTCAGATGACTGTCCCAGTTCTGAATGACAAGCATCTACTTGGCTCAGAAATAGCTATACCAAGTTCAGCGCCAGAGAAATGTGAGCTTCCTGGGGGAGGAGATTTACTCTCTCACAGGAACAACCCCGCCTCCAGTCCAGGTGTAAAATGTCAACATCCCCTGGCAATGAGTAAAGTCTGCAGAGCTCCACCCTAGGCCAAGCCATGGGCGAGGTGTGCATTTTAACCCTAGAGCCTCAGTCAATGCAATGACCGCAGAGGCCACCTAGCCAAACCCTCTCAGATGCTGGAGTCCCTCTTTCCATGCGTGCATGGCAAGACCTGCCACTTTCCCATTCCTGGACAGCGTCTCATTGGTTCAAAGTTCTTTTTGATCCTGATATGGTTTGGCTGTGTCCCCACCCAAATCTCATCTTGAATTCCCACGTGTTGTGGGAGGGACTCAGTGGAAGTTAACTGAATCATGGAGGCAGGTCTTTCCCATGCTGTCCCTGTGATAAAGTCGCATGAGATCTGATGGTTTTATAAGGGGGAGTTTCCCTGCACGAGCTCTCTTTCTGCCTGCTGCCATCCATGTAAGACATGACTTGATCCTCCTTGCCTCCTTTGACCATGATTGTGAGGTCTCCCCTTTTTTTTTTAATTTTTTTTTTTTTAGATGGAGTCTCACTCTGTCACCCAGGCTGGAGGGCAGTGGCATGATCTTGGCTCACTGCAACCTCCGTCTCCTGGGTTCAAGTGATTCTTCTGCCTTAGCCTTCCAAGTAGTTGGATTACAGGTGCAAGCTGCCATGCCTGGCTAATTTTTTTTTTTTTTTTTTTTTTTTGGCATTTCTAGTAGAGACAGGGTTTCACCATGTTGGTCAGGCTGGTCTTGAACTCCTGACCTCAGGTGATCCACCCACCTCGGCCTCCCAAAGTGCTGGGATTATAGGCATGAGCCATCGTGCCCAGCCTAAATCCTTTCTCCTGTATAAATTACCCAGCCTTGGGTCCATGTCTTTATTAACAGCATGAAAACAGACTATAACACAGATCCTAAATAGAAACCCAGTAGGTCCTCTCCAGCCTGGGGAATGAGAGGGGAGTGGGAACGAGACATTGTCACAGTCAGCCACTTAGAACAGTGGAGGTGGCAGAAACCGCAAGGAAGGGTTAAGAAAGGAATCAAGTTCCTGCTGTTTTTCTGCCAATCAGGAAGCAGCCTGGCACTGCCTCGCCTTCTGCAGGAGGGAACAGGGCCTTGGCTCCAGCCTCCCCTCTCTCTGCACAAACCTTGAGGACTGCTTGGGTACTGGCATGACTGCAGGGTGAGAGGAGTCTTGTGGGGCAGCCCCAGGACTCCTGTTAGCCTAGAACTGCCCTATTGACACTCAGTTAGAATCCAACTAGTTTAAGGACCATCTTGAAAGTAAAAATCTGCCCTAGAGAGAACTTATCTCTCTATCTAAAACCACAGAAGCTACATGGAGAAAACCAATCCTTAGGAATCTCCTAGAACCAAACTCCCCCAGTCTAACTCCTCCAGATAAAGAGGAACCCCTCGGGCTATCTGGGGCCACTAAGGCCAGAGGCTCTTTTGTTTTTTGAGACAGAGTCTAGCTCTGTCGCCCAGGCTGGAGTGCAATGGCACGATCTGGGCTCACAGCAACCTCTGCCTCCCGAGTTCAAGTGATTCTCCTGTCTCAGCCTCCTGAGTAGCTGGGATTACAGGCATGCACCACCACACCTGGCTAATTTTTCTATTTTTAGGAGAGACGGGGTTTCTCCATGTTGGTCAGGCTGGTCTCGAACTCCTGACCTCAGGTGATCCACCCACCTCAGCCTCCCAAAGTGCTGGGATTACAGGCATGAGCCACCGTGCCTGGCCTGCCAGAGGCTCTTTTCCAGGTCTGCACAGACCAGACCAGAAGAGGTGTAGTCTCTGAAATGGACAAGGCAGGAAGACAAGGGTCGGCCTGGGCTGATGTCACCCAGTGGGCCAACCTCCCAACAACATGGAATGAGGAAATGCTCTCCATCCTAATAAGTTAGGAACCCGAGGGGGACAGGATAAAGTCAAGAGTGATTCTAAGCACACAAGGATGCCTCATTAGAAAGAGTAATCCCATTTAGCCCACCGACTCAGAAAAACTGGGCTTTGACCAAAAATATGAAGGGAATTCTTAACAATTACACAGCAATGTCTCTGGTAAGAAACATTTGGTATGTGAAGAGATATACAGTTCCTCATCTTTAAATATAACTTCACATATTTCAGTTTGGTTATATTTCTCATTCACATTCTAGGCTTTCAAACCTAACTTGGCAAATCTAAACTACTAGTTTTCAAATTCATTCAATTCCATTCTGTAGCAGACTCTAACCACGAGTTTAAATTTTAGACCCAGAAGGGATCTGATTTAATTCCAGTTGTCTAAAAATTATGTTTTGGACAAAATACAAGGAGTTAAAATACATTTTTTCATTATAAGAATTACAGATTAACATATAGGCAGCAAAGGGGAAAAGGTACACCGCAAACTGGGAAGCACCGTTTTAAGATAATAGTACTGATATCATAATCACATAAAATGTGTACAATACTCACGAAGAGATGTTGGTCTTTGCATGTTCCTGTACCAGCTCTCCTTTAGGGTTGACGGTAAATATTCTATTCAAAGACACTCCTACTTGCTTGTATGAATACACATCCTATATTTGGTAAAGGTGATTTAAAGTGTTCATTAGAAAAGAGTTCATTGTAAAAACAAGTCCATGGTATTTCTGATTTGATGAGATATCAAATTTTCATTAACCAGAGCTCTACCTCAAAGTGGTGCAGTGAAAGAATATCCTTTGATGGGAAACTATTCAATTAGTTTTGCTCTCTGGGCCTCAATTCCCTCATCTGTTCAAGGACTGAGTTGAAGAAAAGACAACCTACCACGTCCCCGCAATTCTAACATTCCTTCAGGTTATTCTTTGACCCATATTCCTACTTCATGAAAATCTCTCGTAACTTTCAAAAGTAGGACTTTCTGATGGAGCAGTTAGTACCCAACTACATTCTCTAGAATACTTAGCTTTCCAGTAAATGCGGGCAATACATGCAAAATCTCAAAGCGCTTCTTTCATGATACGAGACAACACTAGACACTTAAAACGTGAGATGCTGAATTCGCCATTATGGTTAGGACTGATTTTGCGGTTCCCTTCTGGTAGAAAGAAACTAATCCGATTAAATGTTCTTGCTTTACTGCTTTAATGAGTAATTTGAAATTTGGAGTTTTAAGTCCCATATCTCAAGCTTTGACCCACCCGCCAACCTTCAAAGAACCCTGGAAGCCATAAGATAATTTGTAATCCCCTTGCCTTTAGATGTGGGCAAGTGGCTCTTCACCAGGCTACTGCTTCTGGGATGAGAATCTGACTCTACATATGGTTCTCGGATAGGGCTTTCAGATGACAGCAACCAGAAAAGGCAGTCATTTCAAGGGTTCTTCTATACCCAATCTACTACTTACAGCTGGTCGGTTTCCAAAAGCAGCATAAAAGGGTTCTGTGTTGGGGAAAAACAGGTTTTTGATGTCTGTCAAACACTGGACTTTAAACTTTTCTGGCTTCTTTTCAATCACTTCTCTGTTAAACAAATAAATAACAGATTAACATGAGAGGCTAAGCTTCCTTTAGCATCAAACTGTTTTTAGCTGACAAAGCTGCCGCAACACTGAGAAAACTCAAATCTTCAAAAGTTTAGTGTGTGTCAGGCAGCTGAGACATCCCAGAAAAGCACGAGATGGAAAGTAAACCCGTACTTTCAAGTCTTTCTACAAAAGAAAACACCAAGGATGAGCCATTTCACCAAGGGTTATCCTGGTCATCCAGGGAACAAAGAATGACAGAGCATAAAAACAAAAAAGAACATCTCCAAATTAATTCGATGAGGCTAGCATAACCTTAAAAACAAAACCTAAAAAAAGAAAGTATGGGCAAAGTGTGGACCAATCTCATTTGTGAATATACGTGCAAAAATTCTAAAATATATATATACACGTGTGTGTGTGTGTGTGTGTGTGTGTATGTGTGTATACAAATTGTAGCAATGTATAAAAGCTGGGTTTATTCCAGGAATGAAATAGTAATTTAATATTTAAAATCAATATAACACATTATCAGGTTAAAAGAGAAAAACATGATCATCTCAATAGATACAAAAAGGGTATTTGATACCAGTTACCTCCCAAATTAAAATTCATTTTTTAAAATACTTAAATTTAAAAAGAGGATTTGATACAATTTAACATCTAATCCAGATGAGAACTCCAACCAGGAATAGAAGGGAATACTAAAAAAACCTACAGTGAACATCTTATTAACAGTGAAATAAGGGTGGTCTGTATCATCATGGCAATTCACTGCTGTATTGCCTGTCCTATCAAATGCAATAATGTAAGAAAAATAAATAAAAGTTATACATACTAGAAAGAATTAGGGGAAAAAATTGTCATCACAAAAAACAAATATGCACATTAAGAAGATGAACCTACACATGAATTACCAGAATTAAAAAGACTCTAATAAGGTTAACAAGTCAATGTACCAAAAAAAAAAAGTACAAAAATTAATCGCATCATTTTCATGCATTAGAAACAAGCAGAAAAGGTAATTGTGTAAATGGTATTTTAAATCAAATTTTAAAATATAAAATGTCTAGAAATAAATCTAACAGAAGATGTGCCAGACCTTTACAGCTAAAATTATAAAACTTTACTGAAATATATTAGGAAAGACCTAAACAAATGAAGAATAGACTATACTCTTGAATTGGAAGATCCAATATAATTTTGAGATATTAATTCTTCCTAAATTGCTCTACAGATTCACTGCAATTTCAATCAAACTCATAACAGAGTCTTGGGTGTTTTGATGAAATTTGAGTCTAGAAGCTACGAAAACGAGCAGAAAGCCAGGCCTAGCACTTCCGATGCTGGGAAGGTGAGGAGCTTCTGCAGCTGTGGGAGCTGGGACACTATGGCCTTGGCCAATTCGTCCAGGCCTTTGCCAGTGGAACAAAACAGAAAGCCCCAAAACAGAACCACACGTTCACAGATACTTGCTTTATGACCACAATGGCATCTCGGAGCAGCAAGGGCAGGGCAGTCTTTTTTTTTTTTTTTTTTTTTTTTTTTTTGAGACAGAGTCTTGCTGGTTGCCAAGGCTGGAGTGCAGTGGCGCTATCTCGGCTCACTGCAAGCTCCGCCTCCTGGGTTCATGTAATTCTCCTGCCTCAGCCTCCCGCGTAGCTGGGACTACACTACAGGTGCCTGCCACCATGCCCGGCTAATTTTTTGTATTTTTAGTACAGACAGGGTTTCACCGTGTTAGCCAGATGGTCTCCATCTCCTGACCTCGTGATCCACCTGCCTTGGCCTCCCAAAGTGCTGGGATTACAGGCGTGAGCCACTGCGCCCAGCCAGGGCAGTCTTTTTAGCACATGGTGTGGGGACAAATGAATATCCATATAGGAAAAAAAAAATTAAACTGCACCCCTACTTCATTCTACCTAAATAAATCCATTCTTAGTGGACTATAGACCTAAATGTGAAAGCAACACCTTCAGATAAAATCCAGGAGGACTGTCTTCATGCCCACAGGTCAGAGAAGACTTTGGTAATACACAAAAAGCACAACTACAGAGGAAACAATACATTCAATGACATAAAACTAAGTTTATTTTCATTAAAAGCTATGAACTGGGAAAAGACATTCGCAGCACTCCTGACAAAGGCTAAGTGATCACCATCCTGTGCTGAGGGCTTGTTTTTGCCAACTGCACCACACGCATATCCACCCACTACCTTCCCCTCCTTCATCCTAATTCAAAACCTAGCAGTAAAATCAGAACTGCACCCAGTTAAAGAGTTGTGCTAAGGAAGGTCATTTGTGTGCCCGTCAATGATAAGACTGCATAAGGAAAATGTGGCACATATACACCACGGAATACTATGCAGCCATAAAAAAGAATGAGCTCATGTCCTTTGCAGGGACATGGATGAAGCTGGAAGCCATCATTCTCAGAAAACTAACAGAGGAACAGAAAACCAAACACTGCATGTTCTCACTCATAAGTGGGAGTTGAACAATGAGAACACATGGACACAGGGAGGGGAACATCACACACCAGGGCCAGTCAGGGGGTTGGGGGGGAAGGGGAGGGAGAGCATTAGGACAAATAACTAATGCATGCTGGGCTTAAAACCTGGATGACGGGCTGATGGGTGCAGCAAACCACTATGGCACATGTATACCTATGTAAAAAACCTGCATGTTCTGCACATGGATCCCAGAACTTAAAGTAAAATTAAAAAAAAAAAAAAAAAAGGAAGGTCATTTGTGTTAGGGCAGCCTTCGCTAGCAATTCTAGAGAACTCCACAGGACAGCTAGCACATGGAACGGCTCTGGCTTGATGGCAGCCCTAGGAAGGACCAGGCCGGTGGCCATCTGCCACTGGAGCACCTTGGCCTTCCAAGAGGACATATCAACTATGAGATTTAGGGTTTTTAAAATAATTCCTCCCAGGGAAAAAGCAATACACCTTGGACAATGATATTTAAATAAGGAAATGAAAAGGATCACTTTAAATGCATAGTTAGTGTTAGGATGTCGGAGTAACGATGTGGACTTTTTGCTTGGCCTAGCAAAGCCTTACTACTTAACACAGGCTGATGAATGGCTTGTTGCAAATTGTCAGCATAGCTTAGGGACACAATTTCACTAAAATATCAGGATTTCTATTGAGATCAGTGCTGTTATGATAGCTCTGAGGACTTGAAATACACTAGGTTGTGCCTGACTTTTCTCCCCTAGAATGTGCATGTCTCAATTTGACATCTTTTACTACAGGAAAAAAGCTACTGCTTACACAAAACAACGCCGTGATGGAAAAGGTACCTACAGAGCTAAAGGAAAATACACAAGAATCAACACAGCATTTGGGGCCCATCTAGATTCTTCCACTGTTTGCATGATTAGCAGCAGCAAACAGTTCATCTGGTCTTCAAATTCAGGCAGAATCACGTCAATGACATTCATAAAGACCAAGTTTATGATATTTACAATCAGCCTTCAGCAGGGACCAATGTCCTATGGTTGACCACAATAGCTTTTGCTTTGAGAGGTGTCTAGTAAATTGCCCTGGGCCTCCAACTACAGGGACGTCCAGTGTTTTCTTCCTCCAACTCCAAGGGGCCAGAGTTAGTCTGGCTTAGCTACCTTGATATGGCCCCATAGGTGAAGGGAGGAAGGTAATCAGAAACTGGCCAGTGGTCTGTTAGAGGACCCGTAAAATGAACAGTGTTCCCAGAAATCTAAGACAGAAAATGACAAGTATGATGGGTGTCAAAGGCCAGGTGAATGATGGTGGTTCGCAGACAGGCCACTTAAGGATCCCTAAGGAGATGAGATAGAGGCTCATTGTCCAACGGACATTAAGATTCAGCCAGGCCACTCAAGAAGAGATGGAGCAGGAGAGTGACCCAAAAAGACGGAACAGCATGTGCAAAGGCTCCAAGCAGAGACAATTGTCTGGGAGACACAGACTGAGATGTAGAGACGAGAGAAACACGCCTGGAGAGGAGGGGAGGCGCAGGCCATGAGGAGCCACCAAGCGCCAAGCTCCTGAGTCTGGACTCGGCCTGAAAGCCATGAGGAGCCAATGCAGGTGTAGACCTGTGTTTGGAATGATTTTTCTGGTGCCTGCTATGGAGCATGGATATTGGGGCAGAAGACCAGTGAGGAGGCTATTCTTACAAAACTTGCAGTTAGGAAGAGAGCGGGTCTGAACAGGCTCACAGATGGAGGTGCAGGGAGCAGGCCTGGTACCTGTGCAGGGCAGAGAAGAGGCTGCTGGGACTCAGCAGCAGGGGCCCCTGGGGCAGCACCGTGCCCCTCTCGTTGACCCAGTGCAGGTAGCCCCGCGTCATGTCCGCCATCCCGATGGCACGGGCAGAACAGTAGAGAAATTTATATCCATTCCTGAAAGACATAAAACATTCACATTTCATGGCATCAGAAAATGGAACCTTTCTGCATTCATAAATCCTGATCCATATCTGTTCTGTGGAGAATGGCACTGTTTCAAGTTCCCCCACATACAAAAGTCCACATTCTACAAAATCTTGCTTGCAATTGAGAAATAGGCTTAAATACATTTCACTGTAATTCACTAAGTGCTTTTGCATTCCCCACTTTGTTTAATCCTCAGGAGAACATGGCTGGATGAGTATTTTCCCCTGGTTTTACTGCTATGGAAACTGAGGTTCAGATGGATGAAACTGGCTCACCTGCCTGCGCTTGAGCCCCTTGTACTCCCCCTGGTCCCAGCTCTTGGCTAGAGCCCCTGCGACAAGACCACAGCCACCTGCCAATTCACACACTTTGCTCCAGCATTTGCTTCATTCGCCCCTACACACACCCCATCAAATTCCTCCTCTCTTTTGGGTAATTCACATCAGCACATAAATATTCTGCAATCTCTCATTTCATCCTTAAAACAAGCCAAGCCAAAACAACCACACACACACACACACACACACACACACACACACACATGCACACACACCAAAACATCCTTAGTCTCTCTCTGGCTAAGATACCATTTCTCTGTTCCCTTTTGTAGCAAAATTCTTCCAAAAAGCTGACTACAAGCATTGAGTCCACTTCTTCACTTTCCTTCCTCTCCTCACACTCCTAGCAGACTCTTGTTCTCTTGTTCCCTTCCTTGCTGTCCCTGCACAGGTCACCCTGATGCCCATCTTGCCAAACCCAGGTATCAACTCTCAATTCTTGTAGGAATGGACTCCCCAGTAGCATCTGCCTCGGGGGCTCATTCCTTCTCCCAGAGCACCTGAGTCACTCAGCTCCCAGGACTCCAGAGTGTCCGGGTGTTCTCCTCCTCAGCAGCCACCGCTTCCCAGACACAGCAGCTCGCCTGCTCCCATCAGCTCTGCCAGCCTCAAAACGCACAAGCGCCCAGGGTTCTCAGGCCTCATTTCTCCACACCCCCCACACTCCCTAGAGGACCTGGGAACCTCACCCACTTCCACAGCTCCAAATGCCATATCTAGACTGAAGAAACAACTAGTCTATGAACACAACTTTATTGCGTTAGCAGGTCCATTTCACTTTTTTTTTTTGTTTATTTGTTTTCGAGACAGAGTCTTGCTCTGTCCCCCAGGATGGAGCGCAGTGGCGTGATCTTGGCGCACTGCAACCTCTGCCTCCCAGGTTCAAGCAATTCTCCTGCCTCAGCCTCCCAAGTTGCTGGGATTACAGACATGCACCACCACGCCGGCTAATTTTTGTATTTTTTATAGAGACAGAGTTTCACCATGTTGGCCAGGCTGGTCCTGAACTCCTGACCTCAGGTGATCCACCCGTCTCGGCCTCCCAAAATGCTGGGATTACAGGCATGAGCCACCACGCCCGGCCCCATTTCACTTTTTTTAACTATCAAAAATTTAGTGTCTAGAATGAAATGTGCTCTAAGTATAAAATATATACCAAGTTTCAAAGTCTATTATAAAAAAAAGAAAGTATGCGCCGCCCTGTCTGGAAAGTGAGGAGCACCTCTGCCCGGCCGCTGTGCAACCTTCCAAGTGTGAAGTGACAGCCCTGTGTGTGACCTTTTCTGTCTTCCCCAAGTTTGCATTTTCGACATTAAAGTTTACTTTTTAATTAAAAAAAAAGAAGGTATGATATATTTCATTAATCGTTTTCATATTGATTACATGTCTAAGTGATATCATTTTGAATATGTTGGATTAAGTAAAACATATTATTCAAAAATTTTAAACACTATCTATACACTGATATCTCCCAAATGCATGGACCCCGTCCAGACCCCTCTCCCAAGCTGCAGGCTACTATGAACTCCACATTACACCCACTGCGCAGTACGTGCTCACCGTGGACCCCACAGTACTCATCGCACTCCAAAATGGGTACCTCCAAAACCACACACACCACAGCGGCTCCTCCCCAACTCACCCCGAGACTCCTCGGGGGCCCCTGTTGCAAGTGGCACTGCAAGTAGCAAGTGGCACTCTCCTAACCCAGGTGTGACGTCAAACCCTCAGGGGCCCCGTTGGTGTCTACCTACCCCCAGCCCCCACGCCACACAATCAGCAGGTCCCCTCTGCTCCACCCTCGGCACCACCCAGTGCTCCCACCACGTCCACACCGCATGGCCTCCTGGCCTCCGTTGCTGCGACAATCTTGAATGACCTCCCTGCTGCTATCCCGACTCCACGTGGTGCTCTAAGAAAATGTAAAGCGTAGCCCACTCACACTCAGAGCCCTCCTGAGGCTGCAACCTCTCACAGACGTCGTCCAAACCCTTCACTGTGGCCTATAAGACCAACAAGACCTGGCCCCCACCTTTCTCTCCAACCCCAACCCCATCTGCAATGACTGTCCAACTCCTCACTCCTGGCAAACCACACAGGTGTTCCCATCCTTCCTCCAACTCGCCACGCTCATCTGCGCTGGCACTTGCCCATGCCGTTCCTCCTGCCTAGAGCACCTTTCCCCCAGTCTGCAGGGACTGCTTGTACCCTCACCTCATCTAGGTCTCTGCTGGATCTCACCTCTCCAGAAGGCCCTTCCCTTGACCTCCCCCATGCGATGAAACACACACCCCCTCACTCCTCACCCAGGCACTGGCCCTTGCTCTGCCTTCCCTCTCCTCCTAGCACTGATCACTAATATGACGTTATAGTCCTTCATTCGACTGTATCTCTCATTCATCCATAAACTCCATGAGGACAGGGACTTTGTCCCATTCTTTGCTACAACCCCCGTGCCAAAAACAGTGCTTGGCATGTAGCAGACATTTAGTGAATATTTGCTGAATGAGTGAATAAACTACCCACTTCCTATCCAACATATTGTTCTACCATGAATATTTTATAATGGCCAATGGATTTGTTTCGAAAATTGCTCAATAACATGTTCTTTAAAACTAAGAAATGAGAAAGTTTTAAGACAAAAAGAATCTAGAAATATCAGCTTGTCTGGAATACAGGGATGCATCTGAAAATCAAACAAAATTAAAAATTTCTTTTTTTTTCTTTTTTTTTGAGACGGAGTCTCGCTGTGTCACCAGGCTGGAGTGCAGTGGCACGATCTCAGCTCACTGCTACCTCCGCCTCCCGGGTTCAAGCGATTCTCCTGCCTCAGCCTCCTGAGTAGCTGGGACTACAGGCATGCACTACCACGCCCAGCTAATTTTTGTATTTTTAGTAGAGACAGGGTTTCATCATGTCGGCCAGGATGGTCTCGATCTCTTGACCTCATGATCCACCTGCCTTGGCCTCCCAAAGTGCTGGGATTACAGGCCTGAGCCTCTGCGCCCAGCCAATCTTTTTAATTTCTAAATATCTTTGTATTTTAGCCATCTAATTCATACAATCTTTAAAAAGAAATCACTATTTCCATGTATAGCTCTTCACATCAAAGTCCTAAAAGCTGCCACCTGCAGAGATCTAAGATGCTAATCTCACTCAGAACTGGATTGTCAAATATATTTCACAGTTGGGCCATGCCACTGAGTTACTGTCAGCATGCCAGCCTTCTTGCCTGACTAAACTTAGCTGGAAAGCCAGCTCGAGAGTGACCTAATGGGGAAAATGTTTGCTGCTGGTGGAAGAGCCTTCCCTCCTGCCTTCAACAAAAGCTGTCTGCAATGCCAACAAGTGCCCCACCAAATGCTCAGGCAGCACTAAGTCTCCATGGTGCCCCTCACAGGGAAGACCCCTCACTCAGAAGGACAACCGGTGGCAGGACATGCCACACAGGCCAGCCCAGCCCAAGTCCCTGCTCAACCCACAGGCTCCTTCCACGGTCCCTTCAGTGCACACTCACTCACTGAGCACTCCTATGCCAGGCTGCACACGGGGCTTGGGGTACGCACAGGGCATGGCACAGCCCTGCCCCACAGAAGCAGAGGGTGCTTGGGGAAAACCAACAATACCCAGAAGGACAGGTGGGACCCAGGAATAGGAGGTGTCAGTGGATAAAGGTGCGATACACACATCACCCCTGTTCCTCTAGCATTCTCAGCAACTGGAACAGGGCTCTGGAGAAACACCAGAATGGGAAGAAGGAAAAAAAAAAGAGGGATCCATGCCCAGGCTTGGTACAAGTTTTCTCCTCTGCCTAATCTCTGCATCCCTCTTAAGACACTGACTCGGGGAGATTTAAATAGTTTGGAAAGATTACCTTCGGGAGCATTTTGCAAGCTTCTAGACTGCAGTTTCTCAACACTGACATCTGAGATTGGAGGAGTGTCTGTTGGGGACCGAGGCCCCCACGATGCCACCTCATCAGATATGCGGCACCATCCCGGGTCCACCCACTAAGAGTCAACAGCATGCCCCTTTATGTCCATCAAAAGCATCTCTGGACACTGCCATATGTCCGTCAGTTGAGAGCCACTGCTGTAGAGAAAAAGGACTCTGTGGCCCCATCTGCCATCCTAAGGGGAGAGAGGGTCACAAGCCACCTTGAGAAAGGAAGGCTCAGCACCACTCAGGCTTGGTGAGTTGCCTCCCAGGCGCTCTGCAACCTGGCTCCTGCCTACTTTCCTGCTTCATCTTTTACCCACCCCACCGTCTGCACCGGAGTCTCCCTTTCAGTGAGCCCACCCAGTACCTGCTCGTCTCCCAGCCTCCCCTCTCGCTCCTACTTCCACCTGTGGTGAGCTTTCCTCTCCTTTGAAACCCTGCTCCTCCATGGAGACTCAGCTGAGTGCCACCTTCTCACAGGGGCCTCCTCTGACACCTCTGGTCAATCAAAATTAACTTCCTGATGTATGTCCAACAAAAACCAACATCTTTCACACTCGATCTGCCCCTCACTGCCTTATTACAGGGAGCCCTAAGTGTCTCCTCCCACAAGACCACAAGCTTCTTGAAGGGAGAGACTGCTCAGCACCCCCGACGGCACCTAGGACAGCTCCTGGTGCAACCAGAGTCTAGGGGCTCCCTCTGAGTTTGGACTGAGGTTTGGCTTGGAAAAACAAAACACACCCTTGTGCAATCCACACAGCCAGGAGCAGAGCATTCCTGGGTTAGCAGTGACCTCAGGGGTCATCTAGCCTAATCTCATTTTACAGAAGAGGAAAACAAAGCTCAGAGTGGGGAAGGTACTCGGTCCCAGGGCCCAGGGTGAGCTAATGGCTGCCGCTTCTGGGATCCTGGCCCGACTCCTGATCAGACCTTCCATCCTATCTCTTATCATCTCGCATCATCCTATCTCTTACTGGCAGAGGGCAATGACTGCAATAAACAAAGAAGTGCTGACATGAAAGAAATAACTGCTGCGGGCAGGAAAGGAAAAAAGATCTAGGCCGGGCGCAGTGGCTCACGCCTGTAATCCCCACACTTTGGGAGGCTGAGGTGGATGGATCACCTGAGGTCAGGAGTTCGAAACCAGCCTGGCCAACAGGGTGAAACCCCATCTCTACTAAAAATACAAAATTACCCGGGCGTGGTGGCACATGCCTGTAATCCCAGCTACTTGGGAGGCTGAGGCAGGAGAATCGCTTGAACCTGGGAGGCGGAGGTTGCAGTGAGCCAAGATCATGCCATTGCACTCCAGCCTGGACAACAAGAGCAAAACTCCATCTCCAAAAAAAAAAGACCCTAACAAGTCTGCTACAGATGCCTCTCATTTTCAGTCCACTGGCTTGGGACACCGCATACCTAGACCCCAGCGGAGCTAACGAACCTCGGGAAACACGGTAAGTGTTCTTTTTTCTAAGTCACAAAGACACTGGCTTCTGGTTACATGAATATAAAAGCATGTATGAAATAAGGTCAAAAATTCAAACAATTATTGCCCAAATTTAGGCCTCAAAGGACCCATTAGCTGAATGATCTAGATCTTTTAGGCAACAGTCCTTCTTGACTTTCCTTCTAGTTTTGAATGCACCTGAATCTGAAAGGGGTTCCTGTATCTTCCATTTGCATTTGTTCTGTTTCATCAATACTCAAGCCAGCTTTATACCCTCTCTATGAACAAGGTGACAATTAGCCTTATGGATCATTCCTCATGGGCTGACTAGATCCAAACAAGTCATTAAATTCAGCAGAAAACAAAATTGTCCTTATTCACTGTTGTTTCAGGCAAGTGGCTAACTGCAAGATTGGCTTTTTCTCTCTCTCTCGCTCTCTCTTTTTTTTTTTTTTTTGAGATGGTGTCTCACTCTGTCACCCAGGCTGGAGTGCAATGGTGCGATCTCGGCTCACTGCAACCTCTGCCTCTAGGGTTCAAGCAATTCTGCCTCAGCCTCCCGAGCAGCTGGGATTACAGGCACCCACCACCATCCCTGGCTAATTTTTGTATTTTTAGTAGAGATGGGGTTTCAGCATGTTGGCCAGGCTGGTCTCAAACTCCTGACCTCAAGTGATCCACCTGCCTCGGACTCCCAAAGTGCTCGGACTATTCGTGTTAGTCACTGTGCCCAGCTGAAGATTGGCTTTTTCATTAGACAAATACTACAGTGCATAAAATGTAAGTCGTACCCAAATTTAAGGGAAGCAAAATCAGGAAAAAGTCCACAAACCCTCATGTAAACGGCATCTTTTCCCTGGTACCCTAGCATGAGAATCATTTCTCTGTTTCTCTAGAAATCACAATACAGATTCAAAAGTATGATGGGAGTCACTAGAACAGTGGGTCACAAGCCTTGGTCAATTCTTAGCCTGACAGGTCTCCCAGTGGTGGCTGCTAAGGCCCTCGTGTGAGGAGGCTTGAGAGAGCCTGCTAGGATGGGAATTACTTTCATCAGTGGTTGGCTCTGGAGGCTGCCATCGTGTCCAGACTGTCCTCCATGATGGGGACCGAGGCCAACAAGCCAGGCCCAAGCCCTCCGATATCCACATAGAGTCCAGCAAGTCCGGGGACGGGGAAGAGACCAGAGCTGACTAGGGTCACAGATTGTGGCCTGAGGACTGTGGCATTTGAGCCAGGCATTAAAGGCTATAAAAATATGGAGAAGCGAAAATCAGAGGGGAAGCCATGTCAAGCTGAGGCCGCCACATGAGCAAAGGCAGGAAGAAGGGAATGGAGTGCAGAGGAGGAACAGAGTCGCTGGATTAGAGCAGGAAGGGCTGAGAAACAGCAGCTGAAAATAAGGGCTTGGCAGAAGACTGGGACCTGAAAGTGCCAGGTTTCAAATGCCACATCAAGGAGCTGGCACCTCCTCCTACAGTGCTGAGCAGGGAGCCCTGAAGGTTGTAGAAAGCTGCCCTGAAGATGGGTTTTCAGAAGCCCTGGCCATCCTGCAAATCACACAGGCCTGACTGGGTGCGCGGACAACACACATATCCAACTCAATGAGCAGGCAAAGGTTTGGGTCTCCACGTCACATCATGCTCCGGGCAGTATCTGCGGGTCCAGACAAACAGGTTTCACTCATTCTAAACCAACCAATCAAAGAAAAGAATGGTCAGGGGTTCTTCAGTAAGCCACACAGCTTTATTTTTCAAGAAGATCTCTCTTCTGAGAAAACCAAGAGACAAATCAAGACCAAAAAAAAAAAAAAAATTAAAAAGCAACAGGGCTTGTTTAATGTTACAGTAAGGACAGAAATAGATTTATGTTCCAAAAACCAAATGAATCAGCTGTGCACTACTCAACATCCTGACCCATGAGGGTTTCTTTCCTTCAACTAAAAATAGATGCAATTTTCAGTGTCACACAAGTCAAGGCACCTCATGAGTAGATTAATCCTTCTAAATGAAAGGTCAGCCCGTGGTGAGGCTGTGGGGAGGCGACGCTGCACATACGCCACCTACAGCAGCACAGACTGGGATAACCTTTTGAGAGGGCAATTCGGCAATATTGATCAAAGCTTTAAATGTGCTCATCCTTTGACCCAGCAATTCTACTCCTGGGAATCTACTTTACAGCGGGACTTCCCTAAGTGTGTGTGCCTTCTTTATTTATTTATACATGCATTATATATCATAAGCATTGTCTATGAACGCTTACTGCATCACTGTTGGCAATAGGGGAAAAAGTGGCAACTACCTACACGTTCATCAATAGAGGGCGAGTTAAAGAAAGTATGGTGTATCTAGACGACAGGATTCTGCCCAGTAGCAAAAAGAGTAAGGTAAATATTACATAAAATGAAACAAAAAAGATATGATGAATAATTAAATAATGTGAGTGTATGTGTGTGGGGATGTAAATAAGTTTTTGAAATTCAGCAAGATAGAACCAAACTGTTCATAGTAGTTCTACTTTTAAGGAAGGGAATAGCTTGCAGCAAGGGCAGGCAGGAGGGTGATACAACCTCTGCGCTTTACTGTTTCCATAATCTCAGCCTCTTTTATTAGTATTTTTATGTCTTAAGAAGTATGCATAACTTTTGTATTAATAATTTTTTAAAGATGAAATCTAGAAAAGTAAAGTCAAACCAATGAGCTTGGGCATCTAAGATGACATCTGAAGCTTTTTTAATGTACATACTTATTTTTTTAGAGAGATGGGGGGGAATCTCACTATGTTGCCCAGGCTGGATTCGAACTCCTGGGTTCAAGCAATCCTCCCGCCTCAGCCTCCCAAATAGCTGGGACTATCGACATGTGCCCAACAAAATCTGAAGCTTTTAATCCCACCAGGATTAAGGTTCTCTCTCCAAGCCGCCATTTTTCTACTGGATCATAAAGTCCCAGGTCAGAGACTTACCTAGTTCATAGCAATCCCAGGCACCTGCCCTAGGATGAGGCACTAACAGGCACTCAAGGAATGCTGGATGGATGAACGGATGCAGGGCAGGGAAATACAGTTCATTCATCTGTGTTCACAGAGTTCTAGAAACAGCTCTGGATGGTGGCCCATTCCCTACCATCACCACTGTGGGCTAGAGATGAGCAAACAAGGTTGGGAACCATGGGCCTGACACTTCCGTCTTGACACTATCTTGACACTCACTAAGTGTGAATGTAACTTGCTCACCCACCTCACCCACGGAGAGACCGCACTGTCCTGATTCAGGCAGAGGCACCTTCCAGCTCTAACTGGCTGGAGAACAGAATGCTGTGGAGGGGGAGATTTCACTCGCATGGGAGACTCTAGGCCACAAAAGGCTGGAGGAGGCATGACTGAGCGGGAGAGAGGCTTGGGCCTGGCAAGCTAGAATGGGGGTGTTTCGGAAGGGGCGGGGCATGGAGAATCCCTGCAGGGCTCTGAACCCTGGAGGCAGACGAGAGCAATGAGAATTTGGATAAATCACTTTAGTTCTCCTAGTTAATTTCACTCATCTAAATACAGAAATGATATTATGTGCTTTTCAGAATCTCTGTAAGATATAAGTGAAGTAACCCATGTACCCAGCACAGGAGAGCAGTCGGAGAACCCCTCTCCCATCTGATGTCTGGGGCTGAGGGTCCCACGGTGGGCACTGTTCTGTTTTGGGCCACTTGCTGGAGCACTCCACAGACCAGGTAGACATGATGTGCCCTGCTGGTTGGCTCGCAGGGTCTGCAACGCCGCCAAAACTTGCCTGGAATCTGCAACTTTTTAGTCTACAGAAAATCACTTGGCATATATAACATATAAGCTCCTATTTCTTCAACTGGCTACCTCTGCCATCCCTCGGGATGAACTAAACCTCAGTCTCACCCCTAATGCTGCCACCATCTGTGTTCTCCTAGTAATCAATTCCCCTATACTTCGCCCCTTGTTTCTTGGTATTGAATTCAAATTTGGAGTTGCTGGGATTCACTTTCACTCTGGACTCCACTGCTACCCCTGACCCCCACTGCCCCTCCCTGGTTGAGGTGCAGCCCTCTCTGCAAGTCACCCCGTGCTGGGACAGGAAAGATTCCATATGCAGAGTGCGGTGCACACACCAGCGTTCACAGGAGGCGGGAAACAGGAACTCTGTACTCACTGGCTCACTTTATGGTACAGCTTAGCGATGCCCTGATGGGTCCAATCCTTCCCAAGGGTGGGCAAAATGTGGCCAAGAGTATCTGATCTAAATGAAGAGGAAAAGAGAAAAATAAAGTAAAAATCCCTTTCAGATTCATTGCACCATTCATGCCTCATAAAAAAAAAAAAAAAACACAAACAAGACCCACAACTTTCTTTCTGGATAGAAAGCCCAAGGCTCAAGTCATCAAAGTTGATGCTGACGGAGGGACAGGTAATCCACAGAAGGACGCCTCCAGTCTGATCATGCATCGAGGTGACCGGCTTGTTCAATCAAAGGTAAAGGCCATTCAAAAAGACGTTCTTGAGAAGCCCCCACAGAAGCAACCAAGTCGAAGAGATAATAATACCCCAGAAGGAAACAACTAAGCCCTAAACACAATGATTGCCACCAAGGAGCTGAAACTACGTAAGGAGCTCCAACTGCACCAGAATTCGAACCGTGCAAGTCCCATGAGGAGAGCAGAGGTGCCAACACCAGGCCCAGAGACCCCCACGGTGAAGCAAAGAAATCTACCATGGGCCCCAAGTCAGCAGGACCTACCTGGTAATTGTCCCATCAATATCAGAAATGATGACTTTATCATCCCAGTTCCACAGATAGATGGTGCCCTCACAGCGGCACGTGCCTTGGTACTGCGTGGTGACACTGAAAACCACGTCGTTGGGGCCATTCTTCAACTTCAAGCTTTTCTGAAAAACATGAACCATTAGTATTTGTCTGCTTGAGGGAAAGGCCCTGATTGATGGGCATTTGGCTTCTGTTCTATGAGAAGCAGGATTCGGCTTTAAAAACAAGTGACTGCCCTGGGCCCTTGTATAATTCTTTCTTTCCCCACCCTTCCTTGTTCTGGTTCTTTCCGGGGCTGGACAGGCAAAATGAAACCTCAGCTCTCTCAGGCCCCCTTGTAATGCAACTTGCCTACTTGCTACAGAGTTGTTCTACTTCCCAGGATAGTGCTAATTTGATCAAGTATTTTCAGATTACAGTCATTAGCCAGGATTCAATGACGGGGCTACACGGCGTAATAAATCACAAGTTTGGAATAGGATACACTTACCACTCTAGGACTAAATAGGAAGATCATCATTCAGGGAGACAAATTTAAGCCAAGTGTGAAAATACATTTCCCTAAATAACCATGTTTTTAAATTATTATTATACTGACACGAATTGGAAAAAGAGAAGTCTTGGTTATCAGTCATGCCTCATATCCAGAAGAATATAGTCTAGACCCAAAGAAATCACACCAAATTCAAAATACAAAGTGACTTTTGAGCAGTTTTGAGTCTCTGTGCCAGGACTCCTGGTGCACACCAGCTGGCCATTCAGACCCCCAGGCTGCCTGACTGCAGGTGTCCCCAGTGTCGCCAGTGGGAGCAGTGAGTCACACAGAGACCCCCAGGCTGCAGGGTCCCACACATGGCCTGAGTGGGTGTCTGGGCCTCTTCCTTATCTTTTCCTAGTAAACACCCTCACACTTGAGCCAGGCTCCCCACTAACTCTTAGGAGAAATGCACAAGACTTGATTCACAAAAAAGCAAGGACAGGTGCTCACTGGCCATGACCAACGGGATCCAAGAAAGGGCTTTTAATTAAAACTGGTCTCACACACAGAAAAATAAAAGGACACCATGACCAGGTGATGCCCCTGGTTACCTGAAATTCTCTAAATTCTATCACAACTGCTTGATTTCCACCAACTTAAGAGATGCATTTGAGTTAACAAACATCTCTCTCTTGAAGCAAAAACACCCTTGAGTGATTTTCAAGTCTATCTGTGATTGACACCTTAGGACGAATTAGCTCCGCCAGGCTGCCTTCCTCCTAACTCTAGTAAACTAGATCCTCCAGGGCCAGGCCAGCAAAAGGAGAAGACAAAAGGCAAGGTCATATTGGGGACCCAGCCTGGATAGTGCTGGAGTTGGGGTGGAAACAGCGGGTACCCAGTTGAGGGATTGCAGGCCCCCTGGGATGAAAGGTGACAAGTAACGGGCACATCCCAACCATCACACAGCCTTAGGAGTCTGCAGAAACCTCATGTGCTCACAACACAGCCGCGCCAAGCATGGGAGACTCACAAGCTGCTCGGAAGTCAGCCGGAGAGTCTTCTTGTAGCTGACATTAGGCAGAAGAGGGAGGTGGCCTGCGTTTGATGGCTTGGCAGCTGCGCGCTCCTCATCACTGGAGGATGATTCATGCTTTACCCTGGAACACACAGTGATGTCATCACCAATTAGAAAATGCATCTGGGTAGCCATGAAAAATGCATTAGCCTTTAATCAATGACTAAGTCAATCCAGTCTCTCCTGAGTCCCGTCTCTCGGGTGGTCATTTACCATAAGACGTTAAATTTATCAATGAACTCTCACTACATCCCCATTCATGCATCTCTTGCATTACACGTGTGGGGGCTGCCTCTCCTCATTCACTTGCCTATTGATGAGCTACCACCACTATTTTAAGCCAACAGGTTCCTACTCATGACAAGCAGGGTTAAACTCCCTCTTGGCCTAGGAAGATGCTGTCTTCTCTGTCTCTCTTCTCTTCCTATCTGAGACTGCATGCCAAGCGCTAGGAGTCCAAGTTTCTACAAGTCCACACTCATCCATCAGTTCCCTATATAAAGCTCGCCAAATATACAACTCCAAGCAATTAGGGCCTTTCTAGGACTTACGGACAGGTGCCAGTGAAAGCAAGAAAGACTCACCAATTCTTCTCTCAGGATCCCCCAGAGGGTCATCCCATGAGCAAGGAATACGCCTTACTTCCCTGCTCAGAATATACAGGTCAGTGCCCCTAACTCTTCTAGACTTTTTTGTTTAGTGGGGAGCTGGGAGGTGCAGGGTGGGAATTAGGCTCGTTTTCTTTAAATAGCTCACATAATGCATATCTGTAATTAGCTATTCACTCAATGAAAATCCTGCTATGACATAATCCCCAACCCAGTAGTATCAGCTCTGCCTCCCAGGACCACTATCTTTGAAAATGCCTCAATGCTATATGAATCACTTAGTAAATGCCTTAGACTAAATGGAAAAGGCTGAGTGGCCCCCAAAGCAGCACATCCCAAGCCCTCCGGTACTTTGCCTTCCTACAAAGCCTCTGGCTCAGCACCTTCCTCTAGGCAAGGTTAGAGTATACACAGAGCTCCAGCTTATTTTTTTTTTACTGTCTTTCGTATTTTTTATTTTTCTATTGACATATTAATTATACATATTTATGGGGTGCATGTAATATTCTGATAAACGTATATATTTGCATTTATCAAAATATCATGCATACCATGATCAAATCAGGGTAATTAGCATATCCATCACCCCAAACAGTTATCATTTCTTTGTGTTGGGAACATTTCAAATCTTCTCTTCTAACTATTTTGAAATTTATAATAAATTGCCGTTAACTATAATCATTCTACTGTGCTATCAAACGCTAGAACTTATTCCTTTCATCTAACTGTATGTTTGTACCCATTAACCAACCTCTCTTCATCCTCCTCTCCCCTCTACCCTTCCCAGCTCTGGTAACCACCATTCTACTCTCTACCTCCATGAAATCAATATTTTTAGCTCCCACATATGAGTAAGAACACGTGATATTTGTCTTTCTGTGCCTGGCTTATTTCACTTAACATAATGACCTCCTATTCCACCCACGTTGCCACAAATGACAGGATTCATTCTTTTTTATGTCTGAATAGTACTCCATTGTGTATATATCACATTTTCTTCATTCATTTATCCATTGATGGACACTTAGGTTGGTTCCATATTTCAACTCCTGTGAATAGTGCTGTGATAAACATGGAGATGCAGGTATCCCTTTGACATCCTGATTTCCCTTCCTTTGGATAAATAAGCAGTAGTGGGATTGCTGGATTGTATGCTAGTTCTATTTTTAGTTTTCTAAGAAATCTCCATACTGTTTTCCATAATAGCTGTACTAATTCACATTCCCACCAACAGTGTTTAAGAGTTCCCTTCTATCCACATCCTTGTGAGCATTCGTTATTTTTTGTCTTTTTGATAATAGCCATGCTAACTGGGGTGAGATGCTATCTCACTGTGGTTTTGATTTGCACTTTCCTGATTAGTGATGTTGAGCAAATGGGACTATATCACACTCAACAGCTACTGCCCAGCAAAGGAAACAATCAACAGAGCGAAGAGACAACCCGTTAAATGGAAGAAGATATGTGCAAACTCCTCATTCAAAAAGGGGCTGATACCCAGTATATATACAAGGAGCTCAAACAACTCAACAGCAGAGAAACCAATCATCCCATTTAAAAGTGGGGAAAGGATCTGAATTTCATAAGAGAAGAAGTACCAGGATTGTCTTTATCTTTTTATCTCAATAAACTCTCTCCTCTCAGTGCTAACTTCCTCTCGCCTTACTGCCTCCTGTTTCCCCCGCCCCTGCCTCCCTTAAGATCTCCTATGCAACCTACAGCTTTCTGACCCCATAAGTGTTCATTTAAGAAGTGATCCCCAGCCTCACCAACATGGCAAAACCTGTCTCTACAAAAAATTTAAAAATTAGCCAGGCGTGGTGGTTCTTGCCTATAGTCCAGCTACTTGGGAGGCTGAGGCAAAAGAATCACTTGGACCCGGGAGGCGAAGGTAGCAGTGAGCCAAGAATGCGCCATTGCACTCCAGCCTGGGTGACAGAGTAAGACCCTGTCTCAAAAAAGAAAAAAAAGAGATCCCTACAACCCAATACTGCCCAATACTGGGGAGACATGAAGGAGGATAGTGTCCCACAGCACCTCCACTTCTGTGTTGTTTCTACCACACTTATGTGGAGACCCAGCTCCTTCCAGTCCTAGAATGAGCAGCCCCTCCCTAAGCACCTGCTCCCTGGGCCCCAGGAAAGGGAGGTCGGTGGGCTTTGGGATGGTGGCCCAGAGTTCATTCAACCGACACTCAAGCATACCATGCCAGGCATCGATGGCACAGCAAACAACCTATTCCCACTCACGCAGGGCTTGTGTCTAAATCACAACACAGAGACCTGGGCTGAAGACAAAGATTTAGAGATCACTGGGACAGAGCCCTGGGGGAATACGCCATGGGAACAGGAGGCTGAGTTGAAGGAAAACAGAGCATCGGCTAGAACTGTGGTTGGTCTGTGGCAGAGCTAAGCTACACGTGGATGGAACAACGCCATGACATTGGGGGCTGATCCTGATTCTAGGTAGAGTGGAGATGGTACAGCAGTTAGACTCTGAAAAACACAGGTTTCCAGCCCATGGTAACTTCGGGCTACATTACCTTGGAGAAATCATTTCTTTATCTTTCAGCCTTGATTTCTTTATCTTAAAATGCAGAGGAACAACTGAATCACATCCACCCAAAACTTCAGGATGGAGGCAGGTAACAGGCTAGAGAGACCTGGACTGGGAGACCCAGACATAAGCCCCAGCAAAGGCCTCATCCTAGGAAATTCCTCCCTGGGCCTCAGTGGGCTCATCTGTAAAATGACCTGATCCAACCAAAGTCCCTTCCAGTTCTAACACCTACGGATCCTATGAACCATGCTGGTTCCTCTGAACCAACAATCTGGAGGTTTTCAGATGGGGTAAATGTGGTCCTGGAGCTGGTACAGCCTGGCAAATGCTGCTGGGAACGGGGAGGGGAGGGTGGTGCAGATTTCCTTGTCAAGCAGAAGAAGAACGAGGCTACAGGCCCCTCATTGAATGGGAAAATGTTTATGTTCCAACCAAACAGTTTGGAGTGAAATGAGATCCAAATGTGAAGCAAAGCTCTTGGTGACAACAGATTGATGTGTACCTCTGCCGGCGGGATGAGGAGGCAAGGCGGAATAGCTGTGATTTCCATCTGCTGCTTTAAAAAAAAAATCCACTAAATTTGTGCAGCATGCCATGTTTGAAGGAACACAGAAAGGAAAACACAGATACAAAGACTAAAATGCGAGATGCGCAGTTGGCTGTTGGTGGTTTCGGCTTAGGGCAAGTACACGGTCATTTGCGGCTGCCACGTCTCAGATTGCGCCACCCTGCACAGAATAAAATGCCTCCTTTTCGGAGGCCCCCACCCCACCCCTTACAATGGCTCATTAAATGTTGCTTGCTTTACAGTATCTGCAAGAAGCAACAAAACAAAACAAAAGGGCTCATGTCATTTGAAAATGTGTGCACAGAAGAGTAGCTGTGAACAACATCTAAGTTAGCACTTGTCAGTGTACGTTTTTCAAACGCTATTTTAATTATTTGTATGGTGACAAGCTGTTTGCTCAATTATGGGACTTCGGGGACTATTCTGTCAATCACGTCTGTCAATTAGGAAAACATTCTGACACCTTTTTTTTTTTTTTAGTCAACTGCATGACTCTAATAAGGAGACTCAAAGTCTGAGATGCCAGTATAAATTAAAAGGTTTACATTTTTCAAGAGAACTTTATATTCTTTTCAAAATCTGAGTTTTCACAAGAGTCAATTCTTAATTTTTCAGGTTTGATAAGGAACCATACTGTGACTAACTCAGAATGGCGAATGGTCCAGCTGTTTCTATTTGATGGGAAAAAGCATTTTTTGCCCCATTTGAATATGATTGTATCGGACAGTGAGAAAATCCGTGACACCCCAAGTAAACTGCAAGAGCTGAGGTTCCAACGTGGGAAGAGCTGCAGAAGTATCTCGCTGCTCTCCACACTCTCCTGGGGTCCTGCCTGCTATGTCTAGAAGGAGTAAGAGTAAGAGCAGTGCTGGCACCAGCAATGCCACTGTGCCCACTGTGTACGGGCCCCTCCCAGTTGCTGTCCTCTTCCCTCCCTTGTAAACCTAACTCTCTGACCCTCAGGCCCATCTTCCCCTAGGTCTAAGACTGGCTGTATTAGTCCGTTCTCACACTGCTATGAAGAAATACCCAAGACTGGGTAATTTATAAAGGAAAGAGGTATTAATTGACTCACAGTTCCACATGGCTGGGGAGGCCTCAGGAAACTTACAATCATGGCTGAAGGCAAAGGAAAAGCAGGTGCCTTCTTCACAGGGCAGCAGGACGGAGTGAGTGCAAGCCGGAGAAATGCCAGATGTTTGTAAAACCATCAGATCTCGTGAGAACTCCCTATCACGAGAACAGCGGCATGGGGGAAACGGCCCCATGATGCAATTCCCTCCAACTGGTCCCACCCTTGACACCTGGGGATTATGGGGATTACAGTTCAAAGTGACATTTGGATGGGGACACAGAGCCAAAGCATATCATTCTGCCCCTGGACCCTCCCAAATCTCATGTCTTTTCACATTTCAAAATCAAACATGCCTTCCCAACAGTCCCCCAAAGTCTTAACTCATTTCAGCATTAACTCAAAATCCACAGTCCAAAGTCTCATCTGAGACAGGTCCCCTCTGCCTATGAGCCAGTAAAATCAAAAGCAAGTGAGTTGCTTCCTAGATACAATTGGGGTACAGGCATTGGGTAAATACACCTGTTTCCATTGGGACAAATTGGCCAAAACGAAGGGGCTACAAGCCCCATGCAAGTGTGAAATCCAATAGGGCAGTCATTAAATTTAAAAGTTCCAAAATGATCTCCTTTGACTCCATGTCTCACATCCAGGTCACACTAATGTAAGAGGTGGGCTCCCACAGCCTTGGGCACTGCCAGAGGGCAGGATGGATTTGGCAGACATCCTGCATTCAGCCAACAGAAACTGTATGGTTTGGGATTGAACGCATGTCCTCCAGGTGACCACAGAGCCATCCTCCCCAATTGGTTTCTGCACTCTGGATCATTTTCTCATGAAGTTGCCTCGAAGACCCAGTGAGACGGGGTCTACCGCATCGGTGTTATTCTTAACCCCATTTCACAGATGGAGACGCTGAGAGGTGGATTAATTTGCCAAAGATCACACTGAAGGCTGTTGGACAAGGTCCCTGCTGTACATCCTGCTCTGTGCTACCTCTTGTGTTTAGAAATTATTGCCAAGACAGAGAAGGTTGTTAAAATGAATTCCAGGAAAGCGGGGCATTTCTAGTGTAGCTATTTAAGTTGGTTTAAGTTGCTGAGAGCACGCAGTTTCGCATCTTTGTTGTGTGTGCCTCTTTTGGGGTAGCATGCCTCCCATGCAGCCTCCAGGCCAGCTCCATCCCAGCCTGTCTGGGCACTGACGGTGGCACTGGCACCTTTGCTCAGATGTGTCAGGGAGCTTCCCCAAGGTCCAATGGTTACCGAGGAGCAAAGCTGGGATTCCAAACCACACTTGCCTGACTCCAATGTCGACTGCTTCCGCTACAGCTTGTGCAGTAAACAACCACTTATTTTGAAATGTCTGCTTTCCATGCTGGCTGCTCAGAGGGTGGCATGTCCTTGGCCTGGGCTCCATCCTCAACACACCTGCCTTCTCCCTTCCAAGCACACTCACAGCCAAACTCAGAATTCCCAGCTGGGAAATATCGATACCCTGGTGCCTTCCTATTCTTTCTTGTGCCTGTGAAGCACAGACCAGCGGTGGGTCAGGGGGAGGCACCTGGGACACCACCAGGGGAAACAGAAAGGTTTCAAGAGCATCCCAGGCGAGAGCGAGCCAGGCCATTCACAGTCACATTCAAACTCACCCCTACCAGGTCCCGCACACTCGTCTCCACCCTGTTCTTCTCCACAGAGAACAATAAAGAAATCAGGTCATTTCCCACCTGCCTCCCACGTGGGTTTCTGTTTGTAGCAAAGAATCCTAGATGTAAAATTGTTTAAGACACAGAGCCATGGCCGGGATTCAGAGGAATGGAAATCCACGCCTGCCTCTCCCATAAATCAACAACACATGGAGAAAACCTCAGTGGTTCAGTGACGGTTGAGCAACACTTTGGAAACGACTACTCTGTGGGGCAGTGGCCTCCAAGATACAAAAATGAGTAAGATGTGGATCTGGCCCCAATTAATCTGTTAGCACTTTCTGTCTGCTAAATAAGAAATGGAATCCTGGATTTCTTAAGCACAGGAATACTGTAAACATGAAGTAAGAAGTAAAAGATGGTACAGCGCAAATCATTCAGTGTCAGTATATGATACCACCATCATAATTAGTGTATAACGGGACTGTCCTCAGAGTCACCTCCAATCCCATACAAAGTGATTAACCTGAAGACAAAACACCACAAATACGGATCAGTATCATCAAAATCTAACCTCTCCTATGCCAAGTGAATATGAATCCATGTTAAAAGTATCAACGTAAGTCCTGGTCAGTATTTAAATTACAGAGAAAGGCAAGTTCCTTCAGAAGTGAAACTTATTTCCATGTTATTGTTAGGGCTACTATTTATTCCTGTCATCACTGTCATTATTCTCACTGTTATTATTGTCATCATCATCATCTGTGTATAAAGGACTATTGCATGCCAGGACCATGAGAAATGCTCTAGTTATATTATCTCACTAAAGGCTCACATTTATTTTGCAAATTAGCTATCTAAGGGAGCAACTGCATGCATTTTGCTCATGGGAGAACCAAGTTAAATAAATTGCTCCAGGTCACCAAGTGAATCACAGAGCCAGAGTTGGAACTGTGTGGTGAACCCTATCTGCATCCAGGCAGCACACGCCATGAACTTGGATGCGGAAAGGGGCTGCAAACATCCCAAGAAGCCTCCTACCGCACCTGGTGGCCAAGCTGAGCTGCGGCGGTTGCTCTCCGGTGCTATGGGCCTTGCCAGCCAAGCACTGCTCTGGCTTACTTTCCTAGAAAAGAAGAAAAGAAAGAGTCACAGAAGTACCACAGAGAAGGGGCTTGCAGACAGCCGGTGTTTTCCCATGGGCTTCCTTAAGGCAGGACCCCTAAAGATAGACCATTCCCCAATGACGCCCACCCTAGCGATCGCCCAGGAGGCTCTGGCTGTGTTTGTTTCGGTGGGTCCTGATCTCAACTTTGCTAAGAAGTGTACGATTAAACCAAGAAATATTTTTGACAGAAACGAATCTGTTATCCATAAGTGTTTGTGGCACCAAACCAAACTCCATCATCACTGTAGCTTATGCAAATGCTTGATCAAGGGCTGCTTGGATTCTGGGGGCCTTTCAAAATATTTTCTTGTAATTGCTGATAGAAACGCTTGAAAATATTTTTGTACCATATTTTGCTTGGGGAAGATGTGAAAGCATTTTCTTCTTTTCCAAGATGACATACTCTTAATAGAAAATCCTCTGTTGGTGTACTGGAAAGAACCTTGGATTTCTAAGAGAATGCCTGGGCCCAGTCTTGTTTCTCTTGCTTACAAACTTTGGGCAAGTCATTTAACTATTCAGAACTTCGCTTCCTCATCTGTGAAACGGGTGAAATTCTCCATCTCCTAACGCTGCCATGGGGATTAAAGGAGACTGTGTCTGAACCACAAAGCCAGGCACATAGCAGGCAAAGGAGGACGGAGATGGGCACTGGCCCCAAGGACAGAAGAGACCAGAGAGAAATGCCAAGGGACCGAGGGTGAACGACTAAATCTCTTTCTCTGTGCTCGTTTCGTCAGGAGAGGAAATCTACGGTCCTTTAATAAAGAAAATGAACAATACAAACTATATAATAGGCTGACTGTCTTAACATATGACTAGCATGAACTAAGTTCAAATATCCTTTAGGTTTTTTTATTACCACACAAATAATTGATATAATATGTCCAGTTATGTTTTATCTATTTATCATGTAACTTAGCCATCACTATTAGCAATTTCTTCTTAGACTATTTCCCAAATATGTATCTAACTGAAATAAGTATATTTCAGATTTTTAAAGAAACATTTAATTTCATAACTGTTCCTTACTTTATAGCGGCACTCCACTTAATGCAAACTGGTGAGAATTTGGATATTCTACAAAGAAGTCACTGAAATATACTTCCATCTTAAATTCTAGAACATTCTGCTCTCTAGTAAGAAAACCAGAGAGGCCCTTCATGCTTTAAGGCCTCTAGTGTAAAGCATATATATTTGAACTCATTTATCGGTAACCTTTGGAGATTAGTAAAACTGATGAGTAGACCTCAGATATGCTAACAGAAAATGTCAAAGAACAATTATATCTTGATAAAACTCTTCCAGCAAACATTTTCCCTTTCAACTAATGGCATAAATAGAGTTCATGGCAGTTTATGATTAAAATAACCAACTTGACTGTTGTCCCTGTGGCTTCTTCATACTACTTTCCCAGAGTAATCAGCGTGCCCTCAACAAATATTTGCTGAACCCCTACTCTGGGTCCAATATGGAGACCAAGAACACCAAAGCAATCAAAGCCATATATGGTCTCTGCCTCATGAAGTTTCGGGTCTAGACAGAAAGGAGAGGTTCATCAAATAGTCACGCTAGTAATTACATAATTATCAACTATGACAAAATTTATGAAGGAAAAGTTCACAGGCAGAGGACAGCAGACCAGACTCATCTGCAGGGAAAGGGCTACTGGATCTGCTAGTTAGCTAAGCGAAGCAGGGGAGAGGGGTCCACAGAATACTAAGTAATGAAAATAGCATGTGCAAAGCCCCCAGGGTAGAAGGTACCTTCAGCCATTGAAGCTAATGCACAAAGAGCAGAGAACAGCAAAGATGAGATTAAAGAGGCAGGCAGGAGCTAGAACACACAAGCACTGTAGGCCGTGGTAAGGACACAAGCCTTCATTATAAGAGCCCTGGGGAACCACAGTAAGGCTTTAAGGAGCAACAAAAATAGGAGCAGTCCCCTGAAGAGACCAATGCATCTGCAGTACAGAGAATGAAGAAGCAAGGGTGAGGATGGGTGCAAAGAGACCATCTGGAAGCACCTCTGGGAGAGATGATGGTAATGCAGATTTGTGGGAGCAGAGCTGGAGAGACATGGACACGTCAGAGAAGTATTTCAGATGGAAAACTGATAGGACCTGGTGTGGGAGTGAGGCTAAAAGCATGAATCTCACCCACAGATGGACAGTGGTGCCATTTTCTGACTATGGCCCCAATGATGGAAGAACTCACAAGAATCCCATGAGTTCAATTCTGGAAGCGTTAAGTTTGAAATACGTTGAGGCATCCACAGGACGATGTCTGCTTAGTCGACTACTTGATAAGTGGATGTGGAGTAGAAAAGAATGTCTGGTTTGGAGACAAAAATGGAGTCATCGCATGGGCAGAAGGGAAAAGTAAGAAGTAAAAGGAGAAAAGGTGGCCTAACATGAGCTTTGAGGACCCTCCTAGAGGTGACTAAGCCAGAGCAGGAGCAGCCTGCTGGGAGGAGGAGACCCAGGTGGACACAGGGGCCTGGGAGCCAAGCAAAGCAAGCGCTTCAAGAAATAGAGGAGAGGGCAACGAAGATCTGAAAGAAATCACAGGCACTCATAGACATGAACGCCAAAGCCATGGACCTTTAGACATGCCATTTCAGTGAAAGGACTCAGAGAATTAGTCAACTGCTGTGAGTATGCCTCATTAAAATTGTCCTCACAGCCTGGGCATGGTGGCTCACGCCTGTAATGCCAACACTTTCGGAGGCCTAGGCAGGCAGATCGCTTGAGCCCAGGAGTTTGAGACCAGCCTGGGCAACATGGCAAAACCCCGTCTCCACTAAAAATACAAAACTTAGCTGTGCGTGGTGGTGCATGGCTGTAATCCCAGCTATTCTAGAGGCTGAGATGGGAGGATTGCTTGAGCCCGGGAGGCAGAGGTTGCAGGGAGCTGAGATTGCACCACTGCACTCCAGCCTGGGTGACTGAGCAAGCCCGTCTCCAAAAAAGAAAGGAGGGGAGGGGAGGGGAGAAAAAGAAAAAGAAAAATTGTCTCCACAAGCAGAAGGAAGATATTTAATTTCTTAAGAAACTGAATTCCCAGGCTGAATCCCTTCTTTTATAGATGACGAAATCTTACCATGAGGGAGTGACTGGACCACAGTCTCCCAACAGTTACAGAGCCAGGAGGTGACACCTATGCTGCTGGCTCCTGACCTTCCTCCCCACCTTCCCCACGTTCCACGAGCACTCGCCCTACTTCATGGCAGAGCTGGCTCATGGAAACTCAGCACTAGGGCCTATCTTCATTTCTCTGATGTAAGTACATGAAAACCAATCTCACTACACAAAACCAACACTTGCTAAGTGTGAGCACTGCTTTGTCTTCTGGGCTTACCTCCTTGATTGTGGTGTTTCTTCCCCTCCATGAAAACCACCATCTTCCTCCCTTTTTGGGCATTTTATCCCTCATGATAGATTCCACAGTGGCCTGTTTTAAATGGATGGTAACATAAATAATGGAACAAAAAAAGATCAACTTAGCACATTCAAACCAAAAGAAACATACATGCAAATTAAAGTAAGATTTAAAAAAAAATCAGAGAAAACACAACATACTATTTGTGCGTTAAAAATTTTAGAGAAGCAAAACCTAATGGCGTCCAAAATTACATGAAGGTAACTTAAGCATGAAGACTTAAGAAGATGTTAAAGGAATAAACAAACAACAAATAAAATACAACACAACAACAACAACAAAAAAAGAAAGCATTAGAAATCATTAGTGATTAGTAAGACTGGAAGTTTTCAAATTAAAGTGGCTAACTGGTTAAGATATCATTACTCTCAATATGATGATTATCAAATAAAATATGAAATGATTAATATGGGATAGAGGATAAAACAGTTTTCAACAAAAGGTAAAATGCATAAGATTTTTACTAAGGGTAAATTTCTAAACATTTGCATTAATAGGTACATTTGATTTAAAATCTCGAGTATTAAAAAGAAAATTCATACTTTTAGGTAAATGGGTTTAATGGGGAGATTAAATATGAATTGATAATTTTCTACGTTTTTCCAAAGAACAAAATACCTATCTATCTTGAGGTTAATTCCAGGACCAAGGTAAAAGTTAGGTAATGTCCCTTCCTCAGTTTACAGAACTTTCAAGAAGCTGACACCTCAGCTAGTAACAAAAGAAAGATTTAAGCTGAAAGATTCAGTCTAAGGGAAGCAGACAGATAAGTAATTTACTATGTAGCTTAAAAGATCCCTATCTGACACAAAAGAAAACCCAACTGCACTAAAATGCAAACCACTCACATCCAGCTCATAAATAGGACAATTGACAAAGCTGTGAATGACCCTATTTCCCCTAAATCCACTCATAAATGTAACAAAACCACATTTTTTTTAAAAAAAGAAAGCAGGCCAAAGAAAGGAAAAAAACAAACAGGAGTATTTTCAGTCCTTCACAAACTGATTCTAATGTTCATTTGAAAAACAAACAAAAATAGCCCAGAAAATTCTCAGGCAGAAGAGTAGTAAGTAGAACAAGCACTACTGGGTATTAAAATATACCAAAATATATGGTAACTAAAAGAATGCAGTGTTGGTATACAAGGACACATATCACAGGAACAGAAAACGAAGTCCAGAAATAAATCTAAATTCACAGAGACACGTAACAGAGGGTGAAGTTGTAACTGCCTCTGAGTGGAGGATAGGGTTAGTTAATACACGGTCCTGGGATAATTCAGTAGCCATGTCAGACCCTGTGAGCAGCTCATCTGCCTCCCCTTTCTTGCTGACAGATCTGAAACTCTGTTCAAGAATCAGGCTGCAATGCATGCGGAGAAGACTGGCTCAACTCCAGAGGATGCACCTCAATGGTCGAAGCCGTTCACAGTCATTTCATTGCTTTGCCAAGAAGTGCTTTAGTGGTGATCATGTGACCAAGTCTTGAACTATGAGAGAGCTGCCCCTACCCTCCCGTTTCAGATGCGGCAGTCTGAGCAGACGATGTGTACGGCAGTCACCTTGTGACCATCAAGGAAAAGCTGAGAAAATCACAAAGAAGCTAACCCAAATTCATCAAGCCTGAAACTGCCAACCTCTAAGATCCTCATCATATGAGATCATTACTTAAGCCACTTTTAGTCATTCTGTTTCCTAAAACAAAAATCATCTTCACCAATTCAATAACTTCCTGAGAAAAAAACTGGTTTGCTTCCTAATACCTCTCATTACACTTGAAACAAAATCTAGATGGATGAAAGATTTTAAGATCTTTCGAAATTTCCAAAACTTGTAAAAATATGCCCCATATACAAGAAAGCACAAAAAGAAAATATAGGGCCTATCTTCACAAGTTTTGGAAATGGGGAAGCAGGGCCATTTTATGTGTGATACAAAACCCAACAGCCATAAAAGATAAGATGGGCAAATTCTACATTTAAAAATAATTTCTATATTAGAGAAATGCCATATATAGTCAAAAGTTACTGACTTGTAGAAAGATTTAGCATGCATATCACAAGGACTAATGTCTTTTAAGTTTCAGAGCCCATGTGGATTTCTTCTTCAGTGAATAAATAAATCCTTTAGCTATATTGCTATTGCAATGGCCTTTTTTCTTACGGATTTGTAAGTGTTGAGAACGGTGACATAAAAATGTGTCCCAGGCCATGGATACCATGGCAGGGACAAAATAAAAACCACTCTGGAGAACATGCCCTCAGCCCAGTCCACAAAGATAATCAGATAAAGCACCACCCAGGATGAGACTGCGGTCCTCAAAACACAACACATGCACACACACACACGCACACACACACGTGCACATCCACATCCACACATGCACGCACACATGTGCACATCCACACATACATGCACACGCGCACACACGTGCACATCCACACATGCACACACGTGCACATCCACACATATACACATGCACATACACACACGCACACACATAAGGCACACACCTGCACAAGCATGCACACATACCCGCATGCACACACATACATGCGCACACACACGCATGCAAATGCATACACATGCACGTATGCACACATGCACATGAGCACACACTGACACACAGGCACAGGCACACACACACACACACACAAACCCAGGAAGCAGCAAGCCTAGACTCAACAAAGTCCAATTAGACCTTCAAGAATCTCAAGTGTTTGAACTGGCTGACCGACGGCAACATCCTAAGCCATACAAAAGCTTGCTAAGCGCACAAAGGATACAAACAAGCCTAAGGCAGTCTCTGCAGCAAAGAACGTATAATCTAGCAGGAAGATCTATCATTGAAAAAATTAACAACTCCAGGCTGACTGTCTAGTGAATTGTTTGGGGTAGGATGAGAACACTGCAGACTGGCAGGTGGCGTGGCTGCCCTCCTAACTCCTCCCTACGGCCACTTACCTACTCTCCCCTGCAGACTGGGAGCTGTCCAGGCCCTGTACTGGCTCTGGCCTCAGAGACTCAGGCATGGGGCTGGCTTCCTGGCTGAGCAGCACTTGACACTGACACTTGACACTTGACACAGGGCACCTGCACCTGACCCTGATGCCTGCTCCACCTTTCCAGGGTGACAATCATCTCCCTTTGTCCTCACTGGGCTCTGAGGTCCTGGCACCTGTCTGCTCAGCCTCCACCTGTACCCCTTGCATGGCAGATATTGAGAAAGGAATCTTCGGTCCGCTCGACCATGATTGGGAGGTTTTGCCTTGATAAGGAAGAGGGGCAACCACGTGCAAGGTGCAAGAGAGAGATCAGAAACTCCTGGCCTGTATGCTCATGAACTTCAAAAGAGCACAGTGGAATTAACTCTGTAGTTTCCAAAATAAAAGTGAAATTCCAACCACCCCAGATTAAGCTACCCATCATTTCTAGCATCCCCTTTTCTTTCTCATGTTAAAGCTCACCTTTGGCAAAGGTTTCTGGAAGGCCTGCATTGCCAGGAGGAGGGGTGCTGCTGTTGTCCAGTTATAATATCTAACACAAAACAATGAAATATATGTCAAAAAACCGAGGCTCAGACTGAAAACCTTTCCAATGTCATATAAAGTAGTCAAGGAAAGCTCGGGACTCCAGCGAGGCCCTTAAAGAGCTCAATACTCTTGCTAGCCCCCAGCCCTCCTCCATATCACCCCTAGGCAGAGGCTCCCCCCACCTCACCCCAGCGGCCAGTTGAGGGCCCAGCAGCAGCCGTGCCAGCAGGGCAGACAGTTGGACATGCCAGCAGCCCAAATCCCACCGTACAGCTGCTGCACCAAACCACGACGTGCTTGGGGTATTTCTTGCCACGTGTCAAGGTAAAGGCAACTAGGTGTAAAACATCCATGGCTTAAGGGAGAAAAGCTTGCTAACAGTCTGCAAAAATACCTGTACATCCCTTGCCCTCAGATAATGAAGTTTTTCTTTTCTTTTTTTTTTTTTTTGAGACAGAGTCTTGCTCTTTCACCCAGGCCAGACTGCAGTGGCGCTATCTTGGCTCACTGCAACTTCCGACTCCCAGGTTCACGCCATTCTCCTGCCTCATCCTCCCGAGTAGCTGGAACTACAGGCGCCCGCCACCGCGCCCAGCTAATTTTTTGTATCTTTAGTAGAGACGGGGTTTCACCGTGTTAGCCAGGATGGTCTCGATCTCCTGACCTCATGATCCGCCTGCCTTGGCCTCCCAAAGTGCTGAGTTTACAGGCGCCAGCCACTGCGCCCAGCCGATAATGAAGTTTTTCAAAAGGGTAGAGATGTAGGCTACTCTGACATACCCATGTACTGCAGAGTGTGACTATTCACATTCAATAAGAACATCGAGCTGGGTGTAGTGGCTCACACCTGAAATCCCAGCACTTTGCGAGGCGGAGGTGGGAAGATCTCTTAAGCCCACAAGTTCAAGGCTACAGTGAGCTACAACTGCACCACTGCACTCCAGCCTGGGAGACAGAGCTACACCTTGTCGCAAAAAAAAAAAAAAAAAAAAGAAAAAGAAAAGAAAAGAAAACTCACAAGACTGAGAGCTATCTGAACCTATCAGCTATATTGCCAATTCTATTGGCATGGAACCCTGACCACAGTGAAGATAATGCAATAATGCAATGTAGCAAAGTCTTTATTTTATATATTTCTAAGGCTTAATGTCTAGGTCTATTTGAAAACATGAAACAGAAACAGTATCATGCTACTGCCAAAGTGACTTTCAAGAGGTACTTACTTACTCCCAATCTTTACCACGAGATTGGGGTCATCGATAATAGCGGGGTTGTCCACAAACTGTTGATATGACACAGCTTGCTCCAGGAATGCATCTGTGACAGCAATTGCAGAGGATCAGGGAAAAACAAAAAGAAAATTCAGTTCAAAATTAGGCCTACCTTTCATTTGCTCACTCACAAGTGTTTTCTGAGAGTTTGTGCATTCCAACTGTGCAGACAATCCTATAAAATGTATTTGTAAAGGCCGCACCATTTTACCTGGAAGGCGGCGTCTGTGCAGCAATGCAGGGAGGCCAGGGCAAGGCTGAGGATGTTGGGGGACGTGTACCTTAGTTGAGGCACATACGTTCACACAGGGAGTAGGGGTGAAAACAGCACACACGTGCATCTGCACAGGCAGAGTCATGGCTACGCATGGCGCAGAAGCCAGGCTCCCTCGGCTGAAGTCACGATTACGGGGGTAACCCTGGGCAAGCGGTTCACCTCCCAGGCCCCAGTTCCCTCCTCTAGCATGGGGATAATAACCACATCTGCTTCCTAGGGTGGTCATGGGGACTGATAATGTCGTAAATAGAAAGCACAGGGCCCTTTCAAAAATGGGGCTGCCTCCACCACAATCAGAAGCAGGCAGGGCACTGTTCTCATCATGGTGGGGCAGCCCCACCAGGATCAGAGCAAAGGAGAAGGTGGCAGGGTCAGGAGGCCCAGACCTCAGCCCCGGACCCTCAGTTCTTTGACGGGCTCTGGCAGCTGGGCTGTACCTTAAGCCTTGACCGCGGTTCTGACCATCTCCCTGGCCCAGAGCCACGCCCACTCCTTCCCTGGGAGCTCCTATTTACCCTGAACCGAACCGAAACCCAGCAGACATCAGACACTGAGAATCTCCTCCGTCCAGGAAAAGAGTCCCTGGGTCTTGATGCCAGCCTGACTGGCTTCAACATGCACCCTCAGAGCCCTAATCAGGACCTCCGGGGACTCTCCTGGGGTCTCCTGACTGTGACGATCTGGCCTCACCTGTAAGGACTGGACAGCTGCAGATCCTGGCCCCATGAGATAACACTCAGATAACGGTGCCCAGCCTTGTCAGTGCTGCCACCCCACCCCCACCAGCTCATGTATATCAGGGAGGGAACGCCCAGGGGACTCCTCACGCCAGTGTCCAGAGAGCCCCCATGACTTCAGAAACACAGTGAGGCTGGGTATTAATGTGTGGCCCTAGGAAAACTGAGTGAATGAATGGAGCCGGCGGGACCCAGCACACAATCTTGTTTCCGCTCTCAAGGGACTGGCTGGCACGGGCGTGAGAACAAAAAGGTCTCAATCTTTGCGGAAGAAAAAATTCCCAAAGCCTTGAAGGGACCAGGGTGGAGGCAGGAGTCTCACATGGCAGCCCTGGTTGGAAGGGGAGATGGGGGTGGCTCCTGAGAGGTAGAGGGAAGAAGTACACAGCCTCGGCCCCTTCCCTGCTAGAAATACCACGAGGGGATGGAAAAGAGGCAGTGGTGAGAGAGGGGGCGGGAGGGGTGCAGGGCCACTGTGTCTAGTCCCCAGCTGATAACTGCTGACTGCACCCACTGGGGGGCGTGGGCACACCCTGCCATGGAACTGTCAGGAGGCCCTGGGAGTGCATTGCTACGAATGTGGCAGGTGCTGTGAATGAATCACCTAAGCCCACCCGATTAACGCCCTTTGAATCCAGCTGGGAAAAGTTCCCAGCCCTCCTCCGACAAACTCAGACCTCCCTGTTCCAAGGCGCCGGCGCACTTCTCTCTCGCTGCCGACACCCTCTAATTTAATTAGACTGACACCCCCTCTAGCCTGCAGGCCTCTGGAGGCCATCTCTGCAGTGCTAGCCTGGGGCACAGGAGACACACAACGATGGCCCGAGCCATGGGTGACCCACAGAACTCTGAGGCCGACTAACTGCAAGCCAGAAACATCGGGATTATGAGTTCGGTGCTATCATCTGTGCTATCATTAACCGCAACCAAGGGAAAAGCTGCCTTGACACGCACTCCTTGGAGAAGCCTAAGCCTCTGCGCCTTCTGACCGGCGGCCACCAGAGGGCGCCCGCGCGAGGCCCGCGGTACCTTTCGTGATCTCCCGGTGGTCGCTGAGGCCCCCGCAGAGGGAGATGGCGATGGAAGGGAGGTCCCTCAGCCCGTCCGAGGTGCTCTCCACGCCACTGTCCACGCCCGAGCTGCCCACCGACTGCGGGGACTGGTTGGCTGACCGGGCTCCGTTGTCGCTTGCATGTTTTGCGAGTCCGGAAGGATCTCCGCTGGAAGGAGGAAAAGCGGCAGAGACCGGCTGAGGACTGTCCCAGTTCAGGGTCCTACATCACCATCCAGTGATGCTCTGGCACGCGGCCACCCTCAGAGCCGCAGACGGCTGCATCTCAGCACAGATGTTTATTAAAGCACCACGACAAGGAAAGAGACATTAAACGCCTTAGCTTAGGAGAGAAAACCATTACTTCTCAGCTGGCTGCATCTCCCTGTATCCCCCTAAAATATACTGAAGAAGAAGCAAGCTGTCCTCCCTGTTCCCTGCCCTTCCCCTCCAGGCGCCAGCCCTGCCCTAGATCGCAGGGGGACTGAGGGTGGGTCCCCAGGATCACGGGAGACCCTCCTGGGGGAAAAAAGGGCTGCACAGCTGCCACTTACTGGGCTGTGGACCACGACCACTGTGGACAACATGACCTCAGGCTTTGCAGGGAGGGCAGCCCGGTGCTGCGCCCCTGTCCAGAGGTGGGGCGCCGCCCAGTACCCGCACCCTTATGTCCATAGAGCAGGCGCATTTCACAAGGCAATGGGAGCCTCCCACTGCCTCTCTCTCACACTTTTTTTTTTTTTTTTTTTTTGAGATGGAGTCTCACTCTGTGGCCCAGGCTGGTGTGCAGTGGCATGATCTCAGCTCAATGCAACCTCCGCCTCCTGGATTCAAGCAATTCTCCTGCCTCAGCCTCCCGAGTAGCTGGGATTACAGGTGCATGCCAGCACGTGCAGCCAATTTTGGTATTTTCAGTAGAACGAGGATTCACCATGTTGGCCAGGGTGGTCTTGAACTCCTGACCTCAAGTGATCCGCCCACCTCAGCCTCCCAAAGTGCTGGGATTACAGGCGTGAGCCACCGCGCCCAGCTGTCTTGCACACTTTCTAATCAAACATAAGGGGAAACTGGTCTCACACAGAATGATATTCAGATTATAGGAAATGATGTGAGGAATTAACAGGAATTTTACTTTTTGGGAAAATACAGGGCCGCCACTTCAGGATCCATGTCTGTGAGGTCATCCAAGTAGACGCCGTCAGCACCAAGATGTCGGCTTCGTTTATCTAAAACGGCAAATGGCTCAAGTCAGAAAACCACTCTTCTAGAAATGAGCTCATGGCCTTGTATCTATAGAAACAGCATTTAAACACTATGTGCAGATTTGCTCCCAGGTACTCAAACTGCCCAAGAACCACAACAGTTCCAAGTGTGTTCTATTTTGTCTGGTAAAACAGAATGGCAAGAGCTTTTTAGACAAATACTTTGAGGTTTGGGCACAGTACCGTTGAGGGTGAGGTGGTTTTGATGGACTTATTCCATGATGTTGCTGGAGAAAGAGTGGATTGAGGTCACACTTGTAGGTACCGAGGCCCCTCGCTGGAGGCCACAGCCTGCGCTTTTCCCATTGGAAAATGGTGGGCAGTACAACGTGACCGTAGACCACCAAGGTCCACAAACCAGGGCCGTCATCCACCATCGTGTGGCCTGGATCAAGTTAGTTAACTTGCTGAGCCTCATTCCTCCTCTGTAAAGTGCCTGAAGTGTACTGAGCACTAAACGCATTGAGGCTATTACCATTATTATTACACTTATTATGAAATGATAAAAGCTTTTATTAGGCACTTCCCCATCAATACCCCGAGGCAAAGCATCCCACACTGTGCATTGTCAGACACTGGCCATGATGACTTCAAATGTCCTCTTTACTTCTAGCAGAAAATGATGTAATTGGTCCATATAATTCTAGAAAACCACACGAAGCTGCTGGGTGGATGGAGATCAGGCCTGGCATCGTTGATACTAACACACAGCCAGGAGTGCATTAAACCAACACAGAGCGCCCACTGTGTGCCAACCACTATGCCAAGCGCCGAGGAGAGAAAGGCAAGTTAGATAGAAAAGACTCTTGATCTCAGACAGCACATATTCTATGGGGGAGTCAGGCAAAAATAAATCAATAAAATAATGATCATTTGAAATCATGATAAATGATATGCAGAAATTACAGTGGGTAAGGGGCTGGAAAGCAACGCAGGGCAAGGAGAGAGGTGGCCAGGATTAACCTAATAATCAGCTTTATAAAAGTCACACTTATGGGTCCCATGGTGTGCTGGAAAGGACTTAACTCTCCCAGGTCTCAGCGAGCAGCCTCAGTGTGTAAAATGAAGTTTGCTACATGATCCTCAAGGCCTTCTTCATGTCTGATTTCCTATGACTAAATTCCGATAATTAATATATTCTGCTGAAGAGCTCAGACTGAACATGATCATTGTCACGGTTCAGTTTCTACCTCAGTTTCCTTGGAACTTTGGAAAGGACCTGTCATGTGTAGAGTGAGCACAAACTATGAACAGAAAAAGAGCCGGGAAGCCCCAGCCTTGGTACCTCTTTTCCTGGAAGGAGAATCCGTCTTGTTTGCTGTCTGGACTACACTGGCAGAGGGGGGTTTGAGCTCCTCGATCATGGGCAAGAGTGGCGCTGCTGCTCCTAAGGTCTCCAGGTCTTCTTCATTCACAAACTGCATTTCTGTCTGAGGCTTGTTCTGGTCCAAAAGTGCCCCACCGACCAGAGTTGGCGATTGGTCACTAAAAGTGTCTGAAGATTCGCTGTGAATGGCCTGAAAGTGACTTTTATCACAAATTTTTCTACTGCTCAATGGGCTGGACTCTTTCATCTTGTGTGGAGAAGAAGACTAGAGCAAAGAGGAGAGAGGGACAGAGAGAGAGACAAGGTCAGCACAAAGGCAACCAGAAAAACTGAGTGACCCAAGGAGAACAAGTAATCAAAAGTAGGCAGGGACTTTTAAGCCTCAACAATCACCTGGTGATTTCTATACCTGCCAAAAAGTCCAGAAACCAAGAATATTAGGTCCAAAGCAAATGAACTTTCCTGTGAAACATCAACTGCCAAAGAGAAGTGAGATTAGCAATGCCAACAGGCAGGAGCACCCTAAATGCTGTTAGATTACAAGTCTTTTCACACACACTGGGATTCTCAGTGGCCATGAGAATAAATGAATTACAGCTACACCAACAACATGAATGAATCTTGCAAAACTAATCTCTGTTGCTAAGATCAAGTTTCCCCTTGCAGGGAGCAGAGGGGTCAGTCTGAGCAGTGACCGCAAAGAGTGGGGGTTTCCATGCTGCTGGTCATGCTCTGCTTCTCGGTCTGGGTGCACGCTGCACAGATCTGTTCCTGCTGTGAAAATGTATTGAGCTATACATTTACAATGTGTGTATTTCTCTGTATGTATATTTCAATAAAGTTTATTCCCAAAACATGAGTGAATAAGTAAAGATTTGGTGACAGTTGGTTCACATGAGTGAGAAATTAGCATTTCTGATTCTACCGCCAGAGGGATTTCCAGTTACAGAAAAGATTTATTCAAACAAAAACCAAAATGCAATTCATGGGCTAAAAAGAGGGGAGAAAGTATTCACTTCTCTATCTGATCAAACAGCTTCAATTGCAAATAAAAACAATGCTACAGAAAATCTGTGGTTACAACTATTTTGCCAGAAGAAGTGATGGATTTGCACTTCCATGCTGTTTCTCCAGCAACTAACGACATAAACTTGCAAAGAGAGTTGGCTGGGTCAGCACCATAGCTGTGGACAGGTAAATCAGCATTTTCTATGAAATCTAAATATAACCTAGAGAGGAAATGGATCCACAACTTTGGCCTCAACAGACTACTCTCCAAAAAGCTGCCCATCTTGACTCTTTATAAGGGATGTTTTCAATAGTCATTCACTCACTCACTCACTCATTCATTCATATTACAAACATTTATTGGGGATGCAAGAGGCTATAGCATCTTCTAAGGACCTTACAATATTTTTTAAAGCTTGTGATATAATAACATAATTCAAGATGCTTATAATACATTAGCATACCAAATAAAATTTCTTGAAAGAAAAGATTGTGTTCATTTCATGTTTTTAGAAACATATTTGCTGAACCAGTTATGTACCTACATGTAAACCCACTGCATATCCAAGATAGGGAAACTGGGGCTCAGCGTGCATGTACCACAGCCAAGGAGAAAGAATGCAAATATTCAGAGGGCCTACAGGTGCCAGATACTTCACATACCTACATTAGCCCTTCTAACCTCACAACAATTCTGTCATTTTCTCACAGTTTTACAGATGAAGACACTGAGGTTCAGGGAAGTCTACTCATTTGCCCAAGGTCACCTTTTTAGCAAGCGGTGCAGTGAGGACTCAAACCCAGAATAACCTGCTGCCTCCCAGGCCCTCATTCTCTCCGCTACCCTCAGCTGCTTCTCTATTTATTTTGGAGATCTCCATAGGGTCAAATTCAGGGTCCCACCAACAATGAGGGCCCAGAAATACTTACTACTTGATGAATCAAAACCTTAAGGTTTTCTGACTTTGTTTATCTATTAGGCTGAAATCTTTCATTTCTGTTCTATTAGCCTTTCCCTCTCCCAGGGCTCTCCCAGATGTCTCTCTGTGTGAGGGACACAAGAACATGTGGATTCCAGCTCTTACAACTCAGCTTCTTTTTCAATGGGCCAAGAGTCCACAACTCTCTCCCTGTGGCTTTGCTCCACTCATCAATGACCTAGCAGACTCAAGAGCTGGAAGCTATTTTTGTTTACAGTTTCAAGACAGCAAGATTGTGTGTAAGTTGTATTTCTTTAATTTAATTTGCATTTAGCTGTGATAGAAAATGTAGATCCTGGCTGGGCACGGCAGCTCACGCTTATAATCCCAGCACTTTGGGAGGCAGAGGCAGGCGGGTCACTTGAGGTCAGCAGTTCAAGACCAGCCTGGCCAACACGGTGAAACCCCGTCTCTACTAAAAATACAAAAATTAGTGGGGCGTGGTGGCATGCGCCTGTAATCCCAGCTACTCGGGAGGCTGAAGCAGGAGAATCGCTTGAACCTGGGAGGCAGAGGTTGCAGTGAGCCAAGATAGAGCCATTGCCCTCCAGCCCGGGTGACAGAGTGAGACTCTGTCTCAAGAAAAAAAAAAAAAAGTAAATCCTAAGAGGAATCCCATAGGTTTAAAATCTACAAAAGCAATGAGACCTCTCTATAATGTTGGTAACGTGGAAGAAAGTAATTCCAACATTCAAGGCTAACCCTTAATATATTTTGGTTTACCTCTGGCTCCTGGTAGCTGTGTTTCTTGGCTATGCTATGATACTAATTCCATGTAATTTAAGCTGAGTTAGAAATCTTCGGTCCGTGGCAGAATTGAAGAGACTCTCACCTTAGCAGCCTGCGGCAGCTCTCCCCACAGCCAAAGCATTTCTGGGTTCTTCTGCCCTGTCCTTTCCGTGGACTTGCTGACCAATTCTGAATCACTTTTAGGTGTTGAAGGTCGGGAACCGGAAGGACTTAAGGAAAACACAAAGCGAAAATTAAGGTGGGAAAAGAAACTTTTGTAAATGTTTTGGGCCCAGCTCCATGGCTCAAATAGCCCAGAAAATGCACCCCCAGCTGTCGTTCGCTCTGAGCGGAGCCTCATGACAAATCCCTCCTCCGGCCACCAGGGGGCAGGGAAGCGCCTCCCATGGAAGGCGCTCCACGTGGGTCGCCCGCCCCACCCTGCCGCCTGGTGCACCGCGGGGGAGAGGAGAAAAAGAAGTGGCCCAGAATACAAAAGAAAGAGATGGAAAGAGAAAGGGAAAAATAGTCTGTTCTTACCTCAAAAAGACCACCCTTCCCCACCCCACTCTGCACTCGCATCTCCTGCAATCTGTTTCCAAATCAAGTTCCTCTGCTGTCAGAGGGCTGCAAAAGGGTCTTGGTTGGCTCGGGCAGGCACTCATTAGAGTCCATATTTTAAATATTTATCATCTGCACTGGCCTGGGAAACAGGGAAATTATATGATGTGCCAATTTTACCAAAGATGCTGGATGCCACAAATAAACTCGATAACGTTGGGCAGGAGCCTACAAGTTGAAATTTTCTAAGATCTTATGTCTTCCAGGAATACTTCACAAGGGACTCACCAACTGGTTAAGGCTCGCTCAGTAACCACCTCCATGTTTCCTGAATTTTTACTCTGAAGACCCAAACAAGGTCTTACTTCTGCCCAGCCAAAGTAACCATCCAAAAGTCATTAACTTATCCACAAGATCCTCACCATATTCTAAACAACTTAGAGAAATATTATTTACAGCAGCAATTCTTGTAATTATTTATTGCCGCATAATAACATGGTTAATTATTGCTTATTTTCCCACATCATTTCCTCTAGAGGAAGGCGGCAGGGTTTTTCAGACAAAGCAGGAAATAAAGCTTTCAGTTTCCCTTGCCGTCTTCTTTCCCAGACCTTATCTATTCTTCGGAAACTGATGCTTCTGGTCTCATTTACCTAGAGTTCAACTCCAATTGAATATAACTTTCCTGTCAATACAAGGTGAGTTCATGATGATACATAACTTGTATCCAACAAACAGGGACCTTGTGGGCTAAACTGATCCTGAATCTCTTTGATCAAGCTGCATAGAGCAGCCAGACCAAGTGCCATCTCTCTCATCTCACACCAAGGGGCAGAGGGTGGTCCCTGCTCCCTTGGTGCCCATGACTCCCAGCCCTTCTAATGACGTGCTGCCACGGGGCAGCCTGCACGCTCTCTTTCGCCTGCCTGGGGAGAGGAGGCTCCTGACATCACATTAGGAGAGCTTCTGCAATGGGACACCCTGCTCCCAACAGACACACATTTCTGCCCTTTAGGGAGCAGTCCTATAAGAAGGCACGTGGGCCCCCCCACGTCCATGTGGGAAAGGCTCCTGGCCTTTCAACCTCCTTGCTCTTCCAGTTCCACAACTGGACTTCTCCAAAGAGACAACGCTTTGGTGGCACTGAAGCGTCTACAGTCACGTGTTCGGTATCACTGCAATGGGAAAAGCGCAGGCTGTGGCCTCCAGCGAGGGGCCTCAGTACCTACAAGTGTGACCGCAATCCACTCTTTCTCCAGCATCATCATGGAATAAGTCCATCAAAACCAACTTCTCACCCTCAACGGTGCTGTTCCCAAACCTCAAAGTATCTAAAAAGCTCTTGCCATTCTGTTTCACCAGACAAAATAGAACATATTTGGCTATAAGTTCTTTGCAGCAATAAATTATCTCACTGTCACTAAATGAAATAAAGTCCTTTAGACAAAGCTTGCTCCGAACAGGGGTCGGCAAACATTTTCTGTAAAGAGCCCAGTGGCAGATATCTCGGGCTTTACGGGTTTTACGACGTCTGTCGCAACCACTCGCTGCTGTGGTGGTGTGAAAGCAGCCACAGCCAGTATGTAAACCAACTGCCTATGCCCGGGAAAGTCTGACAGAGGCAGATGGTGGACCAGATTTGACCCATGGGCCGTGCTTTACCAACCTCTGCTCTAGAAGAACGAAATGCGGAACACGGTTCTCCTGCAGCAATTCCCAACTCCAGAGTTCCTAACATTCTGGTCCCTTCATAAAAGCCACGAGCCACAAAACCCATAGAGGCACTCAGGCGTGCAACTCACGCATAAGGAGCCCAGCCCTACGAGAAAGTCTGCTGCAAGTCCCTCCCCAACAGCAAACAGGCCACCACCATAAATGCTGCCCGTTCAGGCCACAGCAACCCTTCTCCAAAGGTCTCGTGCACAAACACAGATGCGCTTTCTGCCGACCGTCACTGAGGGAATTCAGACAGACCAAAAAGGACGCAGGAATGGGGCCCACTGCCAAGTGGGATTTACCAGAAAGATGACTCCAAAGTGCTCCGTCATGAAATATTATTATTTTAAGATCAAGGGTTGTTCAAAAAAGTAAGCTTACAAGGTCAATGACTGATGTTCATAAACAAGGTATTTATTAGCCTTATCAAAGTTTTCAGTATTTTTGCCAGTCCCAATAAGGCTAGTTAGTTTTAACTATTAACAACTTTGTTTTCCTCATTTTAAACGGACTTTTCTTCTGCAAATGTAGCCTCTGAATGAAGTACATCCTGAGGTCTGGATCTTTAATCAAAAAGACAAAAGGTTTTCCACGTACAAATTAATCGTAGCTTCATTTGCTAAGGCTTACAAAGTAAACCATGTAAGTCCACAAAGTAGGTAGGTCAAAACTGAGGGAATGAAGGCAGAAATCTGAGATGACTACATCGAGTGAACACACCAACCTTTGATCCTCAGCCTGAGACCCAGCCCAGGCCATTCTCCAAGATTCTGTTCTAGAAATGCTGTGGAAAGTGTCTGACTCCATTATTCAGACAGCCCAATAAACTACTTAAATGTTTATAATAAATTAAAGTGGTATTCCAAAAATATCTTGTAAACTTATTTGTCAAACAACCCGAGACAGAAAACAGAAGATCATATTCCCAAGCTATATTTCATTATTCTCATTTTCAAAGCACTTCACAGAATTAGGTAAAATTATATGCTTAACCATAATTTCCAGAGAGTCAAATTTAGGAATTAAAAAAAAAAAAAAATCTGATCATCTACAAATGCTTATAACGAAAGGAAAAGAGTAATCTATATACATATTTTTCATAAGTAATTTGGTTAGTGAAATCGATTTGTAAAAGTTAAATCAAAATTTTCACTTCATATAATCTACAGGTATTTTCTTCATAAGTAATTTGGTTAATGGTAAAATAGACTTATAGTAAGAGTTAGATCAAATTTTTCATTATTGAATATATCCCAATGGGGAAAATAACTCCTCTACCTTTCCGAAGGATGGAACAGGGAAGACTGTGGAGGGCAAGAACTAGACAGACCTCCCTCGGCCGCAACTGCAAGATGAGGGGCAGTCCTTTTGCAATCTACCAGGCTACTGGATACCACCACGTGATACACATTAAAAGAAAGACAAAATCAGAGGTCAATTACATCAAGTGAGATTATATAAAGTATATGTAATATACTTTATATAAAGATTATATATAAGATTATATAAAGTATATATAATATACTTTAAAGACTATATATAAGATTATATAAAGTATATATAATATACTTTATATAAAGATTATATATAAGATTATATATAATTACAAAGTATATATACTTTATATAAAGATTATATATATTACGTAAAGTATTTGACTACTCTCAACAACGACATTTTTAAGAAAATAAAGAAACTCAGACATCTGATAATGGCAGAGCACCGGATATTGAAATTGCTAAGAAATCAGCATGAATTTTCTGAGACACAAAAGCAGGAAACTGCCAAATGACCTATTTCACTTTCTGTTTCACCCATGTGTAGAACTGATCATCTCTGGTCACACTTTCGTGCTTAATCAAACTACATAATCCAAAAATGTGCTCGTGTGTGCTGTCAATTGTCTCTTTACAGAAAATACCTAATTCCAAATGTGGAAATGTAGCTATTTATCCTAATTTGTCATTCCATTTGGTGATAGTCAGAGCTACATAACCTGACTCAGTCATTATGCTGCATTCATGAGGCAAAACATTACAGATGTTTTGAGCATTAAACACGCTCAGAGTTGTGTTTAAAGTGTTTCTTTTAAATCCTTAAAATTAACATACAGTGCTTGAACAGATTTTTTCATCTATTATTGGGTTCTAAATATTCTACATTATTTTCCTCCTAAACCACTATTTTTCCCTCCACTATTTTATCTCCACAGACCTAGAGAAAGAATGAGAATCTAGAAAGGTCTTATATCTGCACTGTCCAATATAATAAACCACCAGCTACAGGTGGCTCCTGAGCACTTGAAACGTGGCTTGTCCAAATTGGGATGTTCTGCGCATGTGAAATACATAATGGAGTTTATAAAGACTTGGTATGTAAACAGAAATGTGATGTATCTCATTAATAATTCTTTAAAATTGATTGCTTGTTGAAATGATATTTTGGAAATACTGTGGTCAAATGAAATATAGCTTTAAAATTAATTTCATCTTTTTTTTTTTTTTTTACTTTTTAAAAATAGGGCTACTGGAAATCTTAAAATTACATATGGAGCTAGTTATTACGTTTCTATTGAACAGGGCTAGGCTCTGACGCAGGAAGACCTCCATGCAGGGACTTTGTCACAGGCCTCAGCCTCAGCCTGCTGGACTAACCCGCGACATCAGTATTGGCTGGAAACCAGGCATGGGACATATCTATTTTCTCTCCAACCTCCATGTCAGCACACACTGGGGACTGCTGCTTGCTAATTCACAAGGTTACCCTGATCAAACTGGAACCAGGGGTGGCGTTTTGATAAGACCGGCTTCAGGTAGGAACCCAGAGTTTCTAAGGGCTGGCACCATGAACCAGAAGCGAATCTAAAGCATGAGGTATACGAATAACCCAAGGATGTCACTGGCATTTAGATCAGCGTTTCTCAGTCTCTTTTTCATTATCAACATGCCCCTGAGCATTCTGAGAAATTAATAGCCCAACTCCACCCACCATGAGATTTTAATGCTGTGGCCCCTTAGAGACCACAAACCATTATAACGTCTAAGATTTTGTCACCACCCAAGAATGAATTTTCATCCCAATGGGGGTTATATTATTTCCTGTGTTGAGAACACAGGATTTAGCTCTACCCTCTTCCCCAAGTCCTTTGAAAACTAGCCAGGGGGCTCACTATTCCCAGAGGTTTCACTGATGTAAACATCTCTGGGGTCATCAGGATGGCATCTGCACAGTGAGCAGCTCTAGTTCTCCAAGTTTTCCTCTAGGGCAACTTGTGAGTTCATTTCAGGGAAATAAATATTCTTGAATTCGGCAGAATGGATTAAGTGTGGCGGAGGCACCATTCTAATAGCCCTGAACGACCTCAGCAGCTCCTGAAGCAACGTCTGTTTTTGAATTTTACTTAGGGCTAAGTATCAAGAAAGGCTCTGCCACTGTGTTTTCTCCTATTAACAATTAGCATGATGTAATTTACATGTTTTTCCTTTCAAGTTCACCTCCAGGGAGCTAACAGCCATATCTGCAGATGGATTCTGACACCAGATATAAGTGTATGATCTGAACATGTTCTGTGTTTGATCCTAATCTGTACCTCCGACTCTACACCGTGTTTTTCCTGGTCCTAATTATTTTCACTTTTCATTTCTATTTCATTCTTTTCTTAGAATTGCTTCCTATCACTGACTTCTAAGCCTCTGCACTGGGCCAGGGGAACAGGGAACAGCTTACCTGGGAGTGGGTGACCACTCTCTATCCGAATTAGGGTATGAGGCTGACTGAGGGTAAATCACAGCCAGGGAGAGGTTTTCCTCAGGAATATCATCTTGGAATGGAGGTATATCATTAGGAAGAGTTCTGGAGGAAAAAAAAAAAGATTAAAGTCAAAGAATTCTTAATGATAGATTCATAATCAAGTTCCAATTTTTTCTTGATTAGCTCTAAGTGCTTTGTAATTAACATGATCTCTTTAAACACCCAGATCTGTTCCAGGCAGTGGAGGGGGAAAAAGTGAGATACCGGCATCCATAAACGTGTCTATGTGCTAATGCTTTGGCCGAATTCTAATTGTAAAATGATTTTGTTTCAGCATTTGGACTCAGACACACATGCAGTGATCACACTGCTGGATCCTCCCATCGTGCCACCTCCTGCTACCCTACACGGTCATGTTCCAAAAGCCTGGGAGGTAGAGTGGCCCCAAACCGGCCCCAGGGCGGTATAAAACCCCTGCCAGGTACAGGCAGAACTGCTGAATAACTCAATGACCATACGCTGATCACATTTTGTCTAGCAGAAGAAATAAATGGCATCAACCAAACATGCCTTACGATTACAGAATAACTGCAAATGACCTCGTTTCAGGTATAAGCACACTCACTACTAAATACAATTCACAATTTCAATCATGCAGAGGCCATCTGTCTATATGTTGATGTTACCTGGAACACCTACCACTAAATTTTGTACTTAACAGCCATGCAGAGAAGGCAATTATAAGAAGCCCAATGACGCTGGTTCTAAGCCTGTCACAGGTTAGATAGAGGCTGTAGTTGGGAAAAGCAATATTCGTTGCCAGTTGACATTTATTTTTCACCACGAAAAAAGATATATTTTATTCCAAATAATGACACAGGAAGATACTCCTGATTCCCCTTATCCCTTCTTTATGTTAACAAAATTATCAAAAATTATACCGAATTATGTAAAAATCTGAAACATCAAATATCCTTCAAAATGAATTTTATCTTTTAAAACTGGCATTTTTCACCAAAATAGTAATACATACAAACAGAATTTCACCACACTGTTAAAAGCAAAGAAAAAGGAAACAAAATTTCCATTAAACTTTGGACCTAAGTCAAAATTAAAAAGGAAAAAGTTGGCTTATAGAGAAAACAGCATTTTCTTCATTCACTTTTAAGCCTGAAATCAGCCCTTGCCTATAAATCAGCCCAGTTGTGCATCGTTGGTGCTCAAATAAGAATAAATAGGTTCCAAGAAAATGGGTTTGGTCATGAACTATTAATTTGCTCAGTTCCTGTTTCTTGACTCCATTCCAGGCTGCTAAAGCGATCAGCCAAGGAGGTTTGGCATCACCAACTGTCTCTTGGCTACAGCACAGCAAATCTTTATACCACTCTAGGATTGGGTCCACATGATTCCAAAATTCAGCCTAAAATAGGGGTCCCCAACCCCTGGGGTCCATGCCCCTGTTAGAAACTGGGCCACATGGCAGGAGGTGAGCGGCGGGCAAGCTGGCAAAGCTTCATCTGTGTTTGCAGTCGCTCCCCATCCCTCACATTACCACCTAAGCTCCTCCTCCTGCCAGATGAGTGGCAGCATCAGATTCTCACAGGAGCACGAACCCTGTTGTGAACTGCACATGTGAGGGATCTGGGCTGCGCACTCCTTGTGAGAATCTAATGCCTGATGATCTGTCACCCATCACCCCCAAGATGGGACCGTCTAGTTGCAGGAAAACAAGCTCAGGGCTCCCACTGATTCTACATGATGGCGAGTTGTATAAGTATTTCATTATATATTACAATGTAATAGTAATGGAAATAAAGAGCACAATAAATGTAATATGCTTGAGTCCTCCTAAAACCATCCACCCCTGGTCCATGGAAACACTGTCTTCCACAAAACTGGTCCCTAGTGCCAAAAAGGTTGGGGACCACTGGTCTAAAACACATAAAAGAATAAGGAATTATGGGGGAAAAGTTCATAAAAATAATCTTGAACAGTTAACTGTCTGATTCTGGCACAGCCCCTCCACCCTGGACAGTTATTACCTGCTGCTCTCCAGCAGCTCCATGGCCTCATCCGAGCTCATCTCGATGGGGAACATGTCCTCATCCTCAGATGTGTTCATGTTGTCATCTCTCTTCAGGCTGTCCAGCTGTGACTTTCTCCTCCTTTTTCTTCTCTTCTTTACTACAGAGCTGCTTGACGGCGTCTCGCTGGGAGCGATCACTTGGGCTGGCGTGCTGGGGTCCAGGCCTCTCATCCTGTCCACAGAGCCCCTTTTCAGCTGGCATTCCATTCTCGAAGCTCCTTCTGACAGGATGGGGGAGGTGGCCAGGTGCATAGGGATAACTTCCTAAGAAAAGAACACATTTTCTAAAAAGAGCCTCGTTAATTCAGGTATAAGAAGCAGGGCCTTGCCAGAGGCCTCCAGGATTCACTTCAGAGGCCAAGCACCTCCTGGGGAGGGCCACAGCAGATGGCCCAGCTAGAGGCCACAGCCATGGTGACCTGGAGATGTGGCTGCCCAATCTGGTAGAAGATCAGAAAGCCAACAATGTATTGAATGCCACTTTGTACTCAATCCTGCATTTATGTAATTTTAACAATGGGAGGTAATTCTCAGTGATCTCAAGCCCCCAAAATTCAACTTTGGCTGTAATACCCAGAGCACAGAGGAAAAAAATGGGCTTTGACTCACCATATTATGCTGGGAATTGGATGCACTCTTGCACTTCTGTGTAGATGTGGGTGTGCATGGGTGGGTGTGAGAGAAAGACAGAGAATGTGTATTGTGTATTTTTTATATGCAATGAATTAAGATAATAACCATCTAAAAACCAAAAACACGTAAAACAACCGATAGCCCCGCCCAAGAACCTGCCTGCACCAGGGCCCAAGGAGGGCCCTGAACATCGAGGAAGTAGATACTGATCCTCTCCTTAAAGACAAAAGGAAAAAACACAACCTGTCCATTTAGTAGTTGTTTGTAATGATTCAGCAGTTTTTATAAAACTCTAGTAATCATTTTATTAATGAATGCCTCATTTTGTATGAGAAACTCGTTGACAATAAGAATATACATAAAACAGAGGGGATAAATAAACGTGTGCTGCTGATCATTCAAATAGGTTTGGAGAGCATCAGACATGCTGAAATAGAATGTCTACACCTGAGACACACAGCTGAGGCTGGAAGGGAGTGAGAGGTCATCTCACCCGGCTGCTGGACTGGAGCAACTAGAGAAGCAGCACAGATTCTCAGATCAAGAGCAGAGAAGGGCCCTTTGCTGTCCGTGGGCTGGAAGGGAATGGGCAGCCAGGCAGACCCCCACAGGCACATGCAGTACCAAGCAGTGCTGAAGGACACGGGCTCTCCAGCTTCCAGCAGCATCCCAGGGGTCCTAAGAGGCATCTGTATGGAGCTGAACATACTCTGGCCTCCAAGGCCCCACCCCACCCACAGGCACCCTGTCAGGCCAGCAAGACCAGCAAGCAGCCCCCATACAGGTCCCGCTGCACGCTGGCCCAAAATGCTTCCTCAGCTCCGATGGCCAAAAATCTATCTAAAGCCAGGTACAAATAGAAATTAAAAATGCAGGTGTCCACATGCAGTGCAAAGAGTTTCTGTCAAAGGCCATTAGGAACCAATTAGTATTTTTGGAGTCTTCCCATCTAAGAGAAGTGAAGAGCAGGTATGCAGGGATCCCCAGTATCAACAGGGTTGCTCCAGAACATGGAAGGGGAGATGCTGGGTCCTCCCCAGGCACCACCATTCTGGGCGGGCAGGATGGAGGCTGTGCCTGGGACTGTTCTGTCCCGAAGCTGCAATTATGGACACTTGCTTTAAAACCTGGAGCTATAAAGAACCGTTCCTTTTTAATCATAGCTGTCTTCCTGGAAAGGAACTAGTTCAAGTCGATTTCATTCAGGAATCCCTACATCAGACCCCTTTAAGGTGCTTCATCTGTGAACAAAAGAGTTAAGGAAGTGGTCTGTCTTAGTAGAAAACATAACCATAAATCATGACCTTGGATTTGGCAAAGGACTCTTTATGCATATGACACCAAAAGCATGCACAACAAAAGAAAAAACAGAATACATTAAAAAGGTAAACACAAACTTTAAAAAAAAAAATTAGACTTCATTAAAACTAAAAACTATTGTGCTGCAAAGAACACCATCAAGAAAGTGAAAAGAGAACCCACCCAATGGGAGAAAATATTTACAAATCATATACCCGATAAGGGACTTGTATCTAGAATATATAATGAAGGCATACAAGGCAGCAGTAAAAAAGAAAAACAACACACACATACACACACACACACAAACTAGCAAAGGATCTGAATAGACATTTCTCCAAAGATTCAGAAATGGCCAATAAGCACATAAAAAGATGTCAGATACCGCTGGTTATTAGGAAAATGCAAATCATAACCATAAAGAGATACCACTTCACACCCACTAGAATGACTAGAATCACAAAATCAGAAAAGTATTGGCAAAGATGTAGACAAATCACAACTCTTTGTGCACTGCTGGCAGGAATATAAAATGGAACAGCTGCTTTGTAACACAGTCTGGCAGTTCCTCAAATGTTAAATGTAAAGTTACCACATGGCCCAGCAATGCCATTCCTAGGTATGTAACCAAGAAAAATCAAACACACGTGTCCACACAAAAACTTGTATACAAATGTTCACAGCCATGTTGTTTACAACGGCTACAAGGTGGAAACAACCCAAGTTGGTTTTTTTTGGGTTTTTTTGGTTTCTTTTTTTTTGTTTTTTGAGACAGAGCCTCGCTCTGACACCCAGGCTGGAGTGCAGTGGCGCGATCTCGGCTCACTGCAAGCTCCGCCTCCCGGGTTCACGCCATTCTCCTGCCTCAGTCTCCGGAGTAGCTGGGACTACAGGCACCCGCCACCACGCCCAGCTAATTTTTTGTATTTTTAGTAGGGATGGGGTTTCACCGTCTTAGCCAGGATGGTCTCTATCTCCTGACCTCGTGATCCGCCCACCTCGACCTCCCAAAGTGCTGGGATTACAGGCGTGAGCCACCATGCCCAGCCCCAAGTTGTTTGTAATGATGAATAGAACAGATGAATGGACATGGTCTATAGATACAATGGAATACTATTCGGCCATAAAAAGGAATAAAATATTGATACATACTAAAACCTGGATGAACCTTGAAACATTAGTCAAAAAAAAACAGGCACAAAAGACCAGATACTGTAATTCCATTCAAAAGTTCAGAATAAGGAAATCTATAGAGATAGGAAGGTTAGTGGTAACTTAGGGCTCAGCAGTTGGAAGGTGGAGTATAGGGGAGGCGATACCTAAAGGGTATGGTGTTTCTTTTGGGGTTGATGAAAAGGTTCTAAATTTGACTGTGGTGATAGTTGCACCTATCTGTAAATATACTAAAACCACTACGTGTACACTTGAAATGGGTAAATTGTGTATATGTGATGTATATCTCAATAAAGCTTTTAAAATATTTTTTAAAGTAATTCAGCCACTCACTAAATAAAAGAACATTGGGCATTTGAGATTTGACACACCGATGTAATCTATACACCTCTGACAGTGGTCCAGGCCCATGTGTGAAGTCCATCCCTCTGTCTCCTGGGAAGCAGTCAGCAAACTGAAGCCAGCCAGGAGAGCTGAGTCTGTGTGGACTCAGCACACCCCTAGGCCGTCTGGCTCAAATCCCCCACACAGATCAACGCCCACTTTTCTCTGCCCCATCGTCCACACAGCCACGGCCGGTATTACTTTGCACAAACTTCTGCCGTGTTTCCAGATAACCATTACTCAAAGCTCAAAACTAGGAAGTAACCCTGACCACCCAGGCTTCCTTACCTGATCATTATCTGTTTCTTGAACAAAAAATGCTTCTCCATTATCTCCCAATTTCATATGCAAATCCACAGATTCCCCATTGATTTCTATGTCAACCTGAAGGGAAAACATGGTTAAGAAAAGAATGAACTGCCTTCACCAGGACAGGAGACCTCATGGGGACGGCCAAGTCTCCACAGATACGCTATCATCGCATACACCCTGAAGTGCCACACAACTCCCAGTCTCAGTCAGGCCGTCCCATCCAAGGGAACTGTCACTTGAGGACTGGAGGAGTTCTGGGTTCGGGAGGGCAGGTCCCTGACCAGGAAAGATGGAACCCAAAACAGTACGTTGGTGCAAAAATAACTGCAGTTTTGGCCATTATTATAATTATTAAAAATAATGGCAAAAACTGCAATTATTTTTGCAGCAAGCTAATAGAAAGATTCCTCCGAGACCACCTGGTCTAGCTCCTCCTTTTTTGGCTGAGGAGCTGAGGCCAGACAAGAGGAGTAACCAGCCCAGGGTCACATGGCTGGTGAGAGTTCAAGCTGCAATCAAAGCTTCCCCAGCCCCAGACATTAGAAATTACACCCTGGAAAACTCATCAACTATTGGCTGGGATCCTTCACACATACTCAAGGAAGAGTTTCCTCTTGAACTTAACTCAAAGGACCAATCAGGAGACATCATCCCAAAATCCACATTAGGTGGGGGCATGAAATGTCTATTTGCAAGGATTTGTTTCTTTCCATTTGTGTGGCAGATTGTCTTCTAAAACTAGCCACATCAATATCCTGGTCCTACCTGCTCTTCCAGAACCTTCGCCACTCCTGAAAATAAACTAGAAATAAAATTCTAAGCTCGCAACTGACTGAACGGACCCCCTCTGGGACAAGGAGATGCCAGAGAAACCTTAAGAACTGAGTTCCAGGCCATGATGGAATGGGAGATAGGACAGGCTTCCTCATACCCCACCTCAGTAACCACCATTACGCTTTCCTCCCTAAGGGCCAAACAGAAACCAGCCCTTTCAAAAGACTGTGCACTGGTATCAACAAAAGAAGCTGCTCTGCGTTTTTGTTTGTTTGTTTGTTTGTTTGTTTGTGTTTGTTTTTTGCCTGATAAGAGCCCAGGAACTGGTCCTGGCCCACCTAGGGAGAATGTGCCCTGAGGGTTTTCCCTTCCTCTGCTCCACCCTTTGATGTTAGACACCAGAAAACTCCACCCTTGGCTGGTGCTAGTGCCATCACGTTTTGAACATGGGTCCCATGGACAGGCAGAAGCTCAGTTGCACGTGTGCATGTTTTCCTCTCCTGAACACTCACGACCTCTCCTGTGGCTTATTAAATATGTAGATTCTGTGACCCCAGACAGCACAAATCCCTGGTCTCTTTGCCCCTTCCTCAAAGTGTCTGTTTCTGCTTCTGGCAGGAGGCTACACTTCCCAGCCTGTCAGAATTGGCCACCCTGCAGGCAGCAACCTAGTTCTCCTCTCCAAATTTATGAACTTTATCCTTCTTCCATTGACACCACCAAGAAAAGCCTATTTCTCCTCCCCTTGAGCCCAGGCAGCTTGTGATGGCCCCAACCAGTAGAGCACAGCAGACGTGACGCCATGTGGCTTGCAAGGCTAGGCCATAAGCTCCAGCATCTGCCTGTCTTCCTCCCTCTCAAGATGCTCACCTCACCACTGCCACTGTGTTGTGGGGTGCCCTGGCCACGTGGAGAGGCCATGGGTAGTTGGTATGACCAAAGCCTCAGCGAAGAGCCCAGCCAAGAGCCAGAATCAACCACCAGTCACAAAGAACGTGAGTGTTCAGATGATTCCAGCCCTCAGCCTTTGAGCTTTCCAGCTGAGGCCCCAGAGAGCAGAGACAAACCACCCCACTGTGCTCTGCCTAAATTCCTGACCCACAGATACAGGAGCTTAATAAACAGTGGTGTGTGCCACGGCACTTTAATTTACACAGCCATACTAACTAGAATAATTTCAATTAGTCACTGTCAGTTCCGTGACTGGCCATTTCCAACGAAGACCTAAAACTCTGGGTCTGAGAGTTCAAGACAGGTGGCATCACCAGAGTACAAGGGCATTCTCTAAGGAGAGCCGGTGCCAGGTCCCCGTGCCCTGAGAGCTCACCACTTTCTCTCGGGAGCGCAGGACCCCCATCTTCCCAAAGCGGACGTGGAAAGGGGAGCATTGGAGGTTTCCATTGGGCTGGCGGATGACAATGATGTCAATGCACCCTGAGAGTGTGGCGGGATTCAGCCCCTTGTAGAGCTCCTTCACGGTGACAAACACCTGGCCGGCTAACTGCCCCACGTAATTCATGGTCTGCACCTGGAAAACAGACAAAAAAAAACACACACAGACACACAATTAATCCAAGGAAGAGCCAATCAAAATGAACTCCTCACCATTTCAAAAACGTGGATTACACACTCAACTTTCAGCTCCTCTCATTTCCGGAATGTGTTCTATCCACCCCCATAGCCCATCAGGGTCCATCAGGGCCCATCAGGGCCCATCACGGCCCATCAGTGTCCATCATGGCCCATCAGGGTCCATCACGGCCCATCACAGCCCATCAGGGTCCATCACGGCCCATCAGGGTCCATCAGGGTCCATCAGGGCCCATCATGGCCCATCAGTGTCCATCATGGCCCATCACGGACCATCACAGCCCATCAGGGTCCATCACGGCCCGTTACGGCCCATCACGGTCCATCATGGCCCATTACGGCCCATCAGTGTCCACCATGGCCCATCATGGACCATCAGAGCCCACCAGGGTCCATCACAGCCCATCACGGCCCATCAGGATCCATCACAGCCCATCATGGCCCATCACGGCCTATCACCCCAACTCCCACAGCAAGCCCACCAGTCTCCACTCTCCCAGAGTCCAGCACAGAGAGCCTTGACCCCATGATGTCTAATCTCAGTTGTCCCCAGGCCCTGTCTCCTCTGCAGTCCCATGAAGCTTTTTTATATTGTCCTTAGGACCACTGCCACCTGCCCCTTCTTCTGTCATGATGGACAGGTTTTGCACACTAAATCTCAAGACTGTAGAGGAAAGAGACTATTTCATACAGCGTAGGATCCCCCATCGTGCCAATCATAGTAGCTACTTGATATTAGTTGAAAAACAAATGACTGCTTTTACTGGAGAAGGGAAATGAATGATTTTTGTTTGTGACAATTTCCATGTGGCCTTTGCCTGCCTGTCTGACTTCTCTCCACTGCTCCAGGGAACACCAGCGCTCTGGGCTGCTGGCCAGCTGTCAACTGCAATCCACTTAGCAAACATTCAGGCCATCTCTCCTCTACAGGGCCTGGGGCCACACCAGAGATAAAGAAGAAAGTCCTGTCCCCTGGAGAGACTCACAGGCTCGTGAAGGAAACACAGGTAATATACAAGGAACTAGCGGGGCATAGTAGCTCATGCCTATAATCCCAGCACTTTGGGAGAATGAGACAGGTGCATGGCTTGAGCCCAGGAGTTCGAGATCAGCCTGAACAACACGGCATAATCCCATCTCTACTAAAAACACAAAAATTAGCTGTGCGTGGTGGTACATACCTGTAGTCCCAGCTACTTGGGAGGCTGAGGTGGGAAGATCACTTGAACCCAGGAGGTGGAGGCTGCAGTGAGCTGAGATCGTGCCACTGCACTCCAGCCACGGAGCGCAAGACCATATATATGACATATATAAATGCATGTCAGCAACACTTACATATATTTTAGTCGTTGTGTGTGTGTGTGTGTATATATATATATATATATATATATACACACACACACACACACACACACATTTGAAGATAGGATCTTGCTCTGGCTGGACAAAAGACCCTATCTCCAAATATATATATATATATATACACACACACACACACACACACACTAAAATATATGTCAGTGTCACCGAATTTGTTTTAAGTAAACACTAAGGGAGTTATGATCAAGGAAAGAAGGTGCATCAGAGGAGCTGGCGCTGGAGGCGGGCTTGGAGGACAGGGACACCCTCAGATGTCAGACGACAAGGTGGACAGGGTACAACGAGAGGTCCATGCAGAAGCATGGAAGCTTAAAACCACCAGACTGGAAGAGGGAGCTGCACCCAGAACACAGAATGTGCACTAGGGAAGAATGGAGAGTGCGAAACCGTGCCAGGAGATGCGGGCTCTGCTGTGTGAAGCCATCGGATTCTGGAACAAAATGACACTTTGATCCAAGATTTAGAAAAAGCATCACCGTAACAATGTAAAGACTGGCAAGAAAAAAACCTGACGGCAGGAAGACTAGGAGAGAAACGATTCCTTCCCCGCCTGGAAAGGAGGTAGGGACAGACGAAAAAGAGGGAAAGGGACAGGCCAAGAGATATTCTGGGTTCAAGCAGCTGGACTGCGAGCTGCCGCCGTGTTATGCCCTTCTTTTCGTAGCTCTGGATCCCTGACCACCTGGTGCAGTCCACACCTGCCCACATCACTGTCCACTCTGCCCGGCTCTCCGCTCCCAGCCTTCTGCCGTCACTGTGCCCTGCTGTGCTAACCGGCGGTCGTGACTGGCCCATGGCACTCACATCTTATCCCTGGACTGGGTCATGGCAGGCGGGAGTCCTCCAGCCCTCCTCTCTCCACTCCTTGCTGGGCTTCATGGGGTCATGCCATCAACCCTCCTCAGGCCCTTCAGGGACGTGGCACCTCTCAGTGGCCGTCCAGTCTCTGGAGCCTCTTCTTTTCCAGCTCTGACTTATACTCCAGGGCTGAGTCCTAGACTCTCTTCTCCTCTCCCGTTTATTCACCTGATGGTTTGGCGGACTCGTGAAGCCACGTGGTTGCAAATACTGCCCAAACAGGAAGGATTTGCATGACGTAACTTCCAGTCCACCCCGAGACTTCACCCCTCCTCCTGGTCCACACTGCTCCCATTCTTCAAGGCAACTATCCCAGGACACATGTGACCACACTGACAAAACCCCCACCTCAGGTCACCTACAGACTCCAGGAAACACCACGTGTGTGAACCTGTGGCTCACAAACCTGCTGTGTAGAAAGGTTGGTTCTGGGAGCTTTTCCTATCATTCAGTGGCGCTGTGATATTATGATGTAATAGGAAATATATATTTTGGTCTTCATCCCCAGATCCAAGCCAGAACTCCTAAACCCCTTATAATTTCTAAGTGATCAGAGTGATAGGAATGTCTTTTGTTATGATATTTCATTTTCCTCCCCTGCTCCTGAAATAGCTCCTTAGCTCCAGAGCAATAAAGGTGAAAGGAGTGTCTTCTGTCATTCATGATAAGCCCTCTTCACCCACACCAAAGTTTAATCAGAGGACTCTCGGAGGATGGGGGCTGGACCACAGCTGCCAGAGGAACAAATCTGTAATGAGAGTTGGTGCCTTCAGCCACTCCCCACCCACCCACCACCCCACCCCCAACCTCCAGGGAGGGAGAGGGGAGGGAGATTAAGTGTAATCAATGGCCGATGAGTTAATCAATCTCGCCTTTGTAATAAAGCCTCCATAGAACCCGAAAGAAAGGGGCTCAGAGAACTTCCAGGTTGGTGAACGCGTGGCAGTGCTGGGAGGCTGGGGTGCTAGAGAGGGCATGGAAGCACCACCGCCGCCTCCACCGCCTTGCCCTGTGCACCCTTCCATCTGGCTACTCCGGAGTTGCATCCTTTATAATAAACCAGTGACAATCAGTAAACTGTTTCCCTGAGTTCCGTGAGCCGATCCACAAAGGAATGAACGCGAGGAGGGGGTCATGGGAACCCCCGATTTATAGCCAGTCAAGCAGAAGCACAGGAGGCCCAGACTGTGACTGGCATCTGAAGTGAGGGACAGCTTGTGGGAACGAGCCCTTAACCTGTGGAATCTGATACTAACTCCAGGTAGATGGTGTCAGAATTGAATTGAATTATAGGCACCCAGTTGGTGTGCTCCGAGAGCTGGAGAACTGCTTGGCGTGCAAGAGACACACACACGTTTGGTGTCAGAAGCGTGTATGAGAGTAGAGGAAATTGTATGGTTTGTTTGTTCTTTTATAAGCTACATTCTTAAGGCCAAGGATAAAGCCTTGGTCTTTCAAGTTAAAAAAACAAAATATACCTTTTGTAAATCTTACCTCAACCCCTATGAAATAAGCAAAAGTGAGATCAGCACACCCATTTGCAAATGAGGCTCAAGAGTGGTCAAATCCCCTGCATGCAGGGGCTGGTAAGAACTGCGGATTTAATTCTAATTTAGAACAGGCCAGAGAACCAGAAGTCATGAATGATACCTACAAAGAATGCAAGAAGCCCTCCCAGGTTCATTTTACAATTTTAAATGAAGCTCTCTGTACTGATACACCTCCTCTCTCAACCGAGGAAACAAGCCCAGCCCTTAGTAAACACACTCAAGGAGGAACACACATCTGCCTTCCTTTTCACCTGGGAGTAAACACCAGAGCCCAGCTCCCCCTTGATCTGTCCTGCTAATACATCACATATATATAAACATCAAAACACACATTTTTCTAAGTTTACAAGTGGTGCAGGTTTAACTTCATGCAAAAAAGGTGCAGTGGGATGGTTCCTGAAAAGATGTACAATATAAGAAATGATTCTTTGTAACCCTAATACTTCTTATTCCTTCCACGTTGAACTTAGATTTTAACGTGTGTTTGGTAAGAGAGGTAACCCTCTAACTCTAAAACTACGTGCAAGCAGTATTAATAACATCTTTGTACAATTTCTTTCATATACGTTATCTCATGCTGACTGTCACAAAACCCTGTAGGAATGCAGCCTTTCAGATGGTAAAACCAGAAGACAGCCAAAGTGCAATGAAGATCACAGGGCTGGTGAAGAGGGGCTCTCTGGATTGACACGCCCCATTTCACCAAACTGGAACCCAGGTCTTTGGATTTTGAAGTGACCTCTCTTTCGGTTCTGTGAAGCTCCTTCTCATGTCCCCCCCATCTCTTTGCCTTCATCACCCTTGCACGTGAGCTATGTTTGTCACCGAATGATGAGACCACCTCCCCAGCAGTGAGGCCCCAACCCCAGGCCAGCACATCTACGAACTACTGTTGGTATTTTTTTACTCACAAGAAAAAGAAAGCGAGAGACATAAGGGCAGCATTAACAGAAACCTCCCCCTCCCCCTCCCCATGGTCTCCCTCTCCCCACCGTCTCCCTGTCCCTCTTTCCACGGTCTCCCTCTGATGCCGAGCCGAAGCTGGACTGCACTGCCGCCATCTCGGCTCACTGCAACCTCCCTGCCTGATTCTCCTGCCTCAACCTGCCGAGTGCCTGCGATTGCAGGCGTGCGCCGCCACGCCTGACTGGTTTTCGTATTTTTTGGTGGAGACGGGGTTTCACTGTGTTGGCCGGGCTGGTCTCCAGCTCCTAATCGGGAGTGATCTGCCAGCCTCGGCCTCCTGAGGTGCCGGGATTGCAGATGGAGTCTCGTTCACTCAGTGCTCAATGTTGCCCAGGCTGGAGTGCAGTGACGTGATCTCGGCTCGCTACAACCTCCACCTCCCAGCCGCCTGCCTTGGCCTCCCAAAGTGCCGAGATTGCAGCCTCTGCCCGGCTGCCACCCCATCTGGGAAGTGAGGAGCATCTCTGCCTGGCCGCCCATCGTCTGGGATGTGAGGAGCCCCTCTGCCCGGCTGCCCCCAGTCTGGGAAGTGAGGAGTGCCTCTTCCCGGCCGCCATCCCGTCTAGGAAGTGAGGAGCATCTCTGCCCGGCCGCCCATCGTCTGAGATGTGGGGAGCGCCTCTGCCCCGCCGCCCCGTCTGGGATGTGAGGAGCGCCTCTGCCCGGCCGCGACCCCGTCTGGGAGGTGAGGAGCGTCTCTGCCCGGCCGCCCCGTCTGAGAAGTGAGGAGCCCCTCCGCCCGGCAGCCACCCCGTCTGAGAAGTGAGGAGCCCCTCCGCCCGGCAGCCGCCCCGTCTGGGAAGTGAGGAGCGTCTCCGCCCGGCAGCCACCCCGTCCGGGAGGGAGGTGGGGGGCAGCCCCCGCCCGGCCAGCCGCCCCGTCCGGGAGGGAGGTGGGGGGTCAGCCCCCGCCCGGCCAGCCGCCCCGTCCGGGAGGGAGGTGGGGGGCGCCTCTGCCCAGCCGCCCCTTCTGGGAAGTGAGGAGCCCCTCTGCCCGGCCGCCACCCCGTCTGGGAGGTGTACCCAACAGCTCATTGAGAACGGGCCATGATGACAATGGCGGTTTTGTCGAATAGAAAAGGGGGAAATGTGGGGAAAAGATAGAGAAATCAGATGGTTGCTGTGTCTGTGTAGAAAGAAGTAGACATAGGAGACTCCATTTTGTTCTGTACTAAGAAAAATTCTTCTGCCTTGGGATGCTGTTGATCTATGACCTTACCCCCAACCCGGTGCTCCATGAAACATGTGCTGTGTCCACTCAGGGTTAAATGGATTAAGGGCGGTGCAAGATGTGCTTTGTTAAACAGATGCTTGAAGGCAGCAGGCTCGTTAAGAGTCATCACCACTCCCTAATCTCAAGTACCCAGGGACACAAACACTGCGGAAGGCCCCAGGGTCCTCTGCCTAGGAAAACCAGAGACCTTTGTTCACTTGTTTATCTGCTGACCTTCCCTCCACTGTTGTCCTATGACCCTGCCAAATCCCCCTCTGCAAGAAACACCCAAGAATGAGAAAGAAAGAAAGAAAAGAAAGAAAGAAAGAAAGAAAGAAAGAAAGAAAGAAAGAAAGAAAGAAAGAAAGAAAAGAAAGAAAGCAAGCTAGCTAGCTCATAACTGGATAGCATTACCACATCTCTGCATCCTAGCCTCTCCTCTGTAAAGGGGGCGCATTGGCCTGAGTGACCTGCAAGGTCTAATTCCAGCTCTATCCGTTCCAAGACAAAGGCTCCACTCCTTAGTTCTTAGCAACTGAAGAAGCATCTTTAATAACTGAATCGTTGCTCTGCTCTCTTGTTCTCAACTAAGGGATCCTTAGTTGTTGTTCCAACAACCTCATTTTTTAAAAGTAAGCCCAGAAACAGGAAGTGACTTAGCGAAGCTCCCCCCATGGCAAAGACAGAGCCAAGACTACAGTTTCTTCTGTGACCTTCCCACTGGATTGGTCTGGAGTATTTTCCTACCGCAAAGAATCAGAAGGTGCTTTGATATCAGCTGTGGCTTTAGCTTAGATTAGTGGTGCTTTGATATCTTTAGCTGTCCCCTCTATTGAATAACTTCTTTGCAAATCTGAAAATACCTGGATTTGAAAGCAGGAAATCTTCTCAATAATTCTCAACAAGTGACAGGGTCATGGGCTCCACCTGGCAGTCTTTTGTCTGTTCCTAGGAACTCAACATCTACACCCTGGGCCTGCCTTAAACTAAGCACTGAAAGTTTTTAAAAGGGTGAATACCACCACCTCACATCTATTAAGATGGCTACTATTTAAGAAAAAAAAAGACAGAATATAACAAGTGTTGGCAAGGATATGGAGAAACTGGAACTCTTGTCCACTGTTGGCGGGAATGTAAAATGTGGAGCCACTTCAGAAAATAGTCTGAATTCCTCAAAAAAATAAAAATAAAATTAGCTTATGATCCAGCCATTCCAGTCCCGGGTATATATCAAAAAAAAAAACTGAAAGCAGGTCTCGAAAAGATATTGGCACACCCATGGTCGTGGCAGCATTATTCATAATAGCCAAAAGGAGGCAGCAACTCCAGTGTGACAGATGAATGGAAAAGCAAAATGCGGTCCATCCATATCATGGACTATTACTGAGCCTTAAAAAGAAAGGAAATTCTGATACATGCTACTGTGTAGATGAACCTTGAGGACAGTAGGCTAAATGAAATAGGCCAGTCACAAAAGGACAAATGCTGTATGACTCTACTTACATGAGCTACCTTAGACAGACAAACTCATAGAAACAGAAAGACTGATTACCAGGGGCTAGGGAGAAGCGGAAAATAGGGAGTCAGTGTGTGTTTAATGGGTACAGGGTTTCCATTTTGCCACTGAACCACACACTTAAAGATGGTTAAAATGGCAAATTTTATGTTATATGTATTTTATCACAATTAACTTTTTTTTTTTAAGAATTGGGGAGAGAGAAAATTGTATTAACCAGAACTCATTTCAGGAAGCCAGGATACTATTTGGTTAAACAATTTCTTTGAAAGAGAGCTTGGGGTGGAGGGGGCAATCCCTCCCCCAGGAGGCACGGGAGGGACCATGCCCTTTAAGGGACCGGGGTGGGCCCAGTCACCCCAGGCACCTGTTGCCTGGAGGGGTGCAGGCAGGTTAGAGGCAGCCAGGCTCTTCTTTCTCTGCCCTTCCTCCAAGCTCTCTTTGAAATAAATCTAGCACATATGTTTAAAGAATACAAGAATAAACCAGCTGGGCATAAATTCCCAAATTTTACTCTCAGTTATGTTTCGAGTAAAAGGCTGGAGGAAGAAGCTAATTTACCTGAAGAAGTCAGACAAACCCAGCCAATCAACCCACCTCCCCATACCTGCCCATTAATCTCATGACTGTCTTTGGTGTCAGTTTCCTGCTGTCTGCTAAAACACGTGATCAAGCAGTGAGGGGAATATCTGCTTTAAAGAAGAAAGTATCTTAATTACCTCAAGGGTGACAAACGATAAACAAAACCTGCAGAGGACCAAATGGAAGGCTTCAATTTCCAGTGGAACGGCTTTCAGATGCCTGCTATTCACTCACCCCATACCAAATTCCTTTCAAACCTACTGACTTTAATCTCAAAATTTGGCAAGAAATAGCAGCTTCACCTCACGGGATTTTATTTACCACTTGAAACAGGACTCTACAACCCCTAGTTCAAATGTTTTTGATGGAAAACTCAGCCAAATCTTACAAATATCCTTTGGCAAGACTGGGTTTCTCTAACTGTGGATTTTCAGAAAAGCTCTAAGGTTAAGAAACATGTAAGTTTTTTCAATGTGACATCGTCTAGCTTGACCTTCTGAAATAATACAAATTTTCTGAGGTTATTACATCCCACTGGAATACCATCTTTCCAGATACCTCTGGGTTAGAAACTGTTTTATGTTAGAACCAAACAGATAATACACCAAAGAACATAAAAATCTACAAGCGTATTCCACTTAGAATTCTACCTATGACATTAATAATAAATAGCATACTCAACTCGAACAGCATCGATTATTAAAAATAAATATAGGGGCCGGGCACTCACGCCTATAATGCCAGCACTTTGGTAGGCCAAGGAGGGCGGATCACCTGAGGTCAGGAATTCGAGACCAGCCTGGCCAACATGGTCAGGCTCTCTACAAAATACCCCATCTCTACAGAAATACAAAAATTAGCATGATGGTGAGTGCCTGTAATCCCAGCTACTCGAGAGGCTGAGGCAGGAGAATTGCTTGAACCCAGGAGGCAGAGGTTGCAATGGGCTGAGATCACGTCATTGTACTCCAGCCTGGGCGACAGAGTGAGACTCCATCTCAAAAAAATATAAAATAAATAAATAAATAAAGGGATTTGAATTATTTTAGTCCACGCCTCTTAATGGACAATTCAGGAATCTGCTGTTCCACTCATTTATTATGCAAGTAAATAACAATGATTTTAATTCCCTTTCTAGTTCCTTCAACTAGAACATTACCTAAGGCACGTTATCTGGGACATAACAGTGGGTCCATTTTCACATTGTGGGTTTGCTCCTTGGAAATGAAATGATGTCATGGTAAGCAACATCTAATTATATATAAGACTGGCCGAGCAAATGCAAATGCAAAACTGTCTCAATAAATGTACTCTTACAATCCCCGTTTTTGTTCATCTTTCTCACTTGTACTTTTCTTCCTACTCTCCTTTCTTTAAGAACTAAGTGGCCAGGCGTGGTGGCTTATGCCTGTGATCCCAGCACTTTGGGAGGCCAAGGCGGGCAGATCATGAGGTCAGGAGACCGAGATCATCCTGGCTAACACGGTGAAACCACGTCTCTACTAAAAATACAAAAAATAAGCCAGGCACAGTGGCACGCACCTGTAGTCCCAGCTACTCAGGAGGCTGAGGCAGGAGAGTCGCTTGAACCCAGGAGGCGCAGCTTGCAGTGAGCCGAGACGGCGCCACTGAACTCCAGCTTGGGCGACAGAGCGAGACTCTGTCTCAAAAAAAAAAAAAAAAGAACTAAGTGTCTTGCAGGAGTTGAACAATAATTACCCCTCAAATCTGGATTTCCACCTGCCTCCTCCATTTCCTCCCCCGGCTGTCCAGGTATATGACCCCTTCATAAACATGCCCACACAACTCTATCTTTCAGCCTCAACCTTCTCCTCAGCCCTCCAGCCCAGCCATCCAGGGCAGTAGCTTGATCAATATTACTGTCATTTGTCAAGTGGCTGAACAGACATCTGTCTACCAAGTGAGTCTTCTCTCCTTGAGGACAGGGACGAGGCTTGCTCATTTCTGACGCGGTACCTGCCCCATCGCAGGGCCCATCTCAAGCAAGAAACTTTTATTTTTGGTCCCATCACGACATTCCAGAGTGTAAAACAGCAAGATGCACCCACCACCCTCAAAGTAGCTTGGCAAGTCGGGGCACGAGGGGGAAAAGCACTAAAATTTAAAAATGAGAAGAAATGGCCGGGCGCGGTGGCTCATGCCTGTAATCCCAGCACTTTGGGAGGCTGAGGCGGGCGGATCACGAGGTCAGGAGATCGAGACCATCCTGGCTAACATGGTGAAACCCCGTCTCTGCTAAAAATACAAAAAAGATTAGCCGGGCATGGTGGCGGGCGCCTGTAGTCCCAGCTACTTGGGAGGCTGAGGCAGGAGAATGGCGTGAACCCGGGAGGCAGAGCTTGCAGTGAGCCGAGATCGTGCCACTGCACTCCAGCCTGGGTGACTCCGTCTCAAAAAAAAAAAAAAAAATTAGAAGAAATGAAGAAGACAGCAGGAATTGTTCTCTGCCAGAGCATAAATTTCACAAGACAATGCTCCCAAACAAAATTCACTGCAAACAGTTTAAATAAACAGCTGTGACACCTAAGGGTAAGACTGAAAAGCAGAAATGACACAAAATTGGGGGTCGGAAGGCCTGGCTGTGAGTGTTAACTTCTGGCATTTACCAGCTATGTGTGTGGGAGCAGGGTATTAACACAATGGCTCTGACTGAGCCCACCAGGCTGTCATCCTCAGTGGTCAACACAACGACTAGTTTGGAAAGGTCTTTGCTCCTGGACAACACATGCAAAATCTTATTATTGTCATGACCTCCCATAGGAGGTGGCTACAGAAGCAAGGCTCAGGGTTGGCCCTGGATGTGACACCTTCAAAACTGCTCTCACCCGCAGCATCACCACTCCCTGACAGAGCCTCTCAGAAGGTAAAGTCAAAAGCCATTGTTCAAAACCTTCCCTACAACCCTTAAGGACTTAGAAAGGCCGAAACACCCTCCTGGGTTCAGTCTGTGATTGAAGACTTCTCTGGCACTTGCTCAGCTCCGAGTGATTCATCATTTCCTGGAGAGAAGCTACCCAAAACCCACTCACTGCCCAGAGAGCAAACACGATCTGTCACATCTGCCCTCACGGCAGGTGCTTAAAGGGCACCTGTGGGCTTAAGGCACATCCAAGGAGCCTGGTGATTCAAAAGCCAACCTAATATCACTCTGGGATGGGGTGCCCCTTATCTGTGTTCCTGTTATCAGCAGGAAATTACAGCTCTCAGATACAGACCTGGCTGCTGCTCGTGGGGCCAACGGATCATGTCAGGACAACTAAATGACCACCCCTGGCACCCTTCCTCTAGGGAAGGCACTGTCGGCTCCCCAGCTGGGCTTGACAGGGACGATTTTGGGGCTTCCTGCTCACTGCCCTAGCCGCCCTCCTCTGAGCACACTACAGTCAGTGTCTCAGCACCTGGGGACTCTATCTGTGGTCCGCCCAGCACTGGATAAAGTCACAAACATCACGCTGTTACTGGTGTTCGCCGAGATCACATCCACCTTGGAGGTTTACAAGACAAATGAGGATTTTCATCCAAAGCATTTAAAAACACAAAAAGCTTCTAGGAAGTGCCCAAAATGGTATCATGACTAATAAGACTTGCATGAAAATGAAATTGATTTATAAATAGTGTTAGCTTCCTCCTGTAATTTACACTTACGGCAAAGAGGAAGTCTTTTCAGAGCATTGTGGACTGATACTTAACGGCGGTTGATAAGGGTGATGAATTACCTGTGACAAAAGAGGAAGTCTGGCTCAGACTCAGGGTGATACAGGGAAAGGAACACAGACAGAAAGTCAGGCCACCTGGGCAGCAGCCCACGCCCTGCTGTAACTGGCACACACTTATAGGCAGCTGCTGCCCTCTGCCAGGTCTGGATTGACTGAGTCCACCAGCGTCCCTGTGGTTAAACTGTCCTGGCCAGAGTGCCTTGAGGAGCTTCTTAAACAGAAGAGCACAGCTCTGCATCCATCACTACCTGCTGGGAAATTGGGGACTTTCTTGGCATGCCAGGGTTCGTGAGACATTCCCGTCCAAAATACAAAAACTCACTAGAAAAGCTGGAGATGCTTTAAAAGGCCTGCAGGTCAGAGGCCCTGCAAGTCAGAGGCCTTTTAAAGGTCTTTCAATACTTCCTGACAAAAGTGATGAAAGAGCAAAAACAGCCAGCCCTGGGGTCCCGCCACCAAAGCCCTGCCTGTGTTAGGCAGGTGGGAAATTTTGCAGCTCTTGCAGTGAGCTTCCAGGGTGGCAAAGTGGCAGGCGTCTCCTCCTCCAGCACACCCCCACCCTGCTCATCCCCCTCCTTGCCCAGGGACAGGAGGGCGTTCCCATAATTAAGCTCATCTGTAGAACTCCAGCACACAGCAGACGCTCCAAAGCATTCACGACCGCAATTTCATACAGTTCCAGAAAGGACAGCACTGCGGACACTGTCAGGATGAGGTGACAGAGGTCACATGGTTTCTTGCCTCACGATTAAATTAGAAAATTCCACATTTATTCCAAAATTGGCAGAATCCATCTCCAGGCTTCACAAATTGCCAAGAAACGCTGCTTTCTTGGAACTGCCAAAATTCAAAACCCCTGCCACAGCTTTCCTAACCCCACAATTTTTGCCAACACCAGCCACCTCTAGAAGATTAAGGTCAGTTTAAAATGGCCTTGGAGGCCGGGCGCGGTGGCTCACGCCTGTAATCCCAGCACTTTGGGAGGCCGAGGCGGGCGGATCACGAGGTCAGGAGATCGAGACCATCCCGGCTAAAACGGTGAAACCCCGTCTCTACTAAAAATACAAAAAATTAGCCGGGCGTAGTGGCGGGCGCCTGTAGTCCCAGCTACTTGGGAGGCTGAGGCAGGAGAATGGCGTGAACCCGGGAGGCGGAGCTTGCAGTGAGCCGAGATCCCGCCACTGCACTCCAGCCTGGGCGACAGAGCGAGACTCCGTCTCAAAAAAAAAAAAAAAATGGCCTTGGAACAGCTCAAAAGAAAAAATGGACAAAACATATAGACAGTTCACATTTGGCCAATAATATATGAGAGAGATATTCAACCCCATTCATAATTAAAGATACAGGAATCGAAAGAGGCCTTTCAGATGGTCCAAAATCAAAGCATTTCATTAAAACCCCAGGGCCCATGAAAAGTAGGAGAATCAGACATCGTCACTCACTACTAACAGGGTCATAAATGGGGTAAGCAATGTGGCAATGCCCATCTTTTGGGGCACCTATTGGCAAACCCTAGCAACTATACCGCTGGGAACTGATTGTACAAATACAGTAAGATCCGTGTACAAAAACAGTAACTGTAGCATTAATTGTAATAGGGAAAATCAGAAATAACTTAATATCTGTATGACTCTGGCTTAATAAATTATGGGCCATCCACATTGTAAAATGGAATATTATGAGGCTGATAATAAAATGGTAGAGAGGTAGCTCCATAAATATTAACATGAAAATGTATATATAGAATGAAAACAGGTACAAAAATACTTATAATATGGACCCATTGTGGTTTTTTGTTTGTTTGTTTTGTTTTGTTTTGAGACGGAGTTTCGCTGTGTTACTCAGGCTGGAGGGCAGTGGCGCAATCTCGGCTCACTGCAAGCTCCGCCTCCCAGGTTCACGCCAATCTCCTGCCTCAGCCTCCCGAGTAGCTGGGACTACAGGCGCCTGCCACCAGCCTGGCTAATTTTTTTGTATTTTTAGTAGAGACGGGGTTTCACCATGTTAGCCAGGATGGTCTTGATCTCCTGACCTCGTAATCCACCCATCTCGGCCTCCGAAAGTGCTGGGATTACAGGCGTGAGCCACCGCGCCCAGCTGGACCCATTTTTAAAAAATTACATTTGTACATATTTTGATATGCATAAAAAAATTCTGGAATGAGATACATACAAAACAAGATTCACAAGATTCACCCCTGGGGACCAGCCTGGGAAAAGGAGGAAGAGATCTTCACTTTTTATCATAAATACTTCCCATAGTGTTGCTTTCTAGCTTGTGTTTTTTATGTCTGCATGTATTTCATGTCAATTATTAGTAACCTCAGAGAACTGGGAGTGAAGGATGGAAAACTCTGGTCCACTCAGTCTCAGGGTCTCCATCACTGAAACCACTGAGACAGGACAGGGTGCTGGACAGGGGTACTCCTGCTTTGGAGGGAAGGTCAGATGAGTGATCACTCAGCTCCTCCAGCGCTGACACTTTGCAACCCTCAGATACCACAACCCCAGGTGACGCTTGTTCTCACGTTCCTGCCAAGAAATACAAATGGCCTGGATAAAGGTGGGTGTAGACATCTAAATATGGTATGACAACTATGCTGAGCAAAACAGCCCAAGGCTTTGACTCCGATCCTTTGGCTCTTAATTATTTAGCTCACTGATTAAGGACAGGACGTTCTTTTCCTTCAAAGACCCAATGGCACATTCTCTCTACGCACTTTCAAGAGCCCTCTGTCCAAATTCGTGTCTTGGTCAAAAAGAATGCTCTGCCCTTATAACTTTATTTCTGTATTACCCCCCACCCCTACCACACCCCAGCAATTGGGAGGTGGGCATATATCACCTGGGTGTTCCAGGGCACTATTAGGAGACAATATAGCTCAGCAGGTAAGAGCGCAGGCTCTGGAGGTATTCAAATCCTGCCTCCACCTTCCACTAACTCTGTGATCAAAGACAGGTTACTAAGCTCTCTGCACTGCAGTTTCGCATCTATTTTATAAAAAGGGATGACATCAGCACAGCCACCTCATAGGACTGTTGTGAGGCAGTAAATGTAAAGTACTTTTCAAAGCACATGCACCAAATAAAAACCACGTGCTAATTCTGTGACCACAAACTGGTTCCAGACAAAATCCGGTCTTTGAATAACGTCTCTTGCCAGAGGGGACTTTGTATATATCACCTATTTAAATAGTACCTTCCCAAAAAGACAGAGGCAAAGAATATTACTAGTTAAAATGAATACAGAACTATTTGAAGGCTATGCCTACATTCCACATTCTCATTTGCCCAAAATCTGAGCCCAAAGAGGCCACCCCGAGACTGGTGGCATTCTGGCATTGCACAGAGTCCAATGGTGGGACATTGTTTTGCCAGAACAGTTGTCTGGGCGCCTGTCTTGTCTGGTGCCCATTATCCTAAAACCCTTGTTGCTTGTCTCCTGTCTTGTAAACTGAAGACCTACAGCCTAGTGAGATCCATGAACGCGGAGGACGACTTCATCAAAAAGTGAGTGTGTGTGGCTAGGGGACAGAGGGCAAGGGGAGAGGTGCGAGGGCTTCCAGGGAGCGAGGCCGGGGAGGGGAGGGGGGCACAAGTGCGTGCCAGCAGGCAAATGGGGGTGTTGGTTGTGTCTCCCATGCAGGGTCTGTGGTCAACTTTGTGAGCCAATGCAAATCAGCTCACACTCAGGAACAAACAGGCCTCCTTACAGAGCAAAGTGCCTGTTCTAACAGCCTATGGCTATTTCTGGAAAGCCCCAGCATTCAGCATCAGCCGAAAATTTTAAGTTGTTGCAAGAATCACAACATTTGGTCAGTGGGTTGAAAAATCCACTGTAACCATGACCCTGTAGCCATGACCACCGGTGTGAAAATGCTTCTGGCTTCTCTCCTGATGGAGCCCAGTCCATCTGGTTCCTCCCAACCTCTCAGCTGGGAGTGGGAGCGGCACAACGCGCCCTGCATCCCTCAGTGTGCAGAACAGCCTGTGGGCCAGACACTGCTGAGGTTTTAAGACTCCTGGGCCACATACCTCATTGTGAAAAGTGTCAGCCTGGGTCTGGGTCAGCCCAGACCCAGAGCTTTCTACAGGCAGAAACTCACTACTCAACATATCCCTGGCTGCACAGACCCCACCCCAACCCCAGCTGCTAAGGGCTTGTTGGGGTGAATTACAGGTAGGGAGACAGACAGGGGAAAGCTGTGGAAAGAGGAAGAGGAAGGGAACCCACAGGAAGGGAGGTCAGGGCACTTGCTTCGGACCCCAGCAGCCCCAGGGCCCAGTGTGGCCTCCTAGGGGGCACAGATTCCCTTCAGGCGCTGGTGCATCCTCTGATCAAGGAGCAGGGCCAGTGTGGGTGTGTCCCCTCGACACACAGGCATGGGCCCCTCTCTCTCTCCAGACCCTCCCTCACAGCTCAGAAAGCGAACATTTCAGAAACAGCCATCCGATAGGCACCTGGGCCTCTTCTGAATGAAGAACCTGTGACGTCACTGAACGGCTTTGCTTGGGTTTTGTCCCAACTCTTTTTTCCCCACACACCCCGTTCCAGTTTTAAATGAGTGGGCTTATTATACAATACATTGGTCCAGGGTTCAATAAAGTGTCAAAATTGTGACTTTGCCCTTCTCAAGGAACAAGCCCCAAAGCTGCTAGTGGGTGATTCCAGGGACTTCCTCCTCAGGACCCCTCAAAAGCTCCAAGATCCCACGCCCGGGCTACCAGTGAGGAAGTGCAAGTGCAAACAGGTCGAACCACCAGCCTCGGTGTCCTGGCGGGACCTAACACCTGGATGTCTCTCAAAATGCTCCAAAAGCTGCCGACATCCGTGCAACAGCCCCCTCCCACCCTAAGGAAAAAGCTGCCTGTACCCCTCGACTACCCCCATTGGCAGGCTTGCCCAAATCAATTAACCTCATTTAGGTACCTTTTAGGCCTTGAACCCAGTACACAGATGGTCCGGAAAAGCCAACCGGAAGAGAGGTGGCAGGCAGGGGGAGGGGGTGTCCCACAGGGATGATTTACAGAGCAGAGGCCGGCGTCAGCCAGGACTGTCCCAACCCCACAAAGAGCCCCTCCTCGCTGGCACCCTGTGGCACTTTAAAATCATAACAACCACAATGATTCGTGGACCCCATATTATGTTCCAGGGGCTCTTTTTTATCTCAATTAATTTTTGCAACAATCCTGTGAATGGGTATGATTATCCCTTCATTTTACAGATGGGAAAACTGAGGCTCAGAGGATTGAAGTCTTCTGCCCAAGTTCTACATCTGTGAGTGGTCAGAACAACAACTGCAAAGCCCAGTGCTCTGTGCCGGCCTCGGCGCATCTCAGACCACGGTGGCCTCAGGACCTTCTTCTGAAATATCTTTTCATCTCCTGACCCTCCCCTGCCGTCTGTTCTGGGCCCTTTGTGCAGCTGACCACGCAAAGAGCAGGAGAGCAGGACCCACAGACTTCCTTCTGGCTGGGCCAGGCCAATTGTCCCCACCTAATCCAGGGCAGGCTCCTTCTCAGTCACTTCCAAGGTCCCCCCTACAACCAGGAATCCCTGCGGTCTCTCACCTGAACCCTCGCGTTCTCTCCCACACCACAAGACTCAGCAGGTCCGCCCCTTGTCCCCCTGTGCTTTTCTAAAAGAAAGGAACTGCTGATAAGCGAGACCTGGGTGGGTGAAAGAACTCGCTCAGGGTCCCACAGAGCTCAGGCAGAGCCCAGACCTCCCGACCCGAGTCCAGGGCTATATCCAGGCCTGGCTCCACAGGACCACAGGGCCCCACATGCAAATAGGAATAATAAGCGCCAAAACACACAACCCATGCACAAAAACACTCAATAACAAATGCTGGCAAACGTGAAGTGCTATCAAAGTATATAATCATAAATCCAACTGTTACACCTTTCAACAAGAATCTGGGAGCAAGAAAAGTGTTCATGTGTGGATGTGCTTATTTCTCAAATACTATACATTCCTCAACTGCTTACTTTCATTAATAAGACCCAAATTACGGAACAAAGGATAAACAGTCAATCTCACAATCACTACCCCTAGACCACCATACCACAACACCCCCAATTAAAAAAACGGCTACAAGCTTTGATTTCCCAAAACACTTCTATCCTGTGGGAAACTGCCGGGTTCTAAAACATCTCCAAATTAATACTGCCAGTTGTCTTAGTTGGTTTCCTGCTTGCTGATCAAAAACAGGGTTGACATCTGCTTTCTCCAGCAACTACTGACCACACAAATTACCTACTCTAGCTCCACAGCACTTAAGTTACTCCCAAAACGTTACTTCTCATCCTGCATTTTCCTGGCCTTGCCCATAATAAAATTACGTGCAGGAGCAGCTGACGGAGCTCACTAGGCCTAGCACCTCCTAGGCTGCAAGAAAGGTGCAGAGGCCTCGCAGGGGAGAGCTGTAATATGAGAACCGGGATTCCAACCTGGGCTCAGCCTGCCCTGCCGCCCGGCAACTGTATGACCTTGGGCACAGAGGTCAACCTCCCTGAGCCTCAGTTTCCTCAACTGCAGCGCTGGAATCCTAACTCCGGGGGAAAGAAAGGCTCTCATCCCAGTCCCCGGCGCAAAGCTGGGGATGATCGCGCAGAGCCAGGACGCACCCGCGCTGGCCGGCTGGAGCTAGTCCCCGCGGTTCTGGGACTGCGCGGCAGCCCCCAGTGGCCCCTACGCCGCTCGAGATCAGCCAAGCCGGGCCCACACCGGGCCTCGCGGCGCGTCAGGAAAGCCAGGCCCGAGGGATGCTCGCGAGGCCCTCCCGGCCTCCGGGGCCTGTTTCCCCGCCTCCCTCCCCCGAACCACTTCCCGTAGAGGGCCCCGGGGACGTAGCCCGGCCGTCGGTCCTCGGGCCCCGGGGCCGAGCCCCCGCCTCGCCACGCGTCCTCAGCGCCCCGGCGCCGCGCCCCGCCCCGCCTAACCCGAGGCTGCGGCCCCTGCTCCACAGCGGGAGGCTGGAGGCGGCGGCTACTCACCGAGCGGCGCCGCGCGTGGCCGCCTTTGTATTGCAAACACCCAGCCCGCCGCCGGCTGTCAGCGCAGCTCGCCTTCGGGGGCGGGGCAGGGGCGGGGGCAGAGGGCAGGGGCGGGGCAAGCGGGGCGGTGCGAGGGGGACTCGGGACGCGCTGGTGGCCCGGCTGCTTTCAGGGCCTGCTGGCCGGCCCTGCCCGCTCACCCCTGGCCGCCTATCTTAGCGTTCCTGGGGGTGGGGCCCCTTAGGCCGCCTTTCTGATTTTCCTTTCCAGAGCCAAACTCGTGTGTTTCTTCAACACTCTGACTTGACCTATGCCGATGACTGGGGGAGTGAGGACGGAGGGGTGCAGAGAAAAGGCAGCCAGGTAAAAGTCCAGGTAAACCACCCAGGGCCTGGCCGCGATCACGTCGGTCCTATGGGTCCCGCTTATCACCAGTGGCGGGATCTGAGCCCGTCCTTGACTTTACTGACCCTCGCCCTTCGTTTCTTCCACCTTAAAGGCGCAATCGCGTTGACCTATCGCCATCTCTTCTTAGCTTCTCCACGCCGGGCCACCCCTGTCCTTCATCCTGATGGTGACAGCCTCCACTCCCGCCTCTGCCAAGCGGTGGTCCAGGTGCGGAACGGTGGCTCTGAACAGGAGGGACAGGCAGCTCCCTGCGCCTCTCCAGCCGGGAGGCAGGCAGCGGATAAACAATGAGCCACATAACGTCTGGTGGTGAAATGATTTCCATCAATGGGAGGGTGTCATATTTGAACTGAAACTCTAAATGACAAGAAACACCTATGACTACAAAGATGGGGAGGAGGCAGGGCTTTCTGGAGAGCAGAAATGGCAGGTGCAAAGGTCCTGGGGCCGGTGCTGTGGGCTGGAGGGAAGGCAGGGGCCAAATATTCAGGTCTTGTAGGCCAAGGCAAGGAGTTTAGGTATTATTTAAATGTTATTCCAAACCAATTCTTTTTGAGACAGGGTCCCACTCTGTCACCCAAGCTACAGTGCAGTGGCACAATCTCGGTTCACTGCAGCCTTCACCTTCTGGCCTCAGGCAATCCTCCTGCCTCAGCCTCTCAAGTAGCTGGGACCACAGGTGCATGCCACCACGCCCAGCTAATTTTTCAAACTATTTGTAGAGACCAGGTCTCCCTATGTTGCCCAGGCTGGTCTCAAACTGCTGGGCTCAAGCAGTCTTCCCACCTTGGCTTCCCAAAGTGCTGAGATTACAGGTGTGAACCACCACGCCTGGTCCAAAAAGAATTTTAAACCTGGGAATTATATGATCTAATTTACTTCTTTAAAAAGTCACCCCTCCACTCCATGGAAAATGGACTGCAGGAGTAGAAGCCAGCAGACAGGTGGCACTGCAGGAAACCGGGGGACATGATGGTGGCTCAGATTACAGGGGCTACTCAGCAAGAAGCGGAAGGACTTCAGAGAGATTTGGAGGCAAAACCCACAGGCTTACTGATGAATGGAACCGGTGGAGGTGTGTGATGCGATACTCAAAGGCAAGTCTCAGTGTGGAGATGGAACCGCTGCTCTGCTGAGATGCAGAGGGCCAGGGAGGAGGCCAGCTTAGAAACAGCATCGAATGCGGCAGCTTAGTGAATTGGATAAGCCAGCAAGCTTGAGATAGATGTTTGGGGACAGCTGCTTGGAGAGCTTTGTCCAGGGGCGCGGCTCCCGTCCATCTGGTCAAGTGTGGACACGCTCCCGCTGGGCTTGGGGCAGCTCCTATCTAGGCAGCCTGTCCCATGCTGACATTGCAGACGTGGGAGCTACACAAAGAGAATCTTGCAGTTTGTAGGTGAGCTACCTCCACAGGGGTTTTCTCAGAGACCAGAGTTTCAAGTGCATCACGGCTGCCCAAAACTGCTGAGGTTGCAAGGCCCCAGAAGGAAGCCCTCCTGCACCCTCCCCTCCCACCTCCAGGGAGGAGCTGGCCTGGGAAGAAGTCTACTCTATGTGGAAAGGCTTTCCAGGAAGCCAGTCCAACTTCAGGCCACTTAAGTTTATTTTTTGTGTAAAATAAGTCCATTATTCAAATGTGGAGATGGGAGGTCTGAAAATATAGGACAATTCAACTCAAAGCCCTCATTCTGAAAATGATGAGCTGGGGGGCCCAGCACGGCTAGGGTCAGCTCTGATGAGCAGGGTCTGGCTGGATTCAGAGCAAATTAGGTCCCGCTGCTGCCCAGCCTACCACCTCGGGGAAGGCCAAGGGTTGGGGGGAGCCTTTTGTATAAACAAGCAATGAGAAGAAAACACTCACTAGATCACAGTGCACTCCCAGGCGATAAACGAAACCGGACTTTCCAAAGCCCTGGCGCTTTTGATCAGGCACTGGCTGGAGTCCCCCTGGGAGGGCCCTTGGCTGTGCTATCAGCAACCAGGCCTGACTGAGCAGTGACTCAGCCAGGAGAGCTGAGGCGATCCCCCTGGCCAATCCCAGGACCTAGCTGCACTCGGAAGAGGAGAAGGAACTCCAGGGATGAGTAATCTTGCTCTAGCTGACTGGAGGAGGAAGGAGGGGCTGAGTAATGCCTTAGCAAAGCCAGCACAAGCATCCTGATTCTAGAGGCTCAGTTTCACAATCCAGGAAATGGGCTGCAGGTGCACATGACACAGATCTGCTTTGAGGATGAAAAAGGCATCATGGGAAGCTGCTGTCACAGTTGTGGGGTTGGAAGATTTTTCAATTCTAAAACCCCATAAGTTGAGGAGTGGCCATTCCCAGAAGGATCTGTTCACTGCTGAGCCCAGCTGGTGACAGTAGCTGTTGTATCCCGAGAACTCTGAAGTTGTCCAGATCAACCACCTACACAGGCCCAGAATACCTGGGGCAAGGTAGGCGGGAAGAATGAGCATCCCTCTTCACGGGTGCCCTGCGAGCTACTGTAGGAAGGAGAAACACTGGCTGATCCCCCAGGACTCTGAGCATGGTTAGCTCTGTAACTGCCCGGGCAGAAAGGATCCCAAAGAGAGGACAATGAATTCTTCCCCTAGAGGTGCAGACTTTTATCCCTGGCACCAGTGCCTGGGGCTCCGGGGAAGGGAGGGCATCTCCTCGGGGTCTAAGGCCACTCCTTGGTTGGGGGCCCCTCACGAGGTGACTTTGTCCTGCGCACTCTCTTAAGAACCAGGTGGGAACCAGGGGCCACCTGGTGCCGCTTCACTACCTTGGTGGCAGGGAACAGAGCAGCCTGGGAATCCACCCAAGGTGGAATGGGGCCCCCTGGGTGCTGTGGCTGGCTGAGCAGGGAAGTTTCATGGGGAAGAGGCAGGTGTAAAAGGTTCTGGGTTCCGCAGGGAGAGGACAGTGATCCTCGGAGAGCAAACAGCTGGAACCAAAGCACAGAAGGTTTTGACGGTCACCCGGGCTATCCAGAGGCCCACTTCACAGTTAGGGCAGGGCCTGCAGATTAGAGTTGAGGCACAGGAAGTGGCAGAGTGATAAAGGCTGACAGCTGGACACACAGGAGCATCTTGGAGGCCCTAGGCTGAGCACTGGGGGCTACAAAGGGGAGCAGACCAGACACAGTGTCTGTCCTCAGGGAGTGCACAGTCTGGGTTGTGATCGCGTAAAAACTGTCACAGTGCTTCAGGCCGCTGTGAACTGAAGGGCCGTGCACTGATGCAGGATTTGACCTGCCCTGTCCCCAAGCAAGAGGATTCACCTGACCTTGGTGGCCTAAGCAGGCACCGACCTAGGCAAATCTAGGCCAGGTGTCAAGGAGCAGAATGAACCACGGGCCAGCCAGCAGCACATGCACAGCAGTCAGGCACGCACAGGTGCTTGAAAGAAGGCCGTGGCTGGCCGCTGGTGGGCGGGGGAGCTCGGGAGCTCACAGCAAGCCCCATGCCTGTCTCCCACTGGATGAAGCCAGAGGGGGTCTGGAACGCCCTTTCTCCTCTGGTCAGATTGGGAACAATTCATAATGAGCGGGGCTAAGACACAGAACAGCAGAGAGGCAGGAAAGAAGAAAGAGACCAAGGTGCGAGGAGCGGACAGGGAAAGAGACCTCAACATGACCAGGGATGGGAGGAGAGAACTCCATTACTTAGAAACAGTGGCTGCTATGCTGGGAAGTGTGGACTGTTACAGTGGGCTCTAATTCCAGGAGGAACAAAAAGACCCCGCATATCACCATGAGTCAGTCCTCTGAGTCGCCATGACCCATGACCTTGCTAAACAAGTGTGGGGCTGTCACAGCCTTAAGCAGCACATCTCAAGTCTCACATTCTCCAGTGCTAAGAAAACAGCTACACAGACAGAATGCTAAGGAGAGCTCAGAAGTAGAAAACCCTTAAGAGTCCCCCCTTCCTTAGATAGGAAAACTGAGGCCCAGAGAGGCAAACAATGGGTCAGTATGTGTGTCTAAACTTATCTAAACATAGAAGAGGTATAGTAAAAATACGGTATTAGAATCTGATGGGAGCACCATCGTATACGCAGTCTGTAGTTGACCAGAACATTGGTATGCGGCACATGACTGTAGATCTTCTCATTAATAATAGGCAACCTGGTCAGGTGCACGAAGTCTAGGGTTCAGAATCCAACAGGCTCAAATTCAAGTCCAGCTCAGCCACGTGGCTGAGTGCTGTCTGAACCTCAGCGTCCTCAGCTGTTAAACAGAGGTAACCATCCCCATCTCAGCAGCTTTGGGAGGAAATTAAATGAGATATATTGGGATCCAGATAACCAATAAAATATCAAATCACTTTACCAGTTCAAGCTCTTACCACTCAGTGATTGCATGGACTTATCACTGACGAATGAACTCAGGAGTTCAGGAGTTCGAGACCAGCCTGGGCAACATCCTCACCCAGCTAATTTTTGTTTTGTTTGGTTTGGTTTTGTTTTTGAGATGGAGTCTCACTCTGTCGCCCAGCTGGAGTGCAGTGGCACGATCTCGGCTTACTGCAAGCTCCGCATCCCAGGTTCACATCATTCTCTTGCCTCAGCCTCCTGACTAGCTGGGACTACAGGCACCCGCCACCTTGCCCGGCTCATTTTTTGTATTTTTAGTAGAGACAGGGTTTCACTGTGTTAGCCAGGATGTGTATTTTTTTATAGAGACAGGGTTTCGCCATGTTGCCCAGGCTGGTCTCAAACTCCTGAGCTCGAGTGGCAATGTTTGGAACCAATTTACGCAGTTCTTTTCCTTGCAGTTGCCAAACAATATTATTTATCTAATGGTCATAACACCTTAACAGTAATAGAACTACTGAACAGCAGTGCTTACTCTGCTCATGGATGAGGTTTCTAGTTGTCTTCTGTTAAGCAGGTGGCCTTGAATTCTGGCAGCTCACGCTTCAGAGTTACCTGTGGACACACGACATCATTCACAAAATGTTCTTTTTCTCTCCAGTGTCTCTCGAGAATGAAAATGACCAGGCCATCCTCACATTCTACAGAGGTTAACCCAGCAACTTAGGGACACAGCTGGGGCAGGACTCCCGGGCTCCTGGTCAGTCCCTCTATGGGGATGCTAAGCCTCAGGGCTGACATCTCTTAGCTCTGCCTTCCAGGGAGAATTTCACAGGGCCTCCCATTTGTGCTGCTGTGAAGGCCGTCCTGCTCCTTGTCAAGCCTGTCTTCTCCGTGGCTTGAGGAAGATCTCTTTCGTGCCCAAATTGTGAATAAGTAAACTGGATGCAGCATCTCTGATTGCTCTGGGAAGAAATTTATGAGAAGTGCCTGAGAAAAGTCATGATTTTATGCCTCTGCTAAGCAACCTGTTGGACACTGCTTGGTATCTACAGCTAAGTGGTTCCCTGTTCAGACCTGCTTCCTCTGATTAGCAGCCACAGATCTTCTGGGTTTTCACTTGTTTATTTCTGTTTATTGTCATCTCTGGGAAGATGGCTTCAAATTTTTTATCCCCCAATTATTTAACCCCATATCAATTGATAAGAAGATCTTTTCTTTCTTTCTTTCTTTCTTTCTTTTCTTTTCTTTCTTTCTTCCTTTTTTTTTTTTTTTTTTTCGAGATAGAGCCTCACTGTGTCACCCAGGCTGGAGTGCAGTGGGGTGATCTTGGCTCACTGCAACCTCCACCTACCAGGTTCAAGCAATCCTCCTGCCACAGCCTCCCAAGTAGCTGGGATTACAGATGAGTCCCACCACACCCAGCTAATTTTTGTATTTTTTTTTATAGAGACAGGGTTTCGCCATGTTGCTTAGGCTTGTCTGGAACTCCTGAGCTCAAATGATCTGCCTGCTTCGACCTCGCAAAGTGCGGGGAAGTTATAATTGAAGGGTGTGATGGTTAATTTTTGGTGTCAACTTGACTGGGTTAAGGGATACCCAGATAGCTGGTACAGCATTGTCTCTGGGGATGTCTTTGAGTGTGTTTCTGGTAGAGGTTGGCATTTGGATCAGTGAACTGAGTGAGGAAGGAAGATTCATCCTCACCTGTGTGGGCTGGGCTCCATCCAATCAGTTGAATTCCTCAATAGAACAAAAGGGCTGAGGAAAGGCAAATTCACTCCCTTTTCTGAAGCTGGGACACCCTCCTTCTCCCGCGCTTGGACATCAGCACTCCAGGGTCTCCAGCCGTCGGACTCCAGGACCTGCACCGATGGCCCCTCAGGTTCTCAGGCCTTTGCACTCAGACTGAGCTATGTCACCAGCTTCCCTGGTTCTCTAGCTTGTAGACAGCAAATCATAGGACTTCTCAGCCTCCATAATCATGTGAGCCAATTTCCAAATTAAATCCCCTCTCATTTATCTATATCTCTATCTATCTTATTTGGTTGTTTCTCTGGAGAATCCTGATACAAAGGGTTTACATTGAATGTCATTCGCATATGGTTATATAAATAGTAGCCGTTTTAACACCCTCATCTAATTCTATCATGAATGTCATTTCTGGATCTGTTTATATTGATTGATTTTTCTCCAGATCCTAGGTCATATTATCCTGCTTCTTTGCAAGCCCAGTATTTTTGTTTGGACACGGGACATTGTCAGTTTTGTACTGTTGGTGGCTAGATTTTATTATATTCCTTTAAACAGTGTTGTGCTTTGTTCTGAGATGCAGTAAAGTTACTTACGATTAGTTTGATCTTTTTGAGCCTTGATGTTCAACATTGTTACGGCAGATCCAGAACAGCCTTTGTTTTAGGACTAATTTGTCACCTCTTTGAGGCAATTCTCTTCTACTTTTCTCCTCGATGTCCTGAATTTTAGGGGGTCTTCCCAGTCTGGCTGATGGAAATGTAGTTTTTGTTGCATAAAATTTACCTCAAAACTTAGCAGCTTGAATCAACAGGTATTTATTCCCTGCAGTTTCTTGTGTCAGGAATCCAGGAGTGGCCCAGCTGGTGGCTCTAACTCAAGCTCTCTCGTGAGGTCGCAGTCAAGGTGATGGCTGGATTGGAGCCCTCTGACTGGGGCCAAAGGATCTGCCTCCAGGACGGTGACTCACATGGCTGTAGCCAGGGGCTCCATTTCTTGCCTCATGGACCTGTCCGGAGGCTGATTGAGCAATACAGCTTCTGGCTTTCCCCCAGAGGGGCTGACCCAAGAGAGAGCAAGCAGGAGCCACAAGGCTTTCTACACCCTAGTCTCTAAAGTCACAAACCATCATCGTCACTTTCACCACATTCTGTCCTTTAGAAACATATTAGTAAGCCCAGCCCACATTCAAGGGAGGTAGGTGTAGGCGCCTCTTTTTGAAAGGAAGACTATCAGATAATTTAGGGATCTATTTCTAAGCTGCTCTCACAGACACACAATATCCCCAGGCCTGAGTGATTTCTGGAGATCGTTCTGCCTGCAAGCTCCTTCCTTGGTGGTTTCCTCACATTCATGTGCAGACCAGTACTCAGCTGAAGACTCAAGGCACTCCTTGCAGATCTCTGAACCATTCTCTGTGGCTCCTTCTTCTGCAGATCTCTGCCCTGCAAATTCTAGCTCCCTTGGCCTCCCGGAAGCCCACACTCCATCTCCTGAGCTGGGCAGGCCCTCAGGCTCTGTTTGGGCTCCCTCTCCTGGCACTGCTGAGGTGGACACTTGTGAGGCTGCTCTTATTGCTTCCCCTCTCCCAGGAATCCCTGTCCTGTTCTGCCTATTGTCCAGTGTCCACTAACTGTTGTTTCACATACTTGTCCAGCTTTCCGGCTGTTTTTAAGACAGGAGGGTAAACCTGCTCCCTGTTATTCCATCAGGACCAGAAGTGGGACTCCCCAGCAGCGGTGCTGGCTCCTGAAAATGAGTCAGCGGCCATGTAGCAGAGGGGAGACTGACACCCTCCCCTCTTCTTCTTCTTTTTTTTTTTTTTTAATTATACCTTAAGTTGTGGGATACATGTGCAGAACGTGCGGGTTTGTTATATAGGTATACACATGCCATGGTGATTTGCTGCACCCATCAACTCATCATCTACATTAGGTGTTTCTCCTAATGCTATCCCTCCCCTAGCCCCCCACTCCCCAACAGGCCCCAGTGTGTGATGTTCCCCTCCCTGTGTCCATGTGTTCTCATTATTCAACTCCCACTTATGAGTGAGAACATGCGGTGTTTGGTTTTCCGTTCCTGTGTTAGTTTGCTGAGAATGATGGCTTCCAGCTTCATCCATGCCCCTACAAAGGACATGACCTCATCTTTTTTATGGCTGCATAGTATTCCATGGTGTATATGTGCCACTTTTTCTTTATCCAGTCCATCATTGATGGGCATTTGGGTTGGTTCCAAGTCTTTGCTATTGTAAATAGTGCTGCAATAAACATACATATGCATGTGTCTTTATAGTAGAATGATTTATAATCCTTTGGGTATATACCCAGTAATGGGATTGCTGGGTCAAATGGTATTTCTGGTTCTAGATCCTTTAGGAATCGCTACACTGTCTTCCACAATGGTTGAACTAATTTACACACCCACCAACAGTGTAAAAGTGTTCCTATTTCTCCACATCCTCTCCAGCATCTGTTGTTTCCTGACTTTTTGATGATCGCCATTCTAACTGGCGTGAGATGGTATCTCATTGTGGTTTTGATTTGCATTTCTCTAATGATCAGTGATGAAGAGCTTTTTTTCATACATTTGTTGGCCACATAAATGTCTTCTTTTGAGAACTGTCTGTTCATATCCTTTGCCCACTTTTTGATGGGGTTGTTTGGTTTTTTTCTTGTAAATTTGTTTAAGTTCCTTTTAAATTCTGGGTATCAGACCTTTGTCAGGTGGGTAGACTGCAAAAATTTTCTCCCATTCTGTAGGTTGCCTGTTCACTCTGATGCTAGTTTCTTTTGCTGTGCAAAAGCTCTTTAGTTTAATTAGATCCCATTTGTCAATGTTGGCTTTTGTTGCCATTGCTTTTGGTGTTTTACTCATGAAGTCTTTGCCCATGCCTATGTCCTGAATGGTATTGCCTAGGTTTTCTTCTAGGGTTTTTATGGTTTTAGGTCTTATGTTTAAGTCTTTAATCCTTCTTGAGTTAATTTTTGTATAAAGTGTAAGGAAGGGGTCCAGTTTCAGTTTTCTGCATATGGCTAGCCAGTTTTCCCAGCACCATTTATTAATAGGGAATCCTTTCCCCATTGCTTGTTTTTGTCAGGTTTGTCAAAGATCAGATGGTTGTAGATGTCACACCCTCACTTCTAATCTGACATTACCTCGCTCCCTCCTCCTGGTCCACTTCCCTATAAAAGTGATGCCCTTTGGCATACACTTCAGATCAGCACATCTGTGTCTAGCACTCCAGGCTTCATCCTTCTTCCCAGCTTTCCCCAGCCTTGTAGTCCACACTGCCTCCTTTGCCAGTCCCAGGGATGATATTCAAACTATTAGGCATGCCATGAACATGAGCCAATCAGAGCAGACACCAGCCACAGCAGAGCAGGGACCTGCTGGCTTATGGAGAGGGCTGCAAAGGGAAGGGGGCAAATCTAAGAGAATAGATGAGATGGCAGGAATGAGGCCACTTAGGGGACTGGGGACAGTGACTGCAATGGATATTTCTAAATTTCTAGTATTTCAATCATTGGCAAGGTCATAGCAGTGTATACCGGATGAATCTACCAAAGAAGAAAACATTTTTGGAATTGCTTTTTAGCTTCAACTGAGAAATGCATCTGCTATTGACTGAATCTTTGTGCCCCCCAAAATTCATCTGTTGAAACCCTAGTCCCCACTGTGCTGGTATGATGAGGTGGAGCCTTTGGGAGGTGATTAAGTTCAGATGAGCTCATGAGGGCAAGACCTCCATGATGGGATTTGTGCCCTTATAAGAAGAGGAGGAGACCAGAGCTCACTCTGTGTCATGTGAGGACAGTGGGAGAAGGCAGCTGTCTGCAAGCCAAGGAAAGTGGACATCACCAGAACCCAACCCTGCCGGCACCCCAGTGGCAGAGGTCCAGCCTCCAGAACCATGAGATAGAAATTTCTGTCTTTTAAGCCACCCAGCCTATGATATGTGTTCTAGCAGCCTGACCTAAGACAGCATTCTAAAGAGACCTGAAAAGATGCTCGCATCCTAAAGGGCATCAAATTGGTTTCAAATCCACAGAATCAACCTAGACTGAAGGCACCCCAGTGCTCAATTCTTCCCCAGGCTGCCCCAACACAGAGCTCACCAACCAGCCATAGAAACTGGAACCCCAAAGCTAAGGTGTCAGTCAGCTGAGTGATCAGTTTCTGGCCTCAGTGAGGGAAGCTGACTTCCAAATAAAATCAGGTTTCTGCAAAGAAGACACTGTGCAACCTGTGACAGTACTAGGACACCTGAGCCAGCCCCCCAGAGTCATAGCTCAGCCACTAAATGCCTCAGCAGATAGACCTTTGAACCCAGTTAAGATAAAATCTACAGTGCTAAGTGATATAACCATTTATCAGCTCTAAAGAATGAATTAGGAAAGCAGAAAAAGACTGAATTTGCTAACAAATCATATCATTTCATGGGAAGAATGTAAATGCTGTTTGCCTATATAGCCATTCACTTTGGCACGTGCCTGTTGCCTAGAGCCTAACACAACCCCTTTCATCGTTGACCTAGAACCTGGGGTTGGTGAGGAGAGTAACTATACTCTGAGGACTTCATTCGTCTCACATTTCCCCTATTCGACAATGTCCAGTGTATGCCAGACCCACAGAAAGGTCTCAGAAGACTTGTTGAAGGACTAATGGGTTGATTGGCTAAGCTAAGCTATCACAGGAAAGGGACAAGACACTTAGGAGAGTTATTGTCAATCTCCTAGATTCAAATACATGTTCCTGTGTACTTAGGAAAGCAAAATTGAATTTTCCTTTAACCTAAAGCATAACATTAATATAATACTTAACAAAACCACATACACCTAAAAGGAGCATCAAAGATGTAAGAGGAACATTATCCCCCTCCAAGGGTACCATGGGAACACTTTCTTTTTTTTTTTTTTTGAGACAGAGTCTTACTCTGTCAGCCGGGCTGGAGTGCAGTGGCACAATCTCGACTCACTGCAACCTCTGCCTCCCAGGCTCAAGCAATTCTCCTGCCTCAGCCTCCCAAGTAGCTGGGATTACAGTCGTGTGCCACCATGCCCGGCTAATTTTTGTATTTTTAGTAGAGACGGGGTTTCACCGTGTTGGCCAGGTTGGTCTCGAACTCCTGACCTCAGGTAATCTGCCCGCCTCGGCCTCCCAAAGTGCTGGGATTACAAGCATGAGCCACCGCGCCCAGCCAGGAACACTTTCTGAATAACCTTCTGGTCTCTGCATCCCTTGTTCCTTCTGTCTCGTCAAAGGAGCTGTGCAGCTGTAGCTCAACTGTTCCTTTCTAACGCAAGGGTAAATACAAATCAAAAAATTTTTTTGCATTCTCTCTCATGCAATAAGGGAAAGAGACTGCCTTCCCCCCGCTTCTCTAAGAGCATTTACTATAGTATACATGTCACTGTAAATTCTTTCTCTGTCCCTTTGAGATGTTGTAAATCTTTTGAAAAGCTAAATAAGCCTGTGGCCACCTGTAAAACTCAGGAGTGTTTCCTAAGAGATCTGGAGGCCGCCTCTTTGAAATGTAAACATCAGGGAAGACAGCACCCCATCTTCTACCTTCCATGAGAAGGTAAAAGAGAGCCTATCTGGCAGGAGACTTGCTCCAAGATGCAAAACTATCTCCTGTCCAGATGGATTTTTTTCCCTCTTGGGTCTTGGGTAAAAGCAATTAGCTAATGCAGATTACCAGGTGAATTCAAGATGAACTGAGAAGGATAAAGGGTGCCGTCAAGTGCTCTTACTTGAGGACTAGTTATGGTTTATCTTCAGAACATGTAAACAATGGGTTGTATTTGCTTGGCTATAAAAAAGGGTGAGTTTCTCTCTGTCACGTTATTATTACTATCATCCATCCCTCATCCTATGTGTTCTCAAAGGGCGTGAGTGAGGACAGAAGAAAAGTTGGTCATTGGTTAGAGTCCCTCATGCTCGTTATTATTACTATTATCCATCCCTCATCCTATGTGTTCCCAAAGGGCATGAGTGAGGACAGAAGAAAAGTTGGTCATTGGTTAGAGTCCCTCATGCTCTAACAGTAGCTTCAAAATGTCACATTGCAATGTGAATGAAGGTCTCTAATTTAATACAAACTGGTCTGTTTTGATTCATGGCCAAATGCACAATACTCTTTCCTGTGTAGAATCATCAAGTGTGGTACGGGAGAAAGAACATAGGATTTGACATCAGAAAGGTTGGCTTTGTGTCCCAGCCCTGCCCCTTACTAGCTGTGTGACTTTGTCAAGACATTTAATCGCATTGAATTTCAGTTTGATTGTGTCAAGGAGATCTCTTGGATTCCTTTCATTGTTGCTTTTTGTACAATGGAACTTGGGTGCTCACAATGTGCTGCTCTGCGGGGAGTGCCAAAAGGCTGTGGGCCTCCAGTCCTTGGAAAGAAAGCACAGTAGCTGGGTGCAGTGGCTCACGCCTGTAATCCCAGCACTTTGGGAGGCCGAGGCGGGAAGATTGCTTGAAGCCAGGAGTTCAAGACCAGCCTGGGCAACATGGCAAAACCCTGTCTCTACTAAAAATACAAAAATTATCCAGGCGTCGTTGTGCACACCTGTAATCCCAGCTACTTGAGAGGCTAAGGCAGGAGAATTGCTTGAACCCAGGAGGTGGAGGTTGCAGTGAGCTGAGATCACGCCACTGCACTCCAGCCTGGGCAAAACCAAGACTTTGTCAAAAAAAAAAAAAAGAGAGAGAGAGAGAGAAAGAAAACACAGTAAAGAGTCATGCAACTGGACAATTATTATGTGTGTATAGGACAATACTAATGCATGATTGTGTAGGCCAACTAGTGTTAGGGGTGTGTGTGTGTCTTTGTGTCCATACACTTTCATATTGCCACACTAAAACCAGATTCATCTGCCCAGGCTCCAATGTATATGAGGTGTTAAAACATTCCTGGGAACATAGCAAGATAGAAAATCTATTTCCCATAATCCTGCTTGGAAATAACACCCTATCTAGTTTCAAAAGGAATACTTGGATCAGCTGCAGGGGGAAGGGAGTAGAAACCATAGGACACATATTCAAATTAGATCAAGTGGTTGCTAAACCGACAGGTCATGGGGTGCATTTTTCTGAGTGGAGAATAAACATTTCTGGGGAGTGGGAATGGAATTGTTAAGGTAGAAGAGCCAGGTATTGACCCCAGCAATTCCCCCCATCCAGTCTTTTCCCCCATGACTTTCCTTCCAAATATATGTGGAAATATTGGTCGGAGGGACCTCACAAGTTTTGGTTTGGCCCCCATACAAACACACACACACACACACACACAGAGAGAGAGAGAGAGAGAAAGAGAGAGAGAGAAATGGACACTTGTAATTCTGGTTATTGTTTTTGGAACAGTCCATCAGGAAATTCAAGTTCTACACAAGAACAATGACCAGCTCTTTTGTTCTTTTTAAACTAGGGAGTATCTATTTAGGTATCGGTAATAAGGCATATTTCACCACAGTGTAATGTGGCACAAGACACATGCATCTTGGACACCAACCAGCAGGATTTTATTATGACATTGCCATTTATCAGGTGGTCCTTTGGCCTGACAGCAATTTACAAAAGGAGCTTACATTTATTAATTGAATACTGCTTTGGAATAGGTATTTCCAAACCCTTTGCAGACATTATCTAACCATTTTGATCCTACAGCAACTTCATTAGGTAAGTACTATTATTATTTCTACAACCTGATGCGGAAACACATGTCACACAGAAAACAAAGACAGCTGGGAATAAAGCCCAGGTCTGTCTGTCAGTCCCTGACTTCAAGGATGTTATAATCTAGAGTAGATAGCTCTGAACCAGAAGTCCAAAGGGTCCACAGATACAAAGCAGAAGCATGAACTTGGATGTGGGAAAATTACATCTTAATTTCACTAACTTCTAACTGAAATGCAGTATTTCTTTCTGTTATAAATATAGGTAACAAATGGCAATAGTATTAATGATACACACGACCACCACCTCCAACAACAACAAAATAACAGAAATGTTCACACCACATCAAAGTTGTTGCACATATTGCAAGATATTACATAAACTCATCATTACTTAAAAATTGTGCTTGTCAATTGCAACAAAAGCCAGAATTGACAAATGGAATCTAATTAAACTAAAGAGCTTCTGCACAGCAAAAGAAACTAACATCAGAGTGAACAGGCAACCTACAGAATGGGAGAAAATTTTTGCAATCTACCCATCTGACAAAGGTCTAATATCCAATATCTATAAGGAACTTAAACAAATTTACAAGCAAGAAAAAAACCATACAACCCCATCAAAAACTGGGCAAAGGATATGACTAAACACTTCTCAAAAGACATGTATGCAGCCAACAAACATATGAAAAAAAAAAACTCATCATCACTGGTCACTACAGAAATGCAAATCAAAACCACAATGAGATACCATCTCAGGCCAGTTGGAAAGGCAATTATTAAAAAGTCAGGAAACAATAGATGCTGGCGAGGCTGTGGAGAAATAGGAATGCTTTTACACTGTTGGTGGTAAACTAGTTCAACCATTGTGAAAGAGCGTGTAGTGATTCCCCAAGGATCTACAACCAGAAATACCATTTGACCCAACAATCTCATTCCTGGGTATATACCCAAAGGATTATAAATCCTTCTACTATAAAGACACATGCACATGTATGTTTATTGCAGCACTATTTACAATAGCAAAGACTTGGAACCAACTCAAATGCCCATCAATGATAGACTGGATAAAGAAAAAGTGGCACATATACACCATGGAATACTATGCAGCCATGAAAAAGAATGAGCTCATGTCCTTTGCAGGGACATGGATGAAGCTGGAAGCCATCATTCTCAGCAAACTAACACGGGAACAGAAAACAAACTGCATGTTCTCACTCATAAGTGGGAGTTGAACAATGAGAACACATGGACACAGGGAGGGGAACAACACACACCGGGGCCAGTCAGGGGGTGGGGGACAAGGGGAGGGAGAGCATTAGGACAAATACTTAACGCATGCAGGGCTTAAACCTAGATAACGGGTTGATAGGTACAGCAAACCACCACAGCACATGTATACCTATGTAAAAAACCTGCACATTCTGCACATGTATCCCGGAACTTAAAATAATTTTTTTAAATTGTGTTTGTTACTAAACCTACTGCAGGAGCAAAAACACTGAGGAAGTCAGCCATCTGAAAACCAAGGGCAGGGTGCCTGCCTACCGCTGCGTCTTAATCAGCACAGCAGAGAATTTCTGCCCCTCCCCACCTCACATCGTCGAGCTGACTAGAACAAGAGCAGCAGAACAGGAGAGTGACATGCAGAAAGACACTCTCCAAGGTGTAGTGCAGAGGGTAGGTCCAAAGCTGATGTCAAGCAGGTATTCCTCTGACAAACCAAACTGCACCCTAAAATATGAGGTACTTCCGCAGGAAGTGACGGCTGTGCTGCATGGAGGGCAGCAATAGCAACAATGAACTTCAAACCTAGCCCAACTTCTACCTAGAGTAACTCAAGCCCCCAACAGCAAAAGCCTACCCGTAGAAAAAGCAGAAACAGCACCATTTCCAGAGGGAAGAAAAAATGATGTTCATTTCTACAGTTCTACACAAGATGTCCAGCTTTCAAGAGAAAATTATAAAGTGAAGAAAAAGGCAAAAAGAACACACTTCCAAGAGACAGCAATACTAACTAGTCTCAGCTATGACACAGATGCTGGAACTATCAGACATGGACTTTTTAAAAGAAAATTATGCTTAATACGTTGATGTCTCTAATTGCATAAGGTATACAATGTAACAGATGAGATGAGGTGTGCAGTAGATGGGGTCAGATGAAAACCTTCACAGGAGACATGGAGAGAACTGGAAGCACCAAGTCAAAATGTCAGAAACAAAACTGTCCTAACAAAGGTGAGCAACGGCCTCAGCGGGCTCCTCAGGAAACTCAGTGCAGGGATGAAAGAATCACTGAAGCTGGAGGTAGGTAACAGAAATTACCCAAACTGAAACACAGAGGAAAACAGAGTGAGAACAAAAAAAGGAACCAAACAGGAATGGGGCATCTAAGAGCTGTGGGTCGATGTCAACATACGTGAAATGGAATCTAAGGAGGAGAAGAGAAAGAGAGAAAGAGTAGGGTGGAATAAATAATAATTAATACCCTTATTAAATAGCCTAAAATAATAGCCTAAATAAATTAAAAATAAATAATAGACTAGAATTTTCTAAAATTAATTACAGACACCAAGCTATAGGTCCAAGAAGCCCAGAGAATACCAAACAACCAAGTAGGTTAAATATCAGCACACACTCACACATGCACACACACAGAGGCATTTTCTATTTGAAATTAAAATAAAATTAAAATGAATTTAAATGAAAACAAAATTTTATATTTGAAATTAAAATAATAAAGGCAAAGAGAACATCTTGAAGGCAGCCAGAGAAAAGGCAAATTATATAGAGGAACAAGGTTAGAATTACAACAGACTTCTCATCAGAAACCACATAAGAGAGCCAGACTGCAAATATTGTAGACTTTGCAGGTCACATGGTCTCTGTTGCACCTACTCTACTCTGCCATTAATTATAGTGCAAAAGCAGCTGTGGACAAGATATAACCAAATGGGCATAACTTTGCTCCAATAAGACTTGATTTACAACACAAGTGCCAGAACAGATATGGCCCATGTGTCATTGTTTACCAATCCCAGGTCTAAAGCAAAAACAGTAGCAATGCTCTGTATGTTAACTGCATATGTGAAAGTAAAAGCAGACAGGATTGGAGGAAAGACTTGGGAATATATGATTGTAAGGTCTTCCCCCTTTACATAAAGTGTTATAAGTATTATTTTAAGGTAAATTATACTTTTTTCCACTTCTTTAAAATTTTACTTTAAGTTCTGGGATACATGTGCAGAACGTGCAGGTTTGTTACATAGGTATACATGTGCCATGGTGGTTTGCTGCACCTATCAACCCATCATCTAGGTTTTAAGCCCCACATGCATTAAGTATTTGTCCTAATGCTCTCCCTCCTCTTGCCCCCGTTCCCCGACAGGCCCTGGTGTATGATGTTCCCCTCCCCGTGTTCATGTGTTCTCATTGTTCGATCTGGACATAGGCATAGGCAAAGACTTCATGACTAAAACACCAAAAGCAATTGCAACAAAAGCCAAAATTGACAAATGGGATCTAATCAAACTAAAGAGCTTCTGCACAGCAAAAGAAACTGGCATCAGAGTGAACGGGCAACCTACAGAATGGGAGAAAATTTTTGCAAGCTACTCATCTCATGAAGGTCTAATATCCAGAATCTACAAGGAACTTATACATATTTTAAGATAAATTATAATTAAAGATATGAATTAGAGGTATTTGAGCAATCACTAAAAAGTATTTAAGAGATATATAGAATAAATCAATAGGGAGATAAAATAGAATTATAAAAGTATTTAGTTAACCCAAGTGAAGGGAAAAAAAGAGAAAAAAAACAAAGAACAGATAGCACAAATATAAAACAGCTAGGCCAGGTGCAATGGCTCATACCTGTGATCCCAGCACTTTGGGAGGCAGACGGCTTGAGCTCAGGAGTTCAAGACCAGCCTGGGCAACATGGTGAAACCCCATCTCTACCAAAAATACAAAAACTTAGCTGGGTGGGGTGGCATGCATCTGTGGTCCCAGCTACTTGGGAGGCTGAGGTGGGAGGGTTGCTTGGAACCTGGGGAGGGGGAGGTTACAGTGGGTCAAGATCATGCCAGTGCATTCTAGCCTGGATGACAGAATGAGACTCTGTCTAAAAATTTTTTTTAATAAAACAAGTAGTAAGATAGAGGATTTAAACCAGCTATGTCAAAAATCACAATGAATATACCAGTTAAAAGACAGAGATTGTCAGATTGGATAAAAAAGCGAGACCCAGCTGTATAATGTCTACAGGAAACCTACCTTAAATATTAGCACGGAACTGTGATGTGGATACATGACTCTATGCATTGGTCCAAACTCACAGAATGCTACACTACGAAGAATATTACTGTTATATAAATGTTAAAAACCAAATGGGATGTGGTAGTAAAGATGGCATGCAGACTGACAAGTGAATCTCTCGGTATCACACATGAATCTCATAACCACACAAAGGAGAGCAGAGTAGAAAGGAGCTGGCCTAAGTGACTCTGGCAAAAAGTGTTTCAACTGGGTGCCATAATGCAGAAGACAAAAAAACTGTACAGCAAACCCACAAAATCCCTGGATACAAAAAGTCAGCCCTCCGCATCTGCAGATTCTGCATCTCACGAATGCTGTATTTGTCGACCTGCGGTTGGTTGAATCCATGGATGTGGAACTGGTGGATATGGAGGGCTAACTGTACTTTATTTGGGTACTAGGATTGAAAAAATAAGCAAATCAATTTCAGATAATAGAAGCAGAGTTTCTCACTGTTGGAGAAAGAAGTTGCAAATAAGGAAAGTGGGAAACTGAATGTACCTTGTGGTCTGAATTGGAGTCAGATATAAACTCGTGGACTTTAAAATATAGAAAGATAATAGATAAGACGGATGTATGGATAAAGTAGAGGTGCATGTGTGTATTCATGGTTCCTATAATAAATATATTTTCTCTTTTCCACTGAGAGGGACTAGAAACAGTGACACCCCACTAGCAGTGAGCACACAAGCACCCCACGTCTTGGTTTTCCAATAAAAAGGGTCACTGGAGAACTGACTGATTCCAGGGCCAGAGTAGACAAAATGCCACATGAGCCTGGAGGATCTTATGGTAAGGAGGTGCCAAAAAGTAAAGAAAAGAAACAAGCGAGCAAAGATGTTGAAAGAACACAGGAAATTAGATTAGAACCGAAATAAATTTTAAGATATATAAATCCATACTGATGTAAGTAATAACTGAATAAAACAATGAATGGTGAAGACGCTACTTTTCCTTAAAGAAGAATTCCAGTTAGTACATGTAGAAAGAAAGAGGGAAACAGAAAATCACCATTAGAATGCCCCATTAATCACTACTGCAGCAGGATCCACTAAGGGAAGCTAAGGCGAATGGACGAAGGTAAAGAAAAGAGGGGATATTAACATAGTCTCAAACATTTCTAGCGATTAAAAGGGAAATTACAGTAGAAAACCTGGGAGACACCCCTTTAATCAAGTGTTCAGGGTTGACAACTCCAGCATGGCATGTCTGCACCATGTGCCCAACAGGCACTGAAAAGGGCACGTTCCTTTGTGGCCTTCATCCCAATAATGCATAATCGTGAAAACATTATACAAACCTGAATTGGGGGACCCTCTAACAAGATGACTGACAAGCACGCTTCAAAAGTGTCAAGATCATGAAAGACTAGGAGAGAATAGGGAACTGTCACAGCTTGGAGGAGACTGCAGAGGCATGACAACTCACTACATTGAGGATCGTAGATCAGATCTTGGACCAGAAAACCTACACTAGTAGAAAAACTGGCAACATTTGAATCAATTCTATGGCTTATTTTAAAAAAATAACTGGCTCAACATTGCCACATATGCCTACTATCACATGATTGCTAAAGTCCCAGAGGCTCGAGGAGTTTGGGAGGGGGAGGAGGGCTGAGAGGGTGCTGGGGTGGGAAGAGAGGCTGAAGCTGCTCTTAAACAGATGGGATCTGATCCAGACCTGGAGGAGCTTTGGACGACAACCAGGACAGATGAGCAGAGAAGAGATGGGGGGCGGGGGAGAGCGTGGCTGGGAGTAACAGTGGAGCAACACGTTTAGCAAACCTTAGGTAATGGGAAAGTTCAAAACGTGTTTAGGATTCACTTGCAGGTTATCACACAGCCCTATGGGTTTGTTGAGGTGTTAATATGGGAAGACAGATGGAGACCGATTCGTCATGGCCTCAGATGGCAGCCTAAGGAGTTAGCGTTTTGTCCTGAAGGTCCGGGAGAGCCATTAAAAGCTTCTAAGCAGGAAGTAAAACATTATGAAACCTCTGTTTTATTAAATGAATCTGGCTATGGCGGACATTTCATATGCCGGGCAGCAGCTGAGGTAGAAAGGGCTTCTATGATGGTCCAGATGCTTGGTGATCAGGTCAAGCTATGGCTGTGAATTGATTGCCATGGAGAACTGATGAAGGGACAGTGCATTTCCATCATCTTGAGTCTATGAGAATGGATCACTCCAGCAATAACGCTGCCAGTCACCACACAGGCTCAAGGTGGGGCCACAGTAGCCTCTCTGCCGTGCGTTAACTCCTGATCCCGCCCTTTGAGATGAGAGTCCTTGTAGCTTTATCTCTTAAATGTCCTTCTTGGATTTAGGAAAGCTGAATCTTCATTTGTTTCCACATTCATCCATAAAAGAAGGGCCAGAAATCCAGGGAGAAAAAAGTGATTCCGGGATTGTGCCCACGTGTTTCCCTGCCAGGAGCCTCAGAGTGTCAGACCACACTGGCTGGCTGTTTCAAAAAGTCTCTGACAGCCACCTTTTCCCAACTCAGAAACAAAACAGAACAAACAAAAAAATCCATGACTTTAAAATCCCAATGGAATTGCGCTTCCTATAAATGTGTGTTTGCTGATTGTTTTTGCATGATTAATGGTTCCCAGGGTTACATAAAATTCTAGGGACCCCTCTTTCCCATGGAAAGGGAAAGAGGATCAAGTCAGGAAAGGGTTAGGGGGCCCAGAGACAGATGTCGCCTACTTCCAACCATGCTGTGGGCTCTCTCTGAGTCCTGGTTTAGGAATTGAAGTTCCGGTACCTATTGTTCTCATCCCTCTAAAAGGAATTAGGCTCTGAGGATTCCTGTCAGGATCCAACTTGGGGAGTTCCCTGTCCCTGAAAATACTCTCAACATCACAGGCTGGCCCATGCATCTAATGGCAATTCCTTAGCATTCCACATGTTTGTTTGTTTGTTTTTGTTTTTGTTTTTGTTTTTGAGACGGAGTCTCGCTCTGTCCCCCAGGCTGGAGTGCAGTGGCACAATCTCAGCTCAATGCAGGCTCTGCCTCCTGGGTTCACGCCATTCTCCTGCCTCAGCCTCCCAAGTAGCTGGGACTACAGGCGCCCGCCAACACGCCCGGCTAATGTTTTGTATTTTTAGTAGAGATGGGATTTCACTGTTTTAGCCGGGATGGTCTCGATCTCCTGACCTTGTGATCCGCCCGCCTCGGCCTCCCTAAGTGCTGGGTTACAGGTGTGAGCCACCGCGCCCGGCCACGCATTCCCCATGTTAATAAAATATTGGGGGGAAAATTATTGTCTACATTAGAATTTTATAAATGTGAACCATAGTTTATCATTCTTACAAGAATTCCTTGAGAAAGCATCCAGTTACACTGAAAAGCTGGCAAGACCTGTCTAAAAGCCCAGAGCGAACCAGCAAACAGAATCAAAACTCCCTGTCTTGTTGCACAGCTCCAGTCTCCCCAAATTCCAGTCACTGCCCCCTTCAGCAAGCCAGGGCCTGAGAAGCCCGATGGGGGACACATTGACCTGTGTCACCGGGAAGCTCTGGAAGCATCGTGATTCCCCACCCTCCCTGCCTGCCCTTTACCTTAGCTTTCAGAGGAAAGTCTCATCTCCCCATCAGAAGGCACATTGTCAGGACCTGGCTCAGCTTCCATTAACTTCAGATAAAGGCCCCTGCTCATGCGAACCTGGGTCTCCTGGTGGATTCTCCTTTTTCTTCTGATTTTCTAGTTCTCAGCAGGCTGGGCCACTGCTGGGTGGCTGCTGTTAGGACAGGCATGGCTGGCCCCGGTCTTGCCCTTCATCTCTCTTCCCTCCTGTTCCTTCCCTCAGGCTGCCTCCTCGCCTCCCATCCTCTCTCCCTCTCCAGCTTGCTTTCATCCATGCCCTGCGCATGGGCTCTCCTGGGAAAGGCCATTGTTGGGCGGCAGGATTCTGATGCCCCCCACGGGGACTATGACATCAGCATTTGGTGGTGTTCAGAGGAGGAGAGAAAGAGATGAAGAGGAGTGAGCCAGGTTTCAGGAGGGGGCACGCAGGAGACCAGCCCTGGATTCAGACTTGAGCCTGGTCCACACCAGAGGCCGATAGAAGGCTTGGATTACAGCAGGGGCAGGTTCTTTCACGAAATCAAATTTCTCCACTGATTTCTGAATTCATAGCAAGCTAACTAGAAGAGATTTTTAATTCAGAATGCTGCACTCCAAAAAACTGAGAAAGACATTGAGGGAGGGAATATGGAAATTTGATGGTATCTCGGCTAAGTTTGATATTGAGATTTTTGTAATAAATGTTGTTGAATAAAAAAGGCATCAAGATGCCTAAATCAGAGAGATAAAATGAAGAATAATTACAGTATACAATTTTTGAATTATTGTCCAATCAACTAAAATTAGAAGTTTTTAACATGCTAAAATGGAAAGTTATTCAACAGAATGGAATCCTTTAAAATATGATGGAACTGCCACTTAAGCATCAGAAGTCTGCTCAGGTGTGACCCTGGGAGCCCAAACTTTTCACGGAACAGCAAGGAACATCCCTGTGCTCCTCCTTCCCAGTCTCTTTTTTTTTCAGAGGGAGTCTCGCTCTGTTGCCCAGGCTGGAGTGCAGTGGCGAGATCTCAGCTCACTGCAAGCTCCGTCTCCCGGGTTCACGCCATTCTCCTGCCTCAGCCTGCCGAGTAGCTGGGACAACAGGCGCCAGCCACCATGCCCAGGTAATTTTTTGTATTTTTAATAGAGATGGGGTTTCACCATGTTAGCCAGGATGATCTCGATCTCCTGACCTCGTGATCTGCCCGTCTCAGCCTCCAAAAGTGCTGGGATTACAGGCATGAGCCACTGCACCCAGCCCGCCTTCCCAGTCTTTACATAGATGCTTAGGATTCAAGGGGGTTTTCTTCTCATTAGCAAGACTTAGGCACAATCACTATGCCTAGTACCAAATCTCTACATTCAGGAAAGAAGGTGCAACTTAGAAATATCAGTTCATGAACCATGGGTCATCTCACTCTTTGGGAAAACACAGAGTCAAGCCAACTCTCTTGATCTTCCAGGCATACAAAACCTGCCTTGCCTCTCCCCAGTTTGAACAGTGCTTTTGAACTTTGATGGAAAAGCCACATTTGGAAGGTAAATTCTTACAGGGAAGAGATTTTTTTTCTTTTGTCTCTAGTTCATGGTACCTTGGATAGATGTGTGTTCACTGCAGAGTCCTACAAAGTATGCTCTAATGTTCAAAGGCAGGGTAGTAGGTTCTAGTAACAGCGTGGGATTTGCACATGCTTTGTTGACTTTTTATTATGCAACAGCACCTTTTAAGTCATGTGCTAATCTAGCACATTCAGTTGTCCTATATGAGAGTGTGATTGTTCCTAAAATATTCACCAATCATTTGTTCTAAGTGCTAGGCTCTTCTGTAGTATTTTCAGATCTTCCTTATTAAAATTTGGGAGCTAAAAAACATCCACTTGCTTCTGAAATCATGATTCTCATCCTCAAAAGTGTACAGTATTCTACTGAGACTGAAAGGGGTGTTACTGAAGCCTGCATGTTCAATGGGCTACAAGATTCTGGCTTATGTAACACTCCCGCCAGCCTTAGTAGAGTAAGATCATGTAGCTTTGCATTTTCCCAACCCTGTGATCTTGGGCTGCACAAATACACACCTATTAGCCTGAAACAAAGGAATTCATTTCCCCTGGGCTTCTCTGCAGGTCATACCACCCTTGACAAACTGCAGTCCCTACTGGCCATTACACTGCAGAGCCGTGACAATGATGGATCTCCTGTTTGGAAGAGAATGACCCAGGACAAAAGGGGTGACCAAACCATGGTCTAAGTGTGATATCTGAAGCTGCTTAATCTGCAAAAGGAAACCCAGTGTGAGGAATGGGAGATGGAGATGTGGAGGCCTAGTGTCTAAGGGCTGGCATTCAGGGGAAGAATTACATTTGTCTGTAATCTCAAAGGCTAGGAAGGATGGAGCTGGGTGGATTTGGGATCACCATGAAAAGGACCTATGAGTAAGTCAGGCCTGCGTAGAGGTGATCTGGAAGCCCCCAGCTGCACCCTCAATTGGAAAGGGGCTGTGGAGGGGTCTTGAACATGACTTAGCAAATGGAGCTAGATTCCTTCAATGCTCCATCCAGCCATAAATCAATGAAATAGCTCCCTCCTTCTTTTTCTCTGCCTTCCAAACTGAACTACTGTATCTCTTGCAAAACCAATTGGATAATTCTGTGTTAAGCTTCCTGTCTCCCACCCTGAGCAACCACAGATGAATGATGGTTGTTGCAGAGATGGGCAAGTCTGGCTTCTGAGAGCTGCCATTGAACTTCTCTGTGCTGAGCTGGCATTAGCTCCTCTCCTCTCCCCTCCCCACCCTGCTTAGAGAATCCTCTCCACATTTGGAGGTTTGTGTCACCCTTCTACGTGACCAGGGCTTCTGTCCCATGAGAAGAGAAGGGACAGGAGGACTCTGTCTGAAAGTTCTGAGTTGTAGATTTGCCCATGGGCCAGACATCAGGCTCTGTCCATGAGGTGACCCAAGTCACCAGAGGAAAAGTGTCTGTCCCCAATCTCCACATTAAATTTGCCTTGGGCCTCAACCAAACTCAATGTTTTTTCCTCCTAGAACAGTGAGGATAGAGACCCAGTTAAAAAAAAATCCCACAAGTCTTTCTGGAGTCTGGGGTGTGCTGGACAGGGTGTGAGGAACTGGGGACCTGGGTTCTGGTTAGTTCTCTGTCCCTTACTATGAGACCCTGCACAAGTCACCTGGGGAACTCGGTCCTTACACTGGACAGTGACACAATGGGAAACAGAGGACCACCAGGACACATTTTAGCCATGGCCTATAATTAACATCTCTATGATGTGACTTCACAGGCACAGATCATCTTGCATCCTCACCCCTGACACACACACACACACACACACACACACACACACACACACACACACGCATGCAGTACAGTAACTGTCAATCTCAGGTCCAAGATACCCCAGCGCATCTCTATTCATCTCAAGGGATATTGATATCATTTCATAAGAAGGAATTAATGCGAATTCACCTGATTTTAAAATAGGTAACATCCCGCCCAATATTTTCTCCTCTCCCTCCCCTGGGGACGTGGAAGTGAAGATTCAGGCACAGCTAACCCAATTGGAGGGAGTTCTAAGCAGAGTACAGCACAGTCTAGATAAGGAATCAGTTGGGAGTTTCTGGAATCTCAAATGGAAGAGAGGGAGGCAGTCAGAGAGCAGGGCGTGGGCAGACAAGGACTCGCCCTGTCCTAACATTACTCAGTCTGAATTCTCTTCTCTCGCACCTTGCTTCATATGCCTAACCTGACACCGTACATCTGCTTGGTCTTTGCTCAACTCAGCTGCAGCATCCTCGGGAGACAGCTGGATCAGCCAGAGAGCTTCAGAAAGACACACATCACTCTGCCAGACACACACACTGCTCCAGCTCCAGCATCCAACATCTGACCACATGTCGGCAGCCACTGCTGACCTGGCTCCACCATTTCTCCCCAGGTCTAAGCTTAAGCCGCACTGCATTGCTTCCATTTCTTCATGCTTGCTCTGTTCCCTTCTACCACAGGGGCTTTGTGCAAGCTCAGCCTCAACATGGATCTTCCCCCTTCTTCACCTGGTCAACAGCCACTCATTCTTCAACCTTAGTTCGAGCATCATCAACCTCCCCCGCTATGTCAGTTCTCCCTGTTAGACACCCTGGCTGTTCCACATATCTTTTATTCAAAGTAGTTACATATTAAAGCATTCCATTTGTGCATACAATTATTGTAGAATTACTTCCCAGCAGACAGATGCTATAGGAGGGAAGAGACCTTTTCTGCTTAAGTATCTAGTGCAGTGCCTGGCCCTTAATAGGTGCTCAACAAAAATTTTTAAATGAATGCTTAAATACCATATCATGGGTCATGTCTGGTTGCAAAAAGATATTCATCATAATAAAAATAATAAACTATAATTAAAATATACTCATCATCATAAAAATAAATGAACTAGGCAGATACTGGTGTTAAAGGTATCACTGCCTTTATTGTGGGCCATTTTAGGATGCAAGGCACAGTAGGGGTAAACAATTAAGAGAGACTTCTGTAGTCTAGGAATACAAGAGCTAGTAAATATATAATGTCTCCAGCAAGAGAAAGGAGGACAAGCAAGTCGGAGCAAGCTGCCCACTGGGGTGGGAGAAGGGAATGATAAAAGGGAGGATTGGAAATATACACCAAAATGCACCATTCATACAACGTTTCTATTCACAACTCAGAATTCACTGAACAAAAAATGACCATTCTGTATACGATTCCAATTAAATGCATTATTGTTGTATCTGATTGTGCTAGTGCCTGTCGCTAATCCATGCCACAATGATTCATGCTTTAAAAAAAAAAAAAAAAAAAGAAGCAATTGGTTATAACAGCCACCACAGTGCATTTCTAGATAAGAGCTCAGTGACTGTTAAGGGGCACCTGCGTAAGAGCTCCATTAACAATGCTAGGCAAGGAAGAAAACCCCAGGGCAGATGCCAGACGGAGCAAGAGACAAACATGCATTTATTTTCCGTTTACTCCAGATAACTCATTAAATTTCAAGGAAACTTCAGAATTTAAAACTCACAGCAATGTAAAGAACAGGAGGGGCATCTTCAATGGAGAAGATACTTCATCAAATTTGGAAAGTGAAAGCAAAGGGAAAGTCTGACTAAAATAACATAGAGCAAGCTATACCCTGGACTTCCTGCAAAGGGGGCTTCAGTGAGGGAGGGGCCCATCTGCCTACAGAACTCAAGCAGGCACTGGCCTCAGGAGCCCCAGATAACAGCCAGCTCCTGGACTTTTTATTCCAGAATGAACTCTACCAGTTGGATCTTCCAGGCAAGCTTTTTATCCTGTTCATGCTAAATAAAAACAACCACAAAGTGCCAGGCATTTGAGGAAACCCTGCAATGTGAAAGAGGAAAAATAACAAACAGGGGAAACAATTCCAGAATAAATAAAAATAATGAAGGGAATAGAAGAGAAATTACTAGGAAAAAAAATTCCCAGATCAGAAGCTCAGATTTGGGTTGCTATTTCATTCATAAAACAAAAACAGAATAATGCTGTAAAGAAGAAATAATTAGAGAACAAAAAAAGAAGTTTGAAAAGTAAACAATTTGGATTATGAAAATAATAACAATAGAAAGTGAAATTTATAAAATCTGCCAAATCACAGACCAAAAAAGTCGGGCAATAGAAGATAAAAGAGATAGAGAACCACTCCTTGCGTCCTTAGCCACCACCCTTTGCTTGTTTTTCCATTTTCCTTTCATCTCTCGGAATATCTCATCAGCTGATATCTATTAGAGGAGAAGGGAATTGTCCCCCAAGAGACTAAGTTCTGAGCAGATGAATGAAAAACGGCTACCTCAAGGCACATCAGTGTGAAGTTTCAGAACACAAAGAGTTAGCAGAAGATCCTAAAAGCTTCCAGTAGGAAAAAATAAGATAAAAGCTCACCTACAAAGAAACCAAAGCCAGACAGGCGTAGAAGGAACATTTGCTGCTAGAAGGTAATGGAACAATGTGTACAAAATTCTGTGAGAACTGAACATCAACCTCAAATTCTAAATTCAACCCAACTCAAATGTAAAGCCAAATTAGAGATTAAGACATGCAAGCATTCAAAGTATATCTCCACACACCTGTAATCCCAGTACTTTGGGAGGCAGAGGCAGGCAGATCACTTGAGGTCAGGAGTTTGAGACCAGCCTGACCAACATGGTGAAACCCTGTCTCTACCAAAAATACAAAAAAAATTAGCTGGGCATGGTAGTGGGCACCTGTAATCCCAGCTACTCGGGAGGCTAAGGCAGGTGAATCACTTGAACTCAGGAGATGAAGTCTGCAGTGAGCTGAGATCGCTCCACTGCACTCCAGCCTGGGCGACAGAGCAAGACTCCATCTCAAATATATATATATATCCTGACCCCCTTTTCCTGAGAGGTTACCTGGAAATGTACTCCAGCTTTTGCTTATTGTAAAAGAGGAAACTAAGAAAGAAGAAAATAGCAATCCGGTCACAGTGGCTCCAGTGAGGACCTCCCAAGAGGACAGCTCTGTGGGAGGACTTAGGAGCAAGCAGGAAGAGAGAGATCTCCTGGAGAGAGGTCCTGGGAAAACAGGGTTACCTACACAGGGAGCTGTCAGTCTGGGGAAACTAGAGAGTGTGATAAAGGCACTAAAAGCAAGGAAGCAATGGAAAGAACTAGAAACTACTGAAAGAGAGCAACTTCTTGTAGAGGTAGAATAGTGCTTAAGAACAAGGTCTCTGGACATCTGTGGGTTTGAATTCTAACCCTGCCACTTTCTAGCTGTGTGACCTTGAGCAAATGACTCAGCCTCTCTGTGCTTGGTTTGTCAGCTCTCAAACAGAAATCATAATGGGACCAACTTAGAAGGCCGTTGTGAGGAATAAATGAGTTATTATTTCTAATGCTCTTAGAAAAAAAAAAACCTGTCACCTGATTTGTGGTATATAAGATTTGCTAAATAATTTTTTTTAAAAATTCTAAAAGCCATATGAAAAATATGGTCGTCCAAATAGAAGGAATAGATTCCAATGGTAACAAGGTTACAGGCTTAAAAATAAAGAATGCGATGATTTCCACGTGATAGGCTAATGTCAAAGTTTAAGGACATTCTGTGTTTGGAGGGTGGGGGGATGGGCAGGTAGTGGTATTTCTTCTAACAATAAAAAAGAGAGGCAAATATAACCTCCAGGAAAAACACCCCCCATATCTCTCCCCGCCAAGAAAACTCTTTACAAGTAAGGCAGTATCTGAACATAGAACAAACTAAAATATGATGAGATTACACATAAATGCTAGATTATGAGAAAGAAGATCATTGGCATTTGATGCTCTGTAGAATCAGCCAGACCCTCCTCTATCAGGTGTGAATCCACAGGGCAATGTGCAAAGACGCATCAATTAACTGGGTAGGAACAGGAGACTGCGGCCTTCATTGTGAGCCAGTATTTCCCAGTTGATTCTATAGAACCAGCCACATAAATCGCTTTGATCACATGTTTCAAAAATAAATGTAAATCTAGACAAAGTTTCACTTCCTCCCCCGACAAAACATGCTCCCTCCAAGAAAACTAAAATTTAGGTCCAGTCCTTTCCCAACCTAAAGACAAGAAATAAAAGAAATAAGCAAAATATGGTTTCCAGTAACTGGGCCAGGATAAGCTAGAATTCTGGGAATTGTTGTTCTTATTAGAAATGTCGCAATCAAAGTACACATCAGCCAAGAGGGAGGCACAACGTGAATGGTGTTGCTTCTGGTGTAGCAATTTGTCCCAGCATTCCAGGTCTTTTGCTGTCTTGAATCTTGTTTGGGGATAGAGCCGGGGGAGGTGGGTTGGTGAGTGTGTATTTCGTTGAGTTTCTGTATTTCACAGCTAGATTCTTCAAACCAAGAGCTTGACCTCTTAGAAAAACTTTCCCTCAAACATGTCTCCAGTCCATGGAGAATTAATCGCTGGCTTCTCTGCACTCACGAGTCCACAGGCAACCCTGTCATAGCACCTGACACACGGCACCATCATTATGATCCCACTACCCCCTCCCCTGCTTGGTGAACTCCAGAAGGAAAAGACTAACCATGACACACTCATCACTGTGTCCCCAGTGCCTAGTACAGTGGCACAGTCACTAGGAAGGAGGGAGAGAGGGGGACAGTGTCAGGGAGAGGGACAGAGAGAGAGAGGAGACTGGGAGAGAGAGAGTGAACGAGAGGGAGAGGGAGAGCAGGAGGAGAGAGAGACTTTGAGTCTTACTTTCGCCCCTATTGCCCTTCCTCCTCATTTTTGGTTTTCTCATTACTAAACATTCCTGGAATTTAGGAACCTACCTTCTGCGGACAGCGGGACACAACAATGATCAATGCCGGGATAGAAGGAGAGGTGTGGGTTGGAAGCCTGCCTGATGCCCCAGCCACCTCCCCATGCCATGCGCCCTCCAGCGTGAGTCTGTCCACCTTGCACACCTGATCCGCACCGTCCACTGTGGACTGCAGTTCGGTGTTTCCAGCCCAGACCTTGTCCCTTGGCTCCAGACCATGCATCCAACTGCCAGCTGGTCACCTGCCTTGGGAAGTTCCATGAGCAGTTCACACTCAGCCAGGCTAACAGTGGACCCCAAGCTGCCCCCCTGCCTCCAGGTCCACCCCTATAGCTGTACTCTCACAGGACTGCAGATCTGGAGGGGACATTGCCTGCTTGGGGCCTTTCAATCCACCTGCCCCGGCCCCCTGTATACCATTACCTGTAGGATAAAGTTCAAGGTCCTCAGAAAAGCAGACGAGGCCTCCTGGTCATCGGTACCCATCCTCCTCCTCCATTTTCATCCCCTCTTCCAATCACATCCCCCAAATCTCAAAGACACTGTGCTGTTTCTTACCTCTGTGCTTGGCCAACTGGTATGGCTCTTTCAATACCCTGCAGAACACTCACCTTCTCTTGGAAGCATTTTTCTGAAATTGCTTCTGAACCCCCCACCCACACAAGCTGATACAAGCCCTACTTCTCCTCTCCCATGAGGCCCATGGTGGACAGCAAGCACTTTCTGCTCAGGATTCACTGAAATCCTGCTGTACGCATGTGGAATGCAACTCAGAGAAGTCAGGTAACTTGCTCAATGTCACACATGCTGTAAGTGGCAGAGCCATGGCCCAGATTTTGCACTCCTGATCCAACACCCCTACCATGGATGGCGGACGCTTTCTGTAATTTCACCTTTGAAGCAGGAGCCTCCTGCTTGGCGCCTCCCGTCCTGAGCTCCCTGTATTGCTGGGAGCCCAGCTCTGTGCAGGGTGGGGATGGAGGCCAGCGGATTGCCTTTCCTTACCTGCCTCTCGTGTGTCCTGCACGTGGGGCCAGAAGCTGGGGTGGAAACATGGTAGCCATGGGCTCCTGCCCCACAGTCTGGAGAATGGGACTGAACCACGGGAAGCTGCCCGAGGCCGCCTCCATGACTATGTGGCCTGCGCTCCCACCCACAGGTGAAGGGGGTCACTTACTTCAATTTCCTGCACCTTCTCACAGAGCGGAGCTTCTCTCCCTCCAGGCATAACTGCCACTAACTGCTCTCTCCTCAGGATTCCTGGCCTCCATTTGGCCCCAGTCCCTGCCAATCCCCTTGGAAATAAAACTTCTGCTCCTCACAGAGTGCCCAGGCCAGGCCTTCCTTGCAGCCTTCTTCATCCATGTCACTGACGCCTCTGGATTCGTCTCAACGACGAACCTCTCACTCTGCCTGCGGCCGCGCTGAGCCTCAGGTGTCCTCTGCAAATCCTTAGTCCACACTCTGTTTCAGTGTCCCTTTCTAACTGTGGGCTCCTCGAGGGTGGAGACTAAGTGTTACTTTTGTTCCGTAGCCACAAGGCTTGGACCAGGCCACAGTAGGGACACTAAGCATTCCAGCGTCATCACTTCTACCCTGGATCATTCCACAGCCCCTCTGGAACCTCCCTATCCACACACGCTGCCTCCAGCCTCTTCCCCACAGTGGAAGCATCTCAGGGGTAAGATCTGTGGGCCTGTAGCAAATTACATGATGCCCCTGAAGCTTCAGCTATAGCTCCAGGGCAGGGTGAAGGCCCGAGGAGAAAGGAACGGGAGACAGAGTTTGGGACCACCTCTGGGAGTGGGGCGAGGGAGGGTGTAAACAAAATATCCCCCCACCCAAACAACAGTGGCTCAGAGAGTTTGAGGAGTGAGGGTAGTGATGGCCTTTGGGCTGTGGAACATGGGGTCTAGGAAGAGCCAAAAAGACAGCCTCGGGGGCAGACAGAGAGCAAAGCATGAAAAACAATCCCAGAGATGCTGAAGGGGCTGCACCAAAGCCTGGGAACCAGGTGCAAGGCAAAGAGGCTGCGGTGGGAGGAAGAGGCAGAATCTGGGGAAGGGCCTTGAGGGGCTCAGGGCGTGAGGCAAGGGCTCTCATTAGTCATGTGCAACTGCATTTGCGGTAAGGATCGTCCAGTAAAGGCAACCAATGACATGAGTGTGAATGCAGACCTCTTCCTCTTGGCACTGGGGAGCCATTGAAGGCTTTTTAATCAGGGAGGTGACAAACTCCTTTCTCTGCCTGGAGGAGGATTCATCTCAGGAAGAAGAGATTAGAAACCAGCCAAAATGTTCACAGCTCCATGGGGAGCTAATCAAGCATCCAGCAAGTGCTGCGGGCAATCTCTGAAAGCATCAGCGGAAAGGAATAGGCCTGCCTTGGAGACTGCAGATAGCCATGGCGACAAACCACAGCTGGACATGGAGTATTTTCTCTAATCTTAAAATGTAAAAGCATAACAACGACATTCTATCACAGCGGCACTCACGTTAATGTTTGAAGACCATACATTTCGAATCCACCCAGGGTCTCTCATTATTGGAATCTGAAAAACAAAAACATTAGAAATTAATTAATAGAAATGTTCTGGAATTAGGTGGTGGTAATGGTTGCATAACTTTGCCAATATACTAAAAACTCACTGAACTCTACATTTTGAACATGGTGAATTCGGTGGTATGTAGGCTATATGCCAATTAAAAAAAAACTAAATTAAGAAGAAGAATGTGTGACCGGGCACAGTGGCTCATGCCTGTAATCCCAGCACTTTGGAAGGCCAAAGCAGGCAGATCACCTGAGGTCAGGAGTTTGAGATCAGCCTGGCCAACATGGCAAAACCCTGTCTCTACTAAAAATACAAAAATTAGCTTGGCATGGTGCTGGGCAGCTATAATCCCAGCTATTCAGGAGGCTGAGGCAGGAGAATCACTTGAACCCTGGGGGCGGAGGTTGCAGTGAGCCGAGATAGTGCCACTTCACTCCAGCCTGAGCAAAAGAGTGAAAATCCATCTCAAACAAACACAAAGAATGTGGTGTCTTTTCTTTGAGCACATTCAACTATGATGTGTCAATTACATAGGGTGCGTTATGAGGTTGGAAACTCCCTGTCTCTCTGACTCTTTCACTCTTTCTCCATCTTCATGTCTTCCCCAAAGCACATGGATCATAAGAAGGTCAGGCTGCATGAGAAAATGATGGGATTGGAAGGCAGAAGACATGACTCAAGTGCTGCCTCTGCTGTTTCTTAGCCACAGGGCTTGTTTTCTTACCTGTAAAATGTGGGTAACAATAACCCCTGCCCTGCCAAGTGACAGGAGTTATTGTGAGCATTAAGTGAGCTCATTTAGGCAAAAGGGCAAAGCCCAATTCAGGTACTAGCTATTAGGACTGTTGGCATGGCGTTATCCTAGCAGGTAGGACATATGCAGTAGTCCTTTCTCACAAGTGTCCCAGTTAGAACTACACAAAGGGCACAGGGAGTAGGCCCAGCCTTCCTAAGGGATGTATTGTCCTAGGCCTAAAATTCTACTAAAATTATACTCAAAAACATGTGTGCTCTGAGTTCAACTGCCAGCAGCCCAGAATAAACAGCCCCAGAAGCCCCTAAACCTCTTCCCCTGTCCTGTTCCTCCTTGGCCCTGCACCCCACCTCATATTCATCTGACCCACTTAGCTTTTCCAGCACATATTTGTTGACTGACTGTTAGTTAATGGTGTTGCTTTACATCATGACATAGAATAGCTCTAGGGGTCATGTACTTCGCTAGGTACTGGGAACACAGCAACAAATGAGATGCAAATCTTGTCCGTAAGTCACTCATAAGCTAGTGGAGGGCAGGAAGACAAGTAACAAAGATCTCTGTGGCCAGGGCTACCATCAAGATATGCCCAGGGTCCAGAGAGAGCACAGAGGAGGCAGCCAAGCATCTGCCTGTGGGGAATGTAGGGAAGGTTCGTGCCTTCTGCAGGAGGGGACAGTTGAACTGCCTCTGCAGGGTGAGTGGGAACTCTGGGAGAGGAGAGGACAAGAAAGGCCGCTCCAGGCAGAGCAGAGAGCATATTCAAAATAACAAAGTCATCGCACATATGTTGGGAACAGCACGGTGCCCCTCATGATTCCAGAGTAGTTGAGCACATGCAGTGGGCATAAGGGGATGCCGGGGGGATCAGGGGGCAAGGAGGCAGGGGTGAGTGAGGCCGGCATGGCGAAGGCCTCGCGTGCTCCCAGGAGGACCTCTGGCCTTGTGCTCTAAGCCGGCCAGTTTCATTTTTTTAAGAATGCCCTCCTCAAACAACAACTCTTGCTGGAGCACATTATGTAATTAGAAAAAAGGGAAATGGCTATGGTCAAATGGGGAAGGGGACTGGAGTCTTGGCTACAGAAAACCTGAGGCTCTCAGAGCAGTGTGAGAGCAGTCACTGTGCACCACTGGGGATTACAGAGGAGGAGAGGGATGATCAAATCTGTGTCTTACAAGGACCACACTGACCTCCGCATGGAGGATGGATTCGAGGCAGAGAAGTGAATTTGAAGGTTATTCTAGCAAAGGATCGCTGGGATATGGACCAAGGTGATGACAGTGGGACAAAGAGGAAGATGAGCTCTGAACACAACCACATGATGGAATCACCAGGAAATGATATGCAACTTGGATTGGGGGGTTGAAGTACAGGGAATTTTCAAGGATGCCTGAAGTTTCTAGTCTGGGTGACTAGGTAGATGATTATATCATTCACTAAATTAGGAAAGCAAGAGGGATGAATTTAGGGAGGAATATTCTAGTCTCTTGGAACCACACCCAAAATAAAAAGGATAGATTTTCCTTTAAGACAGAACCAGGGAAAGAAGGCAGATGTGTGTTATAGGATTGTATCCAATCTGGATCCTTGCTGGGGTAGCAGGGGTAAGGCCATTGATTTCTTCATCTATACGTTGCTTAATATGGCAGCTAATGAAGTCCTCATTTCAACTGAGCAATGCATTTGAAACACTTCTTGGAATCCAGTTGCTGCTTCTATTTCAGCTCCTGTGGAATATTTCAGCATGCTGCAAAAAGTCATGCAACTTGGGTACAGATATTCTGGACCATCCAACCCAAATTCTTCAGGGGCCACCAACACAGTCACACGGGCACCAGAATTCTCTGTGTACAATAGTTGGATTGATTTTGCACTCACGAGGTAGGCTAGGAAGGCTGCCAGCAGTTTAAATTCACAGTGTTTGGATTTGGCCCTGATTCAAAATGAAGTTTTAAATCAAATACAAGATATATTCTTGGACTGCCAGAGGAGCAATATCTCTGACCCCCAAGAGTCTGGTTTGAATTCAGAGATTAAATATAAACACAAGAACACCAAAAATGGTGACCCAGTATATTTCAACAATAATTTCTTTCACAGCTAAGTAGAAAATAGGCTCATTCTGCCCACAACTATTTGTTGTAATTCAAAATTCCAACATAAAGTGTGAAGCTCAGCCATTTGGATTCTGGCATCAAGCAGTTGGCAGTCACGGTGGAAGCCAAAAATGAACCTGGCTTTGAATTCCAGTTCTTCTACTAGGAGCTGTGTGGCCTTTGGCAAGAAATTACCTTTCTAAGCCTCAATATTCTCATTTCTAAAGAAAGGCTAACAATAAAATACTTACCTCATAGAACTGATGTGAGAATCAAAAGACAGAATACTGTGAAAACAGTAACGTACCATACAGATGTCAGTGGCTACTCCTGGATGAAGGTCATGAAGTGGAAGATTCAAGGTCAGAAGTAGGTGAGCATCTTCAGAGCAGCTGGTTTGCTTCTACCTTGCTTGAACCTTGAGCTGTATGACTGTTCAGGTCCTTGTTCAGTGCATTGGCTGCCAGAGCCACATTCCTGTTCTCGGTGTGAGTCAGACTCCATGAAACACATGCTTGTGTTAACCTCCTTCTCAACTCTATTGTTTGTCTTGATTTCTTTCTTCCTTTTCTTTCTCATTTAACATAGACTTATGTGACGCTATGGATTAAATATTTGTGTCCCCACCCACACCCCTGCCACCATAAATGCATATATTGAAGTTGTAATCCCTAAGGTGATGGTATTTGGAGGTGTGGTCTTGCAGAAGGTGGGGGCTGATTAGGTGATGAAGATGGAGCCTTCAGAAATTGGATTACTACCCTTATAAGGGTAGGAGAAAGATAATCTCACTCTGCTATGTAAGTTCTGCTATGAGAGTCAGATGGAAAATGTACTTGAAAGTGACCAGCTCACGGCAGATACTCAATGAAGCTGAAATTGAATTCCCATCACAGCCTCATTAAGATTAAGACCCAGGTCACAGTTCCTTGTAATCTTCATGTAGCTGGGCTCACTGCTACCGTTCTTGCCATGATTTGCTGGAAGTCACATATCTGGAGCCTACGTCCAAATTCACATTCAGGTCTGTGGGACTCCAAAGCTCTTGCTGCTGTTTCATTGATGGTGCAACATTTAAACAGCAGAAATCTCACAAACACAGAAGGAAAAGAGAGAATTCAGAGAGTAATGTTTCCAGATTATCAGGCTCAAAGTCGTGGGCTGCTCCCAGTTTACAAATGGGTTGTCCAACGTTCATTTGTAGATTTTTGTAAAAGCAGGGTAACATTTTCATATAGAAACGGTACTACCAAAGTCAGCTTTTCCAGGACAAGAGAGGCAGAGAAAACTATAGCATTACTGAAGAAACAATGGCAGCATATAACTCGGGACCTAAAAGCATTATGGTTGGTTTATACAGTCTGCTTTCATGGGAAAACCCATTCACAGTCCAATGGAGGATTCCAGGAATGTGTGGGAACTGTCCAAAATGTGAGAGGAGAACCCTGGCCTGGGGATCAGGCAATCCAGGCTTTAGCGCTGGTGTCGCTAACTTGTTGCAAGGCATCGACAAGGTACCGCCCTTCTCTGGGTCTCAGTTTTTCCATCTAACGGAGGCTCGAGTTACACTCAGTGGTTTCTAAGGGTTTTCATCTCCAAAATTCTGCATCTACATGCATACACCCTCCTACACCATGATTCCAACAATGATACCCCCTTTCTTTGGTAGCCTGGTACCCTCTGTTGAGATAAAGGAAGAGGATAAAGGAAGGTTTGCTCTGAGTAGGGGGGAGATGGGGTGAAAGGGATGATGTTTTATGTAAGAGGACTCCTCCTGGGACAGTTCTGGCAAATCTGATGAGATAACCACTTGTGGTCCCCAGCATGGGTTTTGGAGTCAAACTGTGTAGAATGATCTAGGGTAGAATGCTGGCTTCACCACTTACCATCTGTGTGGTCTTGAGCAATTCATTTAATATTCCTGAGCCTCCATTTCCCCTCTATAAAAGGGGAACAATAATAACAATAATAATAGTAGTAGCTTTGTCATAGGGCCCTTGTGAGGATTAAAGAAGATACTTAATGTCAAGTGCTCAATATATATTCGTTATCATCATCATTGTCATCATCATCACCAACATCATCATCATCACCTTCCCTTCCTCCCATTGAGAGGTGGATAAACTGGGTTCTAACTCTAACCCTGGCTTGCTGGGTGACTTTGGCAAGTTTTTCCCCCTCTTTGGGTCAGCTTTCTTACGTATCAAATGCCTGGATTATACCAAAGCAAGGGTACCTAACTGGCCAAGTGCAACACAGCTGGTCTCCATCTCCTGTGCCTCCTGCTCCATTGAGCACATCACACCACATCATTCCCCACTGAAAACCTTTCATGGCTCCCCATTGCCCAGGAGTTAAGGCCCAGGTCTGGCATGCATGGCCCTGCATGATCCACTCCTGCCTGCCCCCTTGCCTCAGCTCCTCTCCCATGCCTCACTCTCCACTCCCGGGACATGTACAGGGTTCCCATCTCAGTGACTAGGCTCCCCTGCTTCCTCCCAGTCGAAGGTTGACCCTCCACCCAAATCTGTCCTTGGAGTCATTTCCATGACTCAAAACCCAGCTCTCCATGGGGCCTTCTCAGAGTCCCCCCCTTGGCAAATAATCACCCTCCTCTGTGCTGACTCAGCATTCCAAAGAGAAGGCCACAGTGCAGTAGGCAAAAAGTGAAATTGATGAGAGTCAAGCTGCTGGATTCCAGCTGTCGGGGGGCCAACAGTGAAGGGTAATGCCCATTCCCTGGGTGGCTGAAGGCAGATCACTGCTCCTCTTAGGGCCTAGTTTCCTTCTCTGTCCTGTTAGTTAGGAGAGATGACCTCCAAGGGTCTAGGTGAAGGTTGCTGCCCCACTGCCTGACACAGCTGGTCTCGGATGCGGATCTGATGTGAAACTGTGATCATCACTCAGGATCTTTCTCAGTGAAGCCCAGTTCAGTTCACTTCCCCAGGATTTTCTCACATGAAACTCCTGAAGTCCAGCCAGGCTTCTCTAAGGGGCCTACCCAGTCATAATTAGCGGAGACCACTCACTCATCATTGAAACACATCAGAAGAGTCATTTGAAGGAAGTAATCATGCCTGGCTCAATGGTAAGGTCCATCCCAGCAGGCAGGTGAGCACCTGTGGTGCTCACAGAAGCAGCAGCGCTTGGTTGGGACAGGCCCCAGCCACTCCCTTTCTCCCCTCCCAAGCCACATCCAGTCACAAGCAAATCCTGCAGCTCCACCTCCAGTGGGGGACCCCGAGCACTTCTCCCCGTGCGTGCACCACCACCCAGTCCCAGCCACGCTGCTCTCTCCCGCAGCTCCAGCAATGGCTCCACAGCCAGTCTGTTTCTGCTCCTCATCAGCTCTGCTCCTCACAGCAGCCACAGGAACCTTCTGGAATGTTAGATCACACCACTCCTCAGCTCAAAACTTCCCGTGCTCCCCGGTCTGCTCAGTAAATTCCAGGGCCCTACAGTGGCCTCAGGGGGTCTGGCCACGGTTCCGGACTCACCTCCTGCCACCTCTTCATCATCCATGGTGGCTTCTTCCACCTCAGAGACTGTGCATGAGCTGTTCCTCTGCCTGGCAGATTCTCCCTAAGCCTCCTTCTCTCACTTCATGCTGGTCTCTGTTCCAGTGACCCTTCCTGGAAGGAACTTCCTTGGTCCATCTGATCATCCCCCGTCTCCTTACCCTGCTGTCTTTTTCTTCTTAGCACTTTATCAGTATCTGACGTTAGATCATTATTCTTTGTTTTCTGTTTTTCCTACTAAAATATAGGACCTTCCTTTCTCTCCTGCCATACTCCCAGCACCTGTGATAATGCCTCACGTGTAACAGGCTCTAAGAGGTGCTGTATGGCTAATTGCTACAAAGGTAACGTTTAGTCAGTACCCATGCTCTTTCACCAAAGCTATTTCCACTTTTTAATGACAGTCATAAAGTTTTAGAACTGGGAGGAAGAGCTCTTTTTGGCCCTTTTGATATTTTGATAAAAGCTATGAATCCTCTCTCCACAAAATGCACATTCACCCAGAAACCTGCACATCATTTTAGGGGTCTCAAAAACCTGTCAGATTACCTAGAAACATCTTTTAGTTAATGAGCCCCCAGATATAGACCACCTCCTCACCCCACGCTCCAAGAGGGTAAGTGCTTGCTCAAGGTCACACAGCTCTAACCTGGTGGGAGTTCCCCAGATTATCATGGCAATGGAAAGAGAATTCATACTCAAGGGAATTGGATCTAAGCCCTTGTTATAATATTTAATAATGCTTGGTCTTGAGTAGGTCTTGAGCACCTTATGTCTTAGAAGTTCCATTTCTTCAGTTATAAAATGAGCTTAATAGTACTTCCTCCATCTTCCCAGATAGCAAGGGCAGTTTGAATGCTTCTAATGTGTGCACCTCTGACCACTCTCTAAGTTCATCTAATGACATTGGGCCCACCCAGGTAATCCAGGATAATCTCCCTATTTTAAGGCCAGTGATGAGTAACCTTAATTCCAACTGCAACCCTCATTCTTTCCTTTACCACCCAATGTAATTTATTCACAGGTTCCAAGGATGAGGATGGGGCATCTTTGGGGGACCACTATTCTGCCTGCCTCCTAATGGGCTTGCCCACACCTCCCTGTACCACCCTGCAGTTCACTCGCCTTGCTGCAGCCGAAGTCTTCTTTTTGTAACACAATCTGGTTATGTCACCATATTAGTCCATTTTCACACTGCTGATAAAGACATACCCAAGACTGGGCAATTTACAAAAGAAAAGGGTTTAATGAATTTAACAGTTCCACATGGCTGGGGAGGCCTCACAATCATGTTGGAAGGCAAAGAGGAGCAAGTCACATCTTAAGTGGATGGCGACAGGAAAAGAGAGAGCTTGTGCAGGGAAACTCTCATTTTTAAAACCATCAGATCTTGCGAGATTCATTCGCTATCACAAGAACAGTGCAGGAAAGACCTGCCCCCATAATTCAATTACCTCCCACTGGGTTCCTCCCACAACACATGGGAATTGTGGGAGTTACAATTCAAGATGAAATTTGGATAGGAACACAGCCAAACCCTATCAGTCACCTCTATGATTAAAGCCATTATATAACTTCCCACTGCTTTTAGAAGTAAATATAAAAAAAGCATGCAATTTTCTAAACCCTCCTGAACTTGGTGAACAGTTTTCACCCACACTTGCAGTCTCATTTCCCACTTGCTCCCTTTGATCTCTCTGGCCCAGTCACACTAGCATTTCAACCCCTCCTATTCAGCTTACTACATCCAGCCCCACAGCCTTTGCACATGCTACTCTCCCTGTCCGAGACACGCTTCCACTGGATAGCCTCTCTTCACCCCCCAGGCCACAGCCAAGTGTCCCTTCCTCATAGGGGCTGTCCCTGGCCTCCTCAACCTGCTCACATCCTGACTGCACCTTCTCACAGGGCACTGTTGTAGCTCCTTCATGGCACTTAGCGCAGTTTGCAAATTTACATTTGTTTGCGTACTCAGCTGATGACAGCATCCTTCAAAAGGAACAGTGCCTGTTGGTCTCATCATTGTGTTCACAGCAGTGGCTGGCACACGGTAGTCAATAAGCACTTGTTGAATGGAAAAATAAAGGTGATTTTTTTTTCAATATACAGTTGAGCTCAGAAGGTCAAAGGACTTGGCCGAGGCAACCCAGCTAAAGTGTTGGGGGATGGGTGAGCTGGGATTTGACCCAAGTTTGACTGACTTCAAAGCCACAACACCACACCATCTGCATTTCAGGCTACTATTTATGGGAGGGGGCTGGAGATGGCTTTATTCATCAAATTTTCCCAGTGAAAAAGATGAAGGTGGTATTGATCTCTGTAGCCCTCAAGGGGCTTCATGCCTTGGGCTTTTGTCTGATCAATCCTGTGGCCGGTAACCAGTGGAAGTTCCCACAAGTAACATGTGGAAGTTCTCCTCTGTTCCTGGTTATGTCCTCCTGGCCACTTTGAGAGGTGAGCTCCTCCAGGCCTCGCCATTGACCAGTGATGACTAGCTAGTCCCCAGTGTCCAGTGTTCACCCAGACATCTGACACATAAGTGTGTGTGGCCTCTGGAGGTATTCAGATAGCAGGATCCCCGGCAGAGGAAACTCCATGGAGCAGAGCCCTGCAGGGGATCCCGGGGAGATAGAGGACCCAGGGCTGGGGATCCCAGCTGTGTGACTGTGAGACATTTACCCCCTTGTCTTGGCCTCATTGTCCCTGAGTGTACAATGAGGGGCTGGATGCATGGTGCTTCCTGCTAGAACATTCTGTGATTCTAGTGAGTATCTAGCACAATCTTTGATTCCAGACTTCATGGACACTCCACATAGAAGAGACCCTAGATATAACTAGATTTAGTATGTGGAAGGGACTTGAATTTAAGTCCCAGAATAGAAATCTCTGCCCATTAGAAGTGACCTCCAGTGCGGGCTGCTACCCAAGCCTCATATCCCACTGGACACATCACAATCCAGGGTGGTGATGTGCTACCCCGCTCTGCCTCCCCCGGGTGGGGCCTCACAGTTGCCACTATTTCAGGCCCAGATGCAACCACAAAAGTGAGTTCAATATGGAAGGCTTAAGCTTCACATGAGATGCATGTGTGTGCATATATTAGATTAAAGATGGCTTCAAATTCTTTGCTACTCCTTCCGTTGAGAGATAAAGTCTCATAACCCTCCCCTTAAATCTGAGCTAACCTAAGTGACTTGCTTGACCAATAACATGCAGGACAAGTGACATTCTTCATCTTCTGAGGCTAGGTCATAAGAAGCCTAAAGCACCCTCCCCATTCTGGGGGATGCCAGCTACCAGGTAAGAGGTCTGACTACCATGAGATGCCAAGCCTGAGAGGCTTTGTGTGCTGAATCCTGTCAATGGTCCCAGGTGAGCCTTCCAGCCACCCCCACCAAGGCAGCAGTCAGGTCAGGGAAGCCATCCTGACCCTTCCAGGCCAGCCCATCCACCAGTCACATACCGCAGAGTCATCTCAGTCAATGCCATGAGGAACAGAAAAATCACCCAGCTGAGCCCAGATTCCTGACCCATTAAATCATGAGCTATAATAAAATAATTATTGTTTTAAGCCACTAAATCTTGAGTCAGTTTGTTTTGGAGGGATAACTAGAATAGAACATGTATGTGGGGGGAGGAGGAAGGGAGGCAGGTCTAGTTTGTGTGTTTCTGTGTGTAACTGCATCTATGTATTTGTATCATGATGAGGACAGACTAGTTGTGTCTATTTTTGCAGGTGTCTATGAGTTTGCCTGTTATACAGTTTGTACTTCCGTGAGTTTGATACGTGCCCGTTTGTGTGTATGTTTATGGCAAAATAATGAGGCAAGTCCTTCTGTATAAAATCTAATCCTATTGCTTTATCACCTCCTTGCCTATTTATGAAAAGAGCCAGTGCAGACCAGAGATGTATGCACATGTATATGTGTCTATACAAGGAGAAAGTATGACTGAGGAACAGGTTAAGATTGGACCCCAGGGCTCTCAGAGCAGTTGCGTCAGGCTCCTTGGGCACCCTGAACCTCTGCCCTCTAAGCCTAGGATTGGTCACTATGAGCCAGGCAGTGGGCAACTCAGATCCACGCTATCCCTACTCCAATCCCCCCAGCAGGCAGCAGCTCCCAGAGGATTTCTCATGGGTTAGAAGTAAGTGTTATGCAAAAACCAGTTCCATGGTGGGTCAGATACATTTGGAAACACTAGATAAAACAGAGATAAAGATGACTTTTCCCTAGTAGTTTTTCAATGCCTTTATTACATCACTACATTGTCAGTCTCTAACAGGGAATGTAGAATGAAGCATTTGCCAAAACCTCTAATCTTGAAACCCCTTTCTTACTGAGCAAATAGTGGTATTTGCATGTCAGGTAACTCATTTTGGAGAAATCTTGCTGCAGAAATATCCAAGCCTGGGAGGCGGTCATCCACACTTCCATCTCCATCTGTCTCCCTGGGGAAGATAAGGTGCGAGATATTCAAGTCTATGGCGAGACTCAGAAAAGGATCCACGTGAGAGTTAGGAGAGAAGAAGGGCAATAAAAATGATTGGCAAACAAGAGTAGCTTGTGCCATAGTGAGGAGAGACAGAGAGACAGGGAGAGGCAGAGAGACAGAGAGAGACAGAGAAGCAGAGACAGAGAGATAGAGACTGAGAGTGACCTGAGGTCAGAGCAAGGGGAGGTTGACCCAGCCTGCCCTGCTAACATTACTGTTAGCATAGTGCATATTCTTTGTGCAGTCCTTATTGCAAAAAGCCTCCTGGGCATGCATGAAGATTTCCTTCTTAGCTAGGCCATGACAAGTCAGTCAAGGTTTCCCTTTCTCAAGCATCCGCGTTGTCTCACATATTACCTGTGTCTTTTTACCTCCCGTATTTTGATGCTTTGCTATCCAGGGTGTGGCTGGCCTGCAGACCTTCCCAGGGCCAGGCCTTGTCTGTGAGTGCACCTTTCACATGCAAACCAACCAGTCCAGAGCCCAGACCCCAATCACCTCTTTTGTCAGGACGTCACCCTCTGGGCCACTATCCACTGTGCTGTTCACCCCAGGGCCTGGGATCAGACAACTAGGGACAGCCTGTGTACTCCGGAACCCACTGAAATTATTCACACTAGCCAGCCCTAAGCCCGTTTACCCTGCCTCACCTGTTCCTTTCCACAGAAACCACAATAAAGACTCTTGTCCACATTTTCCCTTTGCTCTCTCTGCCTCGTGACCAACCCAGTGCTTCCCCATGTGGCCTTGTGTGACGTGGCGTGCCTCCTGTCTTTAGGGACCCGTGAGCACCACAAACTTCCTCCTTCGTGAAAGTCATTTTCCTGTCTGTCTTCCCATACCCAATTAAAACAAATCTCTAGTACTCTTAAGACACTTGGCATCCGACAGCCACAAGACCAGAAGGCAGAACTCAGCAGAGATGAGCACAATGACGTCAGAAAGTTGACATACGCAGGAGGGATTAGACAGAATAGTTCAGGAAGAGTTTTAGCACAAGCACGGACCAAACCAAACAGACACTCAGCCAGTAGGAAAGGACATGGCAGCCCCGGCTACACCCACGGATAATACCAGCAGCTTTCTGTAATCTAAACACACAGGCTTTAGAATCGGACTGGTTAAGCTCAAATCCTAGGCCCACTAGGCACTATCTGTGTGACCTCGACCTAGTCATTTAACTTTTCTTTGCTTCACATTTTTCATGAATGGAGATGATGATGTACTGTTGTCGTGAGGATTAAGTGAGAATGAGGGTAAAGTACTTAGTATAGAAACTAGTACATAGTATGCATTCAGTAATGTCATATTTTTATTACTACTACTACTGAAACATAGAACTAAATAGCAACAGTATGATGCATTAACTCATTTGTATTGAGAGTCTACTGTGTGTGCCACCTGGGCCGGCGCTGTGACAAGCATGAGTGTTTGTCACGGTTCAGAGCAGAGAGACCAGCAGGGACTGGATTAGGCAAGTCCAGTCACACATTCATTGAGCATCTATCAGGTGTCATGACCTGTGCTAGGCACTGAGTTCATCAGTGGGGTAATTACGAAGATAACTAAGACAGGATCACTTGAGTTACTCATAGCCAAGCAGGAAAAACAGATGCAGAAACTAGTATCTGTAATCCAACATGATGCGTGCTGCATGCAGGCACAAACAAAGGGCCAGGTACCCAGGAGGGGAAAAACCTCCTAGAGAAAGGTGGGGAGGGGTCAGGAAAGACATCTGGGAAGAGCTCAGGTAAGAGTTGACCAGGAGGAAAAGGGAGCATGTGTCAAGAAGCAAAGGCTTCAAGGAGACAAGAATAACCTTGGCCTTATAGCCAGTGAGGACACCAGAACACAGAGTGAGGGGGAGCAGGGCCAAGGAAGGGAGAGGCTGCACAGAGATTAGACTCTGCGATTCAGGAGAAGAGCTGAGAACTGAGGGCTCCACTGAGGTATCCCGCCCAGGACAGTGACAAAGGACCCAAGTCTTGGTTGCAGAGGAGCTGTCTGGGAGCCTAGGCATATGGAGTGGCTCTGGGGAGGTGGAGGGATGTGGGTAACAACAGCTGCCACAGAGCGAGGACGAATCGTGTGCTCCGTGCTGTGCTGGGCATGTATACTTATACCTTCCTTCAGCCTCTCTCTCTGCCCAGGGGGACGTTTAATTAGCATCAGCTTGGAAATGAAGATGCTGAGGCTCAGAGCGGCTTCATACAGCCTATCCACACACTGTGGAAGTGGCCAAGTGGAGACTGAATCCAGGCCTGTCCAGCCCCAAGGCCCTCACCCTTCCTTATCTGTGATACTGCCTCCAGAGAGGCAGGGAGGCCTGCGCTGGGGCTGGCACTAAAGCCCATAGGGGTGGAGAGTGGGAGAGGGAGAGAGAGCGAGAGAGAGAGAATGAGAGCGAGAGAGAGAGAGAGAGAGCTGAGAGAGAGAGAGAAAATGAGAAATAGTGCAATGGACCAGAGGTCAGGATGAGACAGGTTGTGAAGGTCACACAAACCAGTGTTCTGGGCAGCCTTAATACACAGCTCACCCCAGAAGGGAGATGCCCCATAGACACTGGGCATTGCACCACCTGACTGAGGTTGTTTAAGTCTAAGAGTACCCTGGGATGCAAAGCTATGTTTCTGTACTTGGGCAGACTCTTGAGGCTTCACCTGGGAAAGAGTGGGTTCTTGGATTGCAGGTGACTATGAACAATGGACACAGGCCTTCCAGAACCTGAGTCACACCTGACACGTGGATGGCTATCAGAGGCCATTGGGCTCACTTGCAGGGACTTCACCCTGTGCACCAAGGCAGACAGATGGCCACCAGGCAGCTTCCTCTGCCTAGAATAACAATCAAAGAAAGACACACCTACCATGTGCCAAGGGCTGTGCCAGGTGCTTCCCAGAGTCAATTCATTTAGTTCTCCAAATGCTGTGGGTATTACATCCCATTTTTTTTTTAATTGAAGAAACTGAGTTTCAGAAAGGTTGAGTAATTTTCCCAAAGCCACACAGCTTACCGTTTGTCCAGCCAACCGGCTCCTCTCCCTCCCCCAGCCCGTCTCCTGCAGGCGGAATCAGTCATTTCTATTGCCCTTGCTTATATCACTTTGCTTGCCTGTGCCCCATTAGGCTGGGAGCTCCCTAAAAGCAGCCCCAGATTCAGGCTTCTTGTTCTTCAGAGCCCAGCACACGGTGGTCACTCAGTGACCCTTCGTCCGATGGTGAATGTCTAAGGAAACAGTGAGTGGCTGGCGTGACTGCACACAGTCAACCGATACCCAAGACCATCTTCATGCTTCCTCGGCGACATGGCTTCACCAGAGAGGCTGCATCTAACAGGTGTCGAAACCATACCGAGAAGGAAAGGTGCTCCCATGACTCACACTAGCACCGTAAAAGGTGAGCGTTCTGGTGTCTGTTTCCTCCCTGTTCTGCTCTTTCTTCCGCACGCCCCCCCCAGGGACTCCATACCCATACCCGCTGACATCAGGGCGCCGGTCAAGTCTAAGCTGTGGGTCGACCCTGACATCAACTTATGACATATCTCACTGTTTTCAACTACATGTAAGGACTTATCCTCAGCAAGAAAGTGTTCCCTAGAAAGGTCCTTATGTGGATTTATTTTAACAAGTACAAACATTTTGCATGTAAATGGGGGTTCAATAGTTCCTGAGGACCCGTTACTGATTTATAGCAGGAGTGTCCCATCTTTTGGTTTCCCTGGGCTACATTGGAAGAAGAATTGTCTTGGGCCATACATAAAATGCACTAACAATAGCTGATGAGCTAAACAAACAAAATAAAATTGCATTTTTTTTAATTGAAGAAACTGAGTTTCTTTGCAAAAAATCTCATAATATTTTAAGAACGTTTACAAAGTTGTGTTGGGCCACATTCAAAGCTATCCCTGGCTGCATACGGCCAGCGGACCATTGGTTGGCCAAGCTTGATTCATGGCCTCCATATATTTTCCCCAAAGGGGACGCTGATTTGAAGGAGGCACAAGTTCTACAGGCAGGGTGTGAGCTCAGGCAGTGGGCCCAAGGCCAACCACTGGCTCAGGCTGACACACCAGAGAGACAGCTGATAGGCATCATTTAGACTCCTAAGTTCCCTGACCCACCTTCTGCTCACAAAATGTGCAAAGCCCTGACCTCGTCCAAAATACCAGAGATTCCACATGAGAAGGACCCTAATCAACAAAGCTTATTCTGTTTAAATAGAAGTGCCCAGCAGCGGGAGTCCTGATAAAAACACTGTGTATTTCATAACGCGGAAGAAAGGAATTCACTCCGTGTTCAGAGGCATGGTGTCGGGCAATCTAGAAGACCAGCTTTTAACAACCTGGGCCTGATCCACCAGCTCACACGTGAGTGGGTTCTTCTGCAGAAATAGCACCAGGAACATGAAGAAACAGCTGTTTCTGAAACTGTTGGAGCCACGTGGTGTTGTCCCTGCTACTGTGTGCTGTTCCTACGTTTCCCGGAAGAGGCGTAGGACGTGGCAGCCAGTCACAGAAGCCTTGACTCTAAAGAGGATTTTTAAATACAGAACTCGGACACAGCCCCTTGACTTCAAGTACATCCAGTGCCTTCTCCCAAAGCATCTGGTCTCCTGAGACAGCTGCAACCTGCAGCAAAGCTGTCAGGAATGAGGGCCACGTGCGGCTCATCTGGGCCCGGCCAGGGGAGAACAGACAGCCTGAGTCAGGGCTTGCCATGACGTCAAGTGAGGATGGCCACCGGAGCCGCCCCGCACACCCCTGACTGAGCTATTCTGGGTCACAGACACCAACATCCCAGCAGGATCAGGACCTGAGAGAGGGGCTCTAGACAGAAATGGGCCCATCGCTTGACAGAAACGACAACACAGCGCTGGAGACAGTGAAACTCTCTGACCACCACCGGCTCCACCAGGACTGTAGGCAAAACTGGGCACTTCTGGGTCAGGAAGCCACCCACAGCCGGGGGTGCGTGACTAGTCTGGCTTGTGACTGAGGGCTGCCCCTCGGGAGAACCTGCATTTCTGAGCACACTCGCTTCCATGTAATGTGCGGTAGGGCTTGTTCCCTGGCCTGGTGAGATGGGGAGGAGGGGGTTGTAAATGGGGAAGGACACAAGGCCCGGGGCATTTGGTACCCAGACTCTGCCAGCACTCACACACCAGCAAGGCCAACAGGATGACTCAGTGTGATTCAGGTTTTCAGTGGCTGCAAAACCAGCCCACCAAGCACTTCTCCACTCACCCTGCCAATGAATGGGCGTCCTTTCCCTGTCCCCAGGCCAGGTCACTACCAGTGGCAGGCAAGGGAAGGAGTCAGCAGGTCACCACGGTTCAGCAAGCACTGGGCACCCAAGTGCTAGGGAGGAAGGGATGAATTCCCAAGACACGACGCACAGATTCGGGCAGACTTCCAGCTTCTAGGCCAAACCAGGGAGAAGCAGGAGCCGAGCACAGCTCCTGGTGCAGCCCCACAGTGGCCCACGGGGGCTGCTTCCTGTTCCTCCTGCACTGGCCACAGGCCACCAGGAGCTGCTTGCTTGCTGTTCCAGCCTGGAGCAAAGACAGAGCTCAGGGCTGCCAGGAGCACAAGAGCTGGGCGAGGCCAGGAAGCATCTGGGTAGTGCGGTTGTATCCAGAAGCAGCTGGGGGCTGATCAGGGGGAGCACGCAGCCCTCCGATTGCAGGGCTGCCTATTTGAGTGGCAGCTCCTCTTAGAAACAATGCAGAACAAGCCCAGGGCCCCACAGAAAAGGGCACTGCCCTTCCCAGAACTTGAGCTCCGGGACTACGCATCTGTTCTCACCAGATACAGCTTGGGGCTGAGGAACAAAGAGCCTTCCCTGGGCCACAGGTGGGGGACCCAGAGGCTGGGCAGGAGCCCCTGTTCTGAAGGGTCCCAGGCCCACACCACAGATGCTGCTGACGTGCAGAACCACTCTAAAGAAGAACAGAGAGACGCAGGAGCACAGAGGAGGTGCGGCCAGGGGAGGCACACCTGGGCGTAGCCAGGGAGGGGCGCAGGACACTTCGAGGCTGACAGGAGACCCACGTGGTGGGGAAAGGAGCCCCCCAAAGTGTCAGAGCATGAAGCAGCAGGAAGGAGCTCCCTCGGGCCACTGCTGGGATCAGTGGTGCCATGGAGCAAGCGAGGAGTTGTTTGGCCTGAAAGCCGGAAGCGTGCCCAAATCTTTGCATCACCATGTAGGCAGTCACCTCGCTCCTCAGCACTCGGGGCAGGACAGAAGCTTGCTGTCTGCTCACCAGACATCCTGTGCTGCCCTACAGACACCTTGCTCGCCAGCCATCCCCACTCACTTCTGACCGGGACCCAATTCTCTGGCCAAACCCAGGCTCTAGCACCGTCTTGGTGCTGCTTGAGAAACATCTAGTTTAAGTCAAAATCCAATGTCTTTTTAATATATAGACTATATGTACCTATGGACTAGAGGTGAATATATATACATCATATCAAATTCAAGTGACCCAGTATTTCAGGAGAACCCACTATGTCCCCAGCCTGCATGGGAAGCTGGGGATTCTGGCATGAACTGCACCTTATCCTTCCCTCGAGCAGCTCATTCGAGAGTCAGCAACCCCATCAGAAAACCAAACACCACATGTTCTCACTCATAAGTGGGAATTGAACAATGAGAACACATGGACACAGGGAGGGGAACACCACACACTGGGGCTTGTTTGGGGGCGGGGGTAAGGGGAGGGAACTTGGAGGACGGGTCATTAGGTGCAGCAAACCCCCATGGCACACGTATACCTATGTAACAAACCTGCATGTTCTCCGCATGGATCCTGGAACTTAAAGTAAAATTAAAAAAAAAAAAAAAAAAAAGGAGAGTCAGCAACTGTCAGAGCCATAGGATGGTGAAGGATGCTGCCGACCTCACAGCAGTGGGAAAGGGCCTGGCCACTGGGTAGAGAGGAGAAACATGTTTTATCAGTTATACTTCAAAACTCAGACCACATTTATAGTGGTCAAAAAAATCTATGGGAGGATACTGATTTGGACTGAGCTCCTGCACTAGGTCCCAACAGACCAACCCAAAATGGAGTCACTCATGCTAAGGTTCCACTCACCAAACCAAAACCTAAGCTGTTTCCTTGTGAGATCTGAACTGCCAATAAATCAAGACAGAGATGATAGCCAAATCCTTAAACAGGCCAGCTTCCCTCTGGCCACCCGCAAAAACAAAAATAAAACAAAAAAACAGAATTTCACAGCAATCAGTCAAAAGGGGCCCAGCTACCCTAAGCTGGCGTAATAGGGAGATCCCCTCTGCTTTAACCCATGTGAGGAAAGAACCTGAAGTTAACCAATCTGCTCCTCCCCTCCCCCTCATACCCTGACTGCATCTCTAGATGCCTTCTCTTGCCTCCATTCCAGCCATGCTGAGCTCCTCATATTCCTCAAATACTCCACCTTAGGGCCTCTGCACTGGCTTTTCCTCCCCCTGCAACTCCTTTCCTCCAAAATCAAATGGCCAGCTCCCTCATCCCCAAGTCTCATTCAGATCTCATCTACTCAATGAAGCTGCCGACCATGGTTGGCCCTTCCCTGTCCGAATCCCTGGTCCTTGTACCTTGCTTCATTTTTTTCCATTGCACTTTTAGCCTTGGGCATGTTCTATCATTTACATATTTACTATATTAATTGTTTATGAACTGCCCACCATGTGAACTCCATGAAGGCGGTGTTTACTTTTGAGTTGTTTTGTTCGATATATTATATTTGGCAGATTTGTTCACCAAAGTACTCCAAGTTCCCAACACAGTCATCAGCACATCATAGGCTCTCAATAAATATTCTGCAGCGACTGAATTGAATGAACTGTAGCCTCATGACCACCTGGGGCCTTGGTTTTCAGGTATTTATTTCATGGGCAGGAGCACCAAAGAAGCCATGTGACAGCCCAGATGATGGATGATCATCGAGATTCATGGATGCTGAGAAAAATGGGTGGAGAAAATGGGTTCATAGAGAACCTCGGCTGTAATACTGCTTGTATATTTCTTAACGTAGTGGTGAGGATTCAGGAATTTTTTATATTATTTCTTATAACTTTTGTATGTGTGAGAGATTTTATATTTTAACAAAATTAACAGATGTTTAGTAAAAGGCAAAAGATGCATGCAATCTGAAGAGAACCCAGAGTATAAAATTAACAGATATTTTAAAACTTAGCCATGCCTATCATGTGCTCAGCCCTGTGCTAGGTGCTGGGCTGGGAAGCAGATGGGGGTACACCAAGGACCATGGACTCATCTTCAGAGAACTTGGTAGGTGCATTATGATATAGCGCTGCAAGCTTCAGATACATACACAAGGACAGAAGGTAGAAGGAAACCAGCCCAGGATTTGCAGGCAAACACGTGACACAGACACTCAATGCTGCAGAAGTTCAGAGGGCACGGAAGTGGCAGTGGCCAGAGGGGTCAGAGGAGCTTTACCAAGATGCTGGAGCAGAGCTGAGCTCTGAAGAGTCAAGGAAGAAGAAGGACATCATGGAGACTAGAAGCCATGGTGGCGTGCTCTTTGAATCCTTGCATGAGCCTCTCAGATAGGCTCGAGTAACAATAACAACCTAAACCTCACCTTAGTTTCTTCACACATTCTTGGAGTGGATTATTCTGTACAATCTATGAAGTCTTTTCTGTTTCAAGGGTTCTATCATTCTGTTCCAAAATGACTAATTCATGCAATGCTAGGCATTGGGCATGCAGAAATTTTAAAAATATATGGCTCTTGGTCGGGCATGGTGGCTCACGCATGTAATCCCAGCACTTTGGGAGGCCAAGGCAGGTGGATCACCTGAGGTCAGGAGTTCAAGACCAGCCTGGCCAAGATGGTGAAACCCCACCTCTACTAAAATACAAAAATTAGCCAGATGTGGTGGCTCAGGCCTGTAATCCCAGCTATTCGGGAGGCTGAGGCAGGAGAATCACTTGAACCCAGGAGGCGGAAGTTCCAGTGAGCCGGGATCTTGCTATTGCACTCCAGCCTGGGCAACTGAGCGAGACTCCATCTCAAAAAAAAAAAAAAAAAAAAAAAAAAAAAATATATATATATATATATATATATATATATATATACACACTCACACACACACATATATGGCTCTTGCCCCCAAGAATTCACAATCTAATGTGGGAGTCAGACATTAGTGCCCCTACGAACTTTGAGAGGGAGGTACAGCAAATATCATTGCCACCCCCATTGAAGATGAGGAAATTGAGGCTCAGAGAGGTGCCAAGGGCAAAATGTGATCCCTGTCTCAGGGAGTGCCCATGGTAGGGATAGTTTCAGATATAAACAAGAAGCTCTGTGCCAGGTGACCACTCACACCACGAGGAAACTACGAACCACCGAAGGGGGTGCTTGTTGAGAATGCAGATTCTGATTCAGCAGGTCCAAGGTGGGGCCTGGGAGTCAGCATTTCTCATTAGCTCCTCCGAATAGTGCAGGGCTCTAGATTTAGACCAGCTCAGACTGCTGACCAGATCTTTCAGCAGAGTGCCCGGGTCACGTTAGAAAATTCTGGGATCTCCAGATCAGTGTTTCCCAAGCCTGGCTGCACATCAGAGTCACATGGGCAATTTGCTAAACATGCCCAAGGCTCAATGCCAGAAATTTCAGCTGGACCTAGGATTCCATCATCTCAAAAAAAAAAAAAAAAATGTTGTTCAGGTGATTCTGACAGACCTTTGGACCACGACTGTACCTGGCCTTGCTGGGACCTTGAGGACGAGTGCCCCGCCTTTTCTATTTCTCCGACTCTCTAGCTCCACCTATCGGACCCATCTTGTCTGTCACAGTGACCCTGAATCTTCCTTCCAATCAAAACTGGGCCCAAGTCTAGAGAAAGCCTCTAGGGTAGGATTTGGCCAGTCCCTACCCAAAAATAATATTTCTCTCCAACTTCAGCTGGCCTCAATGCCTTAAATTTCTCAGGCTGAAAATATATTCCTAAGATCTCAGGGGCAGAGCCAGAATCCTATTTATCTCTGTATCATGGGGCTTAACAAAGGGAAGAGGATAGGCCTGATATCTGGAGGTAGAATTTAAATGAAAACTTTGAGGTAAGCATTGTCCTTTTTTCTGACTATTTTCATCAAAAACATCTGGAGAAGGGCAATTTAAATGATTTTTGTCCTATGGTTTTCTCCTGTGACACAAACTGGGAACACCCAGAGCACCATGTACCTGGGAGGAAAGCAGAGGAGACAGCAGGTGGGGGAGGAAAGAAGGAGGTGGACGCATGTGTAGGGCACGTATCGTGCTCCTTATTGCTAAGCACTATTTGCTAAGCACTTTAGAAACTTATGCCACAAGATCAGATTCAACTGAAGAATTCACTAGCGTTACATATTCCCAGGCCCCACTCAAATCTACTGAGTCAACATCAACAGGGGTAGAACCCGGAACATTGCAAAGCTCCCAGGAGTTTCTAGTATTTGGGAACCACTGCACTGCCTTGTTTAATCTGCACAGCAACCCATTTTATAGATGACGCCACCCAAGTGCAGAGTGACTTACTGAAGCCACACAGCCAGTATGTGCCAAGTATGTGCCAAGTATGTGCCAAGTATGTGCCAAGGCAAGAAGGAAAGGGGACCAAACTTTCTAGTGGCATTTTCACAGAAAGCAAAAATATTCAAAATCCCTGGGGCAGTAAGGACAGATGCCTTTTTGCTTTACATATGCCAGCATTTCCTTAGGATGCACAGCAAGGTATGTTCAGTGTGTGGACTTCATCCTGGGTTCCCCCAAGTGAGTCATTCTTCAGATCGGAAAACAAGGGTTAGGGTTAGGGTAACAGCCTGTAAGAAAGTGACAGCCCCCAGAACTCACAGTAACAACTCTGCTAAGGAAAAGGCTTTCCATTTTCATAGAATAGTTAGATTGGCAAATCAAGGGAATCACACACACACTCGCATTGTAGGTCAGGGTTTCAGAGAAGCATTTGATAAGATCTTTCATGATGCTCTAAAGGATAGTTGGATAACCTGGGTTGGGTAATAGTGTATCAAGCACAGCATTTAGACATTCCTATTTCTAAGAAATATGGAAATCAACTTGGATGGAGGCTTCTCATGCCAGGCCACTGGCTCTATTCTTTCTTTCCTTCTTAGATATTTGATCAATATTGAAGTGGGAGAGAAAGCATGCTTGTGGCTCATGGTCAAGATGGTATAGTGAACTTGTATTTTGAATCACCCCCTCTGATCCAAGCCCACAGTATATCAATGGATAAGCAAATATGACATAGCCGGGCTCCAACAGCAGTCAGTGTGCAAGAACCAAAGACAGATTAGAAGTGTGCATGGTGAATGGAGCTGAAGCCACAGGCCCGGCACAGTCTCTGGCCTGGAAAGAGGTAATGGCTGGAGGTCAGCACCTGAGGAGGAAAGCATAGATGGGACACGGGAGCCAGGCTTCACACTGAAGGTAATCCTGGGAAGGGATTTCCTATGCTGGTGAAAAGAGGCTTAAACATGTCTGCAGCCCTACTGCTTAGGGCCAAGGCAATAGAGGGAAGTGACCCAACCTTTCAAGCAGGAAGGAAACCAAAGGCTGCTTCATTCAGAGCCCAGATTTCCCCATATCACTGTAAGACGGGAGCTTGGAAGTGCTGTTATAAGGCCTGGCTCTGGACTGTGCCCCCGGACCTGGGGAGGCAACTACAAACCACAGGACTGAGGGTGGACCCTCAAATCACCCAGCCTTGTTGCTAGAGAACAAAGGACTAGGAGTTGGTGTGAGGGGTATTAAAGGAGAGAGAAAAAAAAAAAAAAACCACAACAAGATTTTTAAATCCACTCAAAATGAGCCCTCAAGCAAAATGTCTAATGCTAAGGACAGCACACAAAATAAATATTTGGAATATAGACTTACATCATGATGTATCCTATTTTCATTTAACAGTCATTATCAGGTTATTGAACAATCTGATAATGACTGTTAAATGAGAATAATTGAGATACATATAGACACAGATTAAGGAATAACCTCCATTAAAAAGAGAAATTATGAAACAGAAACATATCAAAAATTAAACAATGAAATAAAGGAAAAGAATCTATTAGAAATACTGGAAATGAAAAACATAGTCATTGAAATTAAAACATAAATATCAATATAGTAGATAAAACCTAACAGGAAACATAAAAGAGAGAATTAATGAAGTAAAATATAGTAAGGAAGCATCCAGCAGGCACAGCAAGTCAAAGAGATTAAGAAAGAAGTAAAACAGCAGCTAGGAGGCATGGAGGATACAGTGAGGTTCAAATTTGTGTCTAATCGTGCCAGAAAGGAGAATTAAGGAGATCACAAAGAAGAAGTTGTTGAAAAGATGTTTGAGAATCTTCCAAAATTGATGAACGAGTGATGAGTAAAAAAGCAGACTCTGAACACTAAGAAGAGTAAATAAAAATAAATCTACACCTACACATTACAGTGAAACACAGAGCACACATGGCAAAGGATAATATTTAAATGTCTCATGGAAGACTAATGCTTTTTTAAATATTGAGGGAAAGCAACTGTTGACCTATAATTTTATAATGAGCTAAACCACCATTCAAGAAAAGAAAGTGCAAAAAAAAATACATTTTCAGATAAACAAAAACTAAAGGAATTTGTCTTCCATAGACAGTCCCTAGAAGAACCATGAAATCATGAACTGAGACAAAAGGTTTGGGATGCAAAAAGTGTAGATAAAGATACAAGAGGTTGGACATATTATAATTAACATTTTTCTTTTTTTTACTGAAAACAATAACTGAAATTTTTAGGTTTTCTTTAAAACAAAAACTAAAACTCTGGACAAGACTAATAAAATAAGGGTGTACCCAATGGTTTTCAAAGTGAGCTGAGGCCTAGGCCCTGTTTGGCAGGAGTATAGAAGTAATAAATAAATTCAAACTGTGTTAGACAATATTTGTTATACAGGTATGTTTTCTTTTCTTTTCTTTTTGAGACAGAGTCTCACCCTGTCACCCAGACTGGAGTGCAATGGCACGATCTTGGCTCACTGCAACCTCCACCTCCCGGGTTCAAGAGATTCTCCCTCCTCAGCCTCCCAAGTAGCTGGGAATACAGGCACCCGCCACAACACTCAGCTATTTTTTTGTATTTTTAGTAGAGATGGGGTTTCGCCATGTTGGCCAGGCTGATCTTGAACTCCTGACCTCAGACAATCTGCCTGCCTCGGCCCAAAGTGCTGGGATTACAGGCATGAGCCCCCATGCCCAGCCTATAGGTATGTTTTCAAAAGCTAAGGAGAACCACTAAAAGAATATAATTTTGTTCTGTGATTATGGAATTAACTGAGCAAAAACAGAAAAGAGGATAGAAAAATTATATTTTAAAATTATAAATTCAACAGAAGTCAAGAAAAGAAAGCAAGTCAGTCAGATTTTTAAAAGTCACAAAATCAGTATGTTGGATAACAAAATCAAAATCTGAAAGGACCTCGTCAGGTCTAAAACCAACAAGATGATATTGAAGACAAATATACTAAGCCTCAAAAGTCCATTGTAGAACTTCCAGATGGCAAAGCCTTAGCCATCAGCAATTCATGCGAAAAAATCAGAATACTTTGAAACGACCAGGGCAGTTCATTAATCTCTCAAAGCTCCTCCATGTGTAAACTGAGGCTAAGAATCACCTGTGTGTTTCTTACAAGGATCGGTAGGACAAAATATGGAAAATGTCTCATAGGGCCCTGGCATGGAGAGAGAGCACTCGGTAAACAAAAACAATAATCAACCTGGACATTGTTCATTTTCGAAGCACTTCGAATTATCCATAAATTTGGAATAAGTCGTGTTTGCAAAATACCATTATACAAGTCGGCTGCTCAAATTCAGTGTTCAGCATAGAAGACTTGCTGTTCCTTTTCTTTGTATCTGGTGACCTCTCACCCAGTGGGCATTTCTAATTGGGTAGAAACTAGAACTTGATCCCGTCTTGCTTCACCATTAACTGCGAAGTGCCTATCAAATGGCTATTAATAACTCAATTTCTGCCTGGGTCAAATCAGGTGAAGAAACCGACTAGCCAAGTCCCTTTCTCCTTTATTTTGAACTGTTTTGAAACTCAAATCACCTTATCCTTAGATAAAGAGAATTCACTCAAGAATTTCAACAAAACTCTCTTATTATCGGCTGAAAATGTTGTATGTATTAACTCATTTTCCATTTGTCAACACTCCCCTGTGGCGAGGGGCCCTGATTCGCGCCGGTGCGTCCTGTCCCGGGTCTCAGCGTGACAGCGCCCTCTAGAGGGTATTTCTGGGCCAGGACACCGGGACCCGAGCGACCGCAAGATGTTTCTGCGAAGGGCTGCACTTTTACGGGGTAAATGAGGAACAGGCGGGGCCTGAAAAATACAGCAGGGCGTGGAAACTGGATCCTCCCAGCCACTGCCATGCAGAGAGTCTCAGTCCTGAAGTCTGAAGACTGTTACTCCGTGCTGCTCTGAAAAGAATTCTAGCCTGCAACTCCAGAGTGGTAGCTCTGGGAGGTTACTTCCTCTAGGAGTTTCAAAGGATGTTGCAAGGAGCCCTGGGGTGACTGTGGGGAGAGGGAGGGTGGAGCTGGCAAGGAGGTGGCAGGGTTGATGTAGGAAAAAGAAAGGAAGCTTGAGAAGGGAGGGCTCCAAGCTCTCCGTCCTTTTATCTCCAGCAGTTGCTCCATTCTTATTCCATTTATAGACAGGGACCTGCAGATATTTTCAGCTATAACAAGAATTCCGCGTCGGAGAGTGAAGCATTGAGAACTATGGAGAGGCTCAACTCCCTGGGCCACCACTGACACTCAGAGTCCCTCCAGGCAGAATTAACAAAGAGGACCTCTGGGTGGACAAATTTCAACAAGGTGCCCTTTCCCCTTCAATGTCCCAGCCAGCTTCAGTCCCAGAGCCCGGAGGGCGTGATGAGTCAAGCACAGGTTGGGTTTCAGCCCCCGGTGTCCTCTCGGCCAGCACACCATGCAGACCATAAACTGCAGAGACTTAGCTGCGGCCCTGCCATGGCCTCATTTAATAAAAGTGCATGTCACAAGCCACCCACCTGATAAGGCTGGTCTCCAATGCTGCCTCCCCCGTGAGTGTTGGTGAGCTTGGCTACTTTTGAGGGCACCCCTGTGCTTGCAGCATCCACACAGGGTCTCACGCAGTCTATGGACAGCCCTATGGGGAAGGTGTCATTGCTACAAATGTATTGCAGGCCTGGTCAAAACCACTTGGTCAGGGATAGAGCCAGATTCTCTGAACTGTTCAGATTCTCTGTATTTCTCTCCTACTAAATGCAATTCTCCCCTCTACAGAGTCTCATTCTCTTCATCCTAGTAATAACAAACTCTTCCCAAGTTCAGAGACAAAGCCCCCTGTCCCTGCCTTGCTGTCCATGCTATAGGAGATATCACATCCGCCTGCCCCTCCCTGAGCCCAGCCGCAGAGCAACTTACAAGAGTCTCACAGTCGTATTTATTTCAAACTTTCAGTATTATTTTCTTATATACTTTATCAAGGCCTAGAAGGATCTCAAGAAGCATGATGAAAAACAAAACTGGGTAATAGAATTGTTTAAAAACAGATCAGGATCAGGACCAGGCCCAGTGGCTCACGCACTTTGGGATGATCACTTGAAGACGGTAGTTCAAGACCAGCCTGGACAACAGAGCAAGATCCCATTTCTACAAAAAAATTAAAACTTAGCTGGGCATGATGGTGTGTACCTGTTGTCCCAGCTACTTAAGAGGCTGAGGTGGGAGGACCACTTGAGCCCAGGAATTCGAGGCTGCAGTGAGCTGTGATCACGCTGCACTCCAGCCTCAGCAACGCACCAAGACCTCATCTCAAAAAAAAAAAAAAAAAAAAAAAAAGGATCAAAAGCTATGACATGGAGCAGGATTCAGAATGCTGGGAGGGAGTGGAGAGAATGATTCCTGAAATCTAGACCACAGATAATCCTGCCTTTGAGCACCAAACAAAACTCTGCCCCCAGCAGCTGGGGCAGAAGAGGAAAGGTGAGTGCCTGGGCTCTACTTACCCACAAAAGGACCCATATCGATTAATCACTAATGGACACACATTCCAACTGCAAACACTGTGAGGGGCGTATTCATGGGTCCTCACATAGGAGTGATGAGAGCAGAAGGTGAGCGTCAGACCCCCTCGGAACACAGCCACAGGCATCTCGTTGCTCGCTCGCATGAGAAGGAGAGTGCTCTTTCCCGCGGGTGTGTGCTCTGCCCGTGGTGCCCAGGCCATGGCTACCCACCCTGTTCCTGTCCCTTTAAACGAGGACAACCCATCCACAAAAGTCACCACACAACCTCTGTCCAGGGCCAATACACACAGGCCTCAGGTGTGCCAGACCCTCCAGCACCGTCCTTCCCCACCAGCCTCCATCTTTCCCGGAGTCCGTCCAACCCAGCGTTCTAGCCCTCCTCTCCTGTTTCACCCTGGGGGCTAACTACAGAGCACCTCTTGATTGCTCTTGGGCCCACCCACTTTCTGGTTCCCCCTTCTCCAGGCACATCCCACCCACGCTGGGCAGGGCTTTCTCAAAGGGACAGCCCAGGGGCTGTGGGTGATCACATGATAAGTGCCAAAAGCGGGGTCGGGGATCCTCAGCACATTGATGAAGCCCAGAACAGGCCAAAGCTCACCAAAGACCTAGGCACGCTCACCTGGTCATTTCATTCCTGCATCTGTTTCTTCAGCAAGTTCCAGGCGCTTGCTGTGTGCCAGTGGCCCATCCCAACATAACCACAATGGAAAGTAGGGGCCAAATTCTAAAAGCGAGCTGCTGTGTGGTTGAGAATGTAGGTATCCCACCAGCTGGGGGGTTTCCAGGCGGCTGGAGAAGGCTGCACTTACACAAGGCCTGGAAGGGTCACTGGACATTGGTGGTGGCAATCTGTCTCCCAGGATGTCCAAGTGCTCTATCAATTGAATGCAACCCCAAAAGAAGAAATGGGGTTGGATAAGCAGAGGCACGGGGAGAATGTGAAGGGCTGAGAAAAGAGAAACAGAGGGAAATCTCTGGAACGAGAAACAAGACCAAGTGTATTCCAAATCTAAATGCAAAGGGAAGTTCAAAATGGTACCTGAGTTTACACACATTCCTCGATGGGAAATCAGGAAGTGACTGTTAGTCTTAGCTCTGCCATAGGCATGCCTAGAAAAGACACCTGCTACCCTCTGGGGGGACTCGGTAACCCGTCTCTAAAACAAAAGGATGCACCAGATCTGGAGTTTTTAAACTCTGTATTTCAGGGACTGAAGTTGTATCTCCAGCCTAGATTTCTCATCTGAATTCTGTTAAAAGGTAAACTGAGGCACAATAAAATTCTAAAGAGTTTATTCGAGTAAATGGTTCAAAACCCTTCTCTGCTACCACCTAGTTCAAACCACCATCCCCTCCCACTTGGATTATTGCAACAGCCTCCCAACAGGTCCATCATGTCTGCCCTGCCCCGAAAGCCCAGGAGGTGGGTCCCCTTAACATGACACCCCAAGGTGGGGTCGAGGCCAATGCCTCCATGCTGGCCTGTGCTCCGCCAGCCTCCACACCGCTCTCACACCATCTCCTCCCACTTTTCCCGTCCTCTCAGCTCTGGCCACACTGGCCTCTTGGCATTCCTCAAACCTGCCAAGATGCTTCAGCTTCAGGACCCTTGACACCTCCTGAGGCCTCCGCTCACTCCTCAGCTCCTTCAAGTCTTTGCTCACATGTCACCTTCTCTGTGACCTCCCCAACCTCCCCATTGAAAATTACGTCATCCTCCCGTCTCGGGCTCCCCGTTGCCTTTCCCCATTTTCTTTTTCTCCACAACCCCTCTCCCCATCTGACATGCATGTTACTTAGACACTTGCTTATTCTTTTCTCCCCCACCTGGACTGTAAGCTCCAGGAGGGCAGGATGTTTGTTTTATTCACGGCTCATTTCCAGTGCTTAGAAGAGTGCCGGCCACAGTGTCGCCTAGTGAATATTTATTACTAGAATAAGCAAATGAGTGAAAAGACAATAATCTTTTACAATTTTCATTTCAGGGAGCATGCGTGGTAACTGACATAAGGTTGTCAACTTTTAATCTTAAAAAATGAAAAACAATGGAAGGAAGGGAGGGAGGGAGGGAGGGATGGAAGGAAAGTATTTTTCTTTTCATAAAAGATACTTTAACCTCCCCAAAATAGAAAATGCCTTCTCCCAGGATAAATAATAGTCTTTCCCAGGGAATTTGAATGGGCCAAGTCACATGAACATATCTACCCCACAACATTGTCTTATTTTCTTTGTTCACCACGGGTCAGTGAAAACTTTGGCACCAATACTCCATGCCAACCACCCTCCAGCTCTGTGTTACTCTGGTTCTTCCTTCAAAAACAAGAGAGTTGGGCACAGTGGCTCATGCCTGTAATTCCAGAACTATGAGAGGCCAAAGCAGGAGGATCATTTGAGGCTAGGAGTTCAAGATCAGTTTGGGCAACATAGAGAAACCTTGTTTTTACAAAAACTTTAAAAAAAAATTAGCTGGTTGCAGTGGCACACACCTGTAGTCCCAGCTACCTGGGAGGATGAGGTGGGAGGATTGGTTGAGCCCAGGAGACAAGAGAGTCCATCACCCTGGCTGGCCCTTGCTCTAGCAGACACACCTGCTTACTACGTCAGAAGCAGCCTTGGCACTGGGAAGGGTGGGGGCTCCAGCTCCAGAAGCCAGCCCAGACCCAGAGCTGCCATTCGGATCACAAGAGACAGCGTGATACCTGCCAGAGGTTCACAGACTGTACAGTTCACACTGAATTTTCACTAAATGGATACTTTGCCTGGCAGCTTCTTCTAATCCACCTTTCATGCAGCTGCTATGAGAAAAGTAAGAAGACTCTTCCGAGCTCACCTCACTCACCCCCATGCTGGGCTGGTAAAGCAGCGTCATCAGCCCCAGTTTAAAGATGAAGAGCCCAGGGCTGGGAGAGGCTCAAGGCAACTTGGGCAAGGTCACAGCTCAGTTTAGAAGCAGCAGAGCCAGGATTCCAAGCCAGGGCACCTGGATGACAAAGCCTGGCTTTCACCACACCTGTCCCTTCCTCAGGTGCAGCAGGATGTTCACATAAACACCAGCCGTCCTGGAGGAACAGAGCGGCAGTGCAGGGCAGGGCAGGGCAAATCTGCTTACCTCGACGACCACAGCATTGGGGGGAAGCCACGCCCCATCTTCTCTCCTCTGCATAGAGTCCAGGAGGAGGCAGGAGGCAGGGACAAAGAAGGGCGGACCCGTTACTTCCCAGAGTAAAAGCCATCTCAGACCTCCCTGTTTCTCTTCTTCCTTCTCAGTCCCTCATCCCCATCCCTCACGTTCAACTCCAGGCCATCTGCTCCCAAAGGGCGACTCATGGGCTGCCTCCCTTCAGCCGCTCCCATCTCCCATGTCTGGAGTCATCATTTCAAGTATACCCAGCCCAGCTCAGCCCATTCTCTCACGCTCTCTACCATACACTTGAGCATGTTTAAATATCAGAAGACAAAATGACACATGACGCATTTCATATGATCTGCATTATTTTATGTGGTTCTTAGCTCACTGGCTATTACCGAAATTCCAAATCAAGTGTTCTTCTCCAGCCCCTACAGAGCCTGCAGGGGTGCAGAACCGACACTGACAAGTTAAACGGCAATAATAGGGCGCACCACAGTTTGCAGAGTTATGTGGAGTCACATAATCCATTTGAGCTTCACAATCACAAGCGTCACAAACTGAGTCTCTCAGGGAAGGGACCTTGTTGAAGGCCTTGCTTTAGACACTTGCTCCCCACTCTGGCCCTGACCAGAGGGGTCGGGAAGATTACTGGGGCCCCCAAAGTAGCCGGTGAGAAAGGACCTTTGGGAACAGGTTTGGGTGAGGGAAGCCTACACACTAAGGTGCTTTGGCTTAATAGGTGTGTGCTAAATAGGGTGACTGTTCCAACCCAACACCTATGACAGCAAAAGAGGGTGCATAAATAATTACAGGACAATAGGCGTAAACCTGAGTGACCCGGACAAACAGGGACTTGCGTTCCCATGCGAAGGGTCTGCCCTGGATCGTCTGGGAGACTGTGCTAGGTGCTGTGGGGACACCGAGATGGTGACACCCTCGCTGCCCCGGGGAGTGTGACATTTACTGGAGCAGGAGATAGATAAATACATACTGGGACATGACCACAACCATCTCTGTCACTTAAATGCTATGTTCAGAGCCTTGTCCCCTGCACTCCAACTTTACAGAGGGAAACAAAATCTGTCTGCAGCAGAAAGATGACGATCGCGACGGGAGCTCCTATCCCCAACCACGAACTGAAATGGTATGGAGATGGAGGCATTTGAACTGGGCCTTGAAGGATGACTAGGGCTGTCACCGGTGCTGGGGAGAAGGGATTGAAGATCGGCGTCTGTGCCGGAGGCAGGTTGTGTTCCATCGGCAGCTTGCTACGAGTTCAATCGCAAACATGTAACAGCAGGAGTTTAAGCAGGACTGGCCTGGCTGCTCCCTTGTGACCACCGACTTTGCTCGTGCTCATCCTAATTTCCTGTCACTAAGAAAAGTCACATCAGACACTGTGGTTGGGTTTCCAGGTGGTTTCCTATGTGTAGTGGCAGAGTGTCACCTCCAGGGGGCGCTCAAGGCCTCCCCACGGCTCACCTGCAGGAGGAGTGGGGCAAGCCCAGGACGCTGAGAGGAGAGAGAGGCCCAAAGCCCCGCTCCCCACGGAGGCCTGCAGCTTTCTTCTCTGTTTCCATCTCACCCACAACGAACACCCCAGGCGCCAGTGCCTTCAGGCCGGCCAGAGGTAGCAGCCTCCCGAGAGCCCTCCCAGGACCAGGGGGCAGCCCACACAGGCATTTCAGGGGGTTCGCGGTATGGGAGAAGTGGACCCTTTCCCTGGGTTTGTCTCCACACCCGGCCACCGTCAGGGGCGTGCGCTCCAAAGGTCCCTGTAGAAAGGGGCCCCAGAGGAGAGGACGTCGCCCAGCCTCTGTTCAGGCCTCTGGTTGGTGAAGCCAAATGAACCCAGGTGGCAAACAAAAGCTCTGAGTAGATGGGGCCCCAAGTCCAACCCCCAAGCCTACATGGACTGGAGGTGACAAAATGGGTCCAGGGTCCTGAATGGTCACCTCCCTGGAGACCCAACTAACACGCCTGGCTCAGCACGTCCCAGGGGCAGCACGGGGACGTGGTAGAAGGAAAGAACAGAGCCGACGGGGGTGTACTAGCCTGTTCTCGCACTGCTATAAAGAAATACCCGAACCTGGGTAATTTATAAAGAAAAGAGGTTTAAATGGCTCACAGTTCCACAGGCTGTACAGGAAGCATAGCTGGGGAGACCTCGGGAAACTTACAATGACGGCAGAAGGCGAAGGGGAAGCCAGCACGTCCTATATGGCCGGAGCAGGAGGAAGAGGAAGACAATAGAAGGAGGTGCTACATACTTTTAACCAACCAGATCTCTCATGAGAACAGCAAAGGGAAAGTCGGCCACCATGATCCAATCACCTCCCACCAAACCTTTCCTCCAACACTGGGGATTATAATTCAACAGGAGCTTTGGGTGGGGGACACACATCCAAACCATATCAGGCGGAGAGGTGGGGCCAGCCTTTGAGGGGCCTTGAATGCCAAGCTAAGTGACTAAAGGAAGACTGAACTCAGAGTTCTTCATACAGAGACAAATGCAGGACCTGGCTCCATGCATTTTCCCCTACAGTGCTCTCTGAGTCCACTGGGCCAGTGTAGAGGGATTCAGTGTCTTGGCACCATTGTATTTGCAGTCCAGCCTGTCACCACAGGCCATCTGCTTTCAGGTGTAGTGCTGGTATTAATAATAGCTACCATTTATCAAGCACCTGTGAGTAGTATATAGTTAGGTATTATAAGCTTCATTTTATAGATGAGACAACTACATTTTCAGCAAATCAAAAGTTGTAACTGACAATGCTAGGGTGTGAGTCCAGGCCTCGTGGCCCCCGAACTTTGGCCTTCACTCTGGGTCTTACATATTCGGCCCGTGACTGCCTGCTATCTTTCATAGGCAGGGTGCCTGACCAAGACGAATGTCACCACACACACCCCAACTAAGAAAAAAATAAAGTCCCAACGCCCCAAGGAACAACCCCTGCAGACTTAGCTTTAGGGGAACACACTGTACTCATTCCCCAGCCTTTGCTCAAGCTGACCCCGCAGCTAGAAAGCTCCACCCCCGTCAGCTCTGTTTATTGAAATCCTATTCCTCCTCCAAGGCCAGCTTCTCAGAGAGGCCTCCTCCAGCCCTGCCAGGCTGAATCACTCTTGACCTGTGCCCTGTGAACTCTGTGGCTTGCCAGCTGCAGCCCCACCCATTCCCATTCCACCTTGACCTCCTGCAGAAGAGGGAGAGACCAGGCCTTTCACGCACCGCCCCCAGATCGCCCCGTTACCCCACCACAGAGCTCTGCACACACTCAGGGCCCAGAAATACTTGTGGCGCAGAGACCAAGCCCAGAGTCTCTGGGAATGGCCATGGCCAACAGCACAGGTGATGCTGCCAACTTAGCAGGTGCCTCCGAGGGCTCACGCTGCTGCCAGCTGCCATTTTCCAGCCCCAGGAATGAAAACAGCCCTATGGTGGCTGAGCCACTTTTACGCTTCCCAGAAGCCAGCCAGCCCTGCCTGGGCTTCTGGCCAGGGCAGTCACAGCTCCCACCTCTCCCACCCACATCTCCTGCATCCCCCCTCAGCATTCCTGGACTGCTGTCAGTCCATCGGGGGCCTGCCTGATCTAGGTCCCAGTTTCTCTTCTTTGCTGAAGCCCCAACTCTGGGCCCAGCCCTCCCTGCCATCCAAGGACTAGTCCCAGACTCAGTCCCCAGCAGCAACTCCCAGTGACGCTCCCAGTTTCACGGCTCTGCAGCCACCCTTCAGCAAGCAGGCCAGATTCCTCCAGGTGCAGCACCAGCCTGAGCCAAGGCCAAGGCCACCAGGCCCCTTCAGAAGCAGAGCCTTGCAGGAAGCCAGCTCTGCAGCTTGAGAGGAAGCAGGCCAGACTCCCCCGGCCCCCATCACCCTTCAGAGCCATGGAGGCCTGCCTCCCCCAAGGCAAAAGGCCATGGGCACCGCACAGAGACTGCCGGGGCAGGGGTTGGGGGAATCTAGACCACGGTGGATCAGCCAAGGGGCCTGCTGAGGGTTTTAGCCTGGGGCTTAGTATCCCGTCCATCTGTCAACAAGCGTTTATCAAACACACAGGAAGGTTGTGGGGTTGGAAGAGCGATGGAATACAAGGGGACACGTGGCGGGTTTGACATCCTCTCTGCAGCTTCATTACAAGGAGCCTTCGGTGAAGGAAGCACCACCTCTGTTTACAAAGTCCCCAGGCTTTTATGTTATTTAAACTTTCCTGTATATGCTACATATTCTACAATGAACATGCTTTTATAATCAGAAAAATAATTAATATCCAATAAAACATAAGCAGAAAACAGACATAATATTAAATCAGTATTAAATCCAAACTTCCACATCTGTAGGGAGGTGCAGGAGAGAACGAGGGTTGGACTGGGCCCCAGGAGGCCTGGGTTCCTCTCCCCATCTTCCACCACTCCCCTCCCAAGGTGCTGTGCAAAAGTCCCAACTTCATAGCCTCAGTTTTCTCAGCTGTCAAATGGGAATAGCGATGCTGTGCTCCCCACCTGCCAGGCTTGTGTGAGAGAGATGCCATGATAATAACACCTGCGTCTCAGGCTGGCGAGAGAGTCAGTCCTGCGGGGCATGAGACAGAGCTTCATAAGAGCCCCACCTGTCCACTGGGAAGATGCGAGTGCCATTCTCAGTCAGCACCGGGCAAACTTAAGAGACATTCCAGCAAAGGAAACAAGACAAAGCCATTATAATCCCTGACTAACCACAAAAATGGTCTACTTAATCTGAGTGTGGGTGTCATTCACCTGCACGGGGCTCCCGAGAGAAGGTCCTGCTCCTGTCCCCATCATGTAGAGGGATGTTGTGGACCAGCCTGATGTCTCTCCCCTGCAGGCCTCCGGTCCATTCAGGAAATACTTGCCCAAAGGGCCAAGCTGCAAAACAGTGCAGAGGTGGGAGCAGGATCCACGCCTCCTTTCTCCCTAGAGAGCCCTCACTGCATTGCCGCCTGGACACCAGCCCCAGAAGGACCTCTTGTCCCTGAAGGAAGGCACTGCCCTGAGGATGGAGCTGACTGAAGTGACAGGCGACAAGTGCTTGGGGTCCAGCAGCGGGAGGTTGGCCTGCCTCGCCACTCTATCCCCCTAGGATGCAGAAAACCCCGGGTCTCCCTGCCCCCTAAGCATGCTGAACCCTCTCTCACTGCCATCTCAGCCTCTGCAGCTGAGGACCACAGCAGGTGTCCCCGACGCACCATTTGGAGCAGTGGTTTGACACATTATCCTCACTGCAGCCCAACCCCCTGGCCTCTGGAAGAAACTGCAGGGTTCTGAATTCTAGCCCAGGCCCTACCCTCGGGACTCACTGCCACTCAGGGTTATTCGAACGCCCTCCACTCCTGCTTTGGGCTTTTTTGTGAAAATAACTACTTTTGTGCAACAACAGCAAAAAAGCCTTGGCTGCTAGGATGAGATCTGAAAAGGGCAGTAGGGACAGCCGCTGGCTTTGGGGTCCACAGAAGCCCCACAGCACACACAGCATGTTATTGGAGACAGCACTGGTTAAATGACCACATTGGAGGGGTCCCTTCAACTCTCCACACCTCGCTTCCTGGCCTGCACACAAACTGGACAGACAAGGATGTTCTAGCAGAGTGCCTGATGGGCTGGAGGCACTCACGAAGCTCTGAAGTCCCATTTTGAAGATTAAGCAATCACTATGCATTTTCCATCCAAGGCAAAGAAAAAAGCCTTTAATTCTTGAATAAGTTCTACAGCCTCCTCTATAAATGCAGCCTTCTGAATAGGAGCCTGTGAGGAGCAAGCGGGGCCGGTCACCTATCTGGGGAAGCGTGAATGCACAAACCCATCCCGAACAAGGCGCTCTGGGCGCAAATGTTCCCCGGGTCCCATCAGTACGCGGGCACCTGGGGATGGAAGGAGGAAGAGCAGGGGCTGTGTTTGCAGATGGCCACATGGCCGGCCCTTACCCATGACCAAGCCGAGTCTGGGGAGCTCTTGCCCTGCGAGGTCTCCCAGCTGGAGCTGCGAATGCCGTCCTGTTCCCCCATGGCCCGCCCTGTATGGTGCTGTCTGCCTCCTCACCCAGCATCAGGAGAGAAATGTCCCCCGGCAACACCGGCTCAGAAGCTGGGAGGCTGGGCTGGGTGACACTGGAGCCTGGGCAGGCGGTGCTTCCCTTTACACCAGTCCCGGGAGCCCCGGCCAAGTCACAAGGCTCAGCAAAAGAGCAGAGTGTTGAATTGCAAATGCTCTCCTACCTGGGGACCAGCTGACAAACAACATCCAGGATGCAAAACTTCCAGAAGATGCCAGTTTCTGTCACCTTTGTGAAGGGGAAACTAGAGAGGGGGGAATGACCCCTGCCGGCCAGCCGCGGGGCACTGTGTACCCTGCCCTCCCCACTCCAGCTCCTCAGAGGCAGTAGGGCTCGGAGATTGAATAACTTCCCCAAGGCCACGAAGTTCCCGGGATGCTTTTCTCCTGCTCTACTTGTTTCCAGATTTATCCTCTTTGTCTTGGGATATTCTGTCTCCAGAGGAGGTTGGTGGCAGGTGTGGAGGGAAAGACCACCTCGTGCTGAGTGCTGGAAATGGTGCTTTCTAGACAGTAATTCCTCCACTTTGTACTCTACCACTGTCTCGCGTGAAAGGTTCTGGAGTCCTCTCTGTTCCTCTGCATCGCCTCAGCACCCCGCAGAGCATCAGGAGAGCCGGGTCCAGTGCGATGCTGCACTCCCCACATGGCCCTGAGCACGGCACGCCACTCTGGACCCTCTTTCCCAGCGGGCCCCAAGGCCACCTGCAGGCACTCAGCCCCATCCATCATCACGACAGCTCTCCAGGTGAATACCTCTCACATATCAGGACCTGTGCTAGACATTGAAGATGCATGCCGGGTGCAGATGCTCACGCCTGTAATCCCAGCAGGTGGCCTCTAGGAAGCAGAGAAGGCAAGAAATGAATTCTCCCCTAGAGCTCCCAGAAGGGAATGCATCCTTCCAGCATCTGTATTTCAGCCTAGTGAAACCCGGGTTGCACTTCTACCCTACTCAACTATCAGGTGATAAACGTGTATTGTTTTAAGCCACTAAGTTTCCAGCAATTTGTCACTGCAGCCCTAGAAAACTAACACACCAAAGAGTGGCTGGAGGAGAGGATCACCCTGCGGCCCTTGGGTGTCAAGGGTGTCAGCTGACCCATGGCAATCAGCCCAGAGGGACCCAGTCAGAGGAACAAACACTGGAACTGTCTCTCCTTTCACTCACCTTCCACCACCGGCCAAGCTCTGTGGAGGCCAGAGCTCATCGAGAACGCTCTCTCTCTCTCTCTCTGACACCCACACACACACACACACACACACACACACACACACACATCTCTGTTGTTCCTATGAAGGTAAACTCTGCTTCTCTGAGTCAGAAAATCCTCCTGTGACTCAATCCTGGAGTGAGGAAAAGAGGGAATGACCTCTGCATTTTTAAATATTCTCTCTAGTCCACGTGTTGGCATCAGACCAAAAGCTGCATAGGGATTAGTAACTGTCAAAGACAATTCAGGCTGCCATAACAAAATACCATAGACTGGTTAGCAACAGGAATTTATTTTCTCACTGTACTAGAGGCTGGAAGTCCAGGGACAAGGTGCTGGCATGGTGGGGTGCTGGGGAGGGCCCTCTTCCTGGGGCTGACTCCTCACCATGTCCTCACATGGTGAAGAGGGGACAGGGGAGGAAGAGAATGCTCTCTGGTGTCTCCTCTTTAAGAACACTAATCCTATGGGATCAGGGCCCCACCCTTACAACATCATTTAACCTTAATTACTCCCTTACTCCAAATACAGTCACACTGGGAGTTTGGGCTTTAACATACTAATTTGGGGAACACAACTCAATCTATAGAACAGGTTATTTTAATGAAAGGTTGCATGCAAAATACAAGAAGGCCAGGACCCAGAGCACACAAAGCAAATAGGAAACCCGGGGTCCTGGCCCCAGACACCCCCTGGCCAGCCAGAAAGCCTTGTAATACTTGACGCTATTGCCCAAAATAGAGCAGCTCTCACATCCCTGGACTCAGAACTGCTGCTCTCCATAACTTCCCACACCTGTTAGAGTCCTCCGGCACTGAGTAGTTCTAATTATTCTCTGCTGAATTAGAAACAGAGGAAGGTAGCTGCCTGCTCAGCAGTTGAACAGGAAAGCCAAGGCTTTGATTCTGCATACAAAGTGGCAAATATCAAGGGTCAGTCTTCCCATACAGGCTGAAATCAGTGCAAACACAAATGATGTTTTATTCTTATTCAGAGGCAACATTAGGCTCTGATGAGTATTGTAGAAGCAAGAGCCAGTCCCAGAGCATCTATGCATAGATATACTCTCTGTGAAGGGCGTCAAGTTCTTGTGACCACGAATGAGATTTACAAACAGGGAGCAGAGCAGTCATTGTGCCCCGATCCCCTAGTGAAGACAGAAATTCTCAGCCTTCTGCACACGCCTGTTGAGGGGACCCCCTCGGCAATTCGATGGTGCTAAATTCCCTCACTTCCACGTTCACTGCGTTTTCCAGTCCTCCCCTGACCTGTCTGGAGACGCCCACTTGCAGAAAATACAAAGAAAATTCTCCTCTTTCTACATGATAGAGAATGCTTACCTAGAGCTGTCCTGAGAAGGCATCAATACATGTCTTTGATGCTCCCTCTGGAAAACGCAGCCACCCCTAACAGTGCCACACATGAAAGACTAGAGACTGTCCCCTTTATCTTTGGGCTTCCCTCCTGTGTAGGCATTAAAGGTTTAACTCCCTGAAGTAAGTAACAGCCAAGGAGCCAAGGAGCTTCAGTTCCTGTGATTTTTTTTTTTTTTTTTTTTGACAGTCTTGCTCTGTCGCCCAGACTGGAGTGAGTGACGTGATCTGGGCTCACTGAAATCTCTGCCTCCTGGGTTCAAGCGATTCTTGTGCCTCAGCCTCGTGAGTAGCTGGGATTACAGGTGTGCACCACCGTGCCTGGCTAATTTTTGTATTTTTTAGTAGAGACAGGGTTTTGCCATATTGGCCAGCCTGGTCTCGAACTCCTGACCTCAGGTGATCCGCCTGCCTTGGCCTCCCAAAGTGCTGGGATTATAGCAATCCCTGTGATTCTTATCTGCTCATTGCCCTAACTCAATGAGGTAGGAAAAGCAGATAGTAGTCTTATCACCCCTCCATTTCAGATGAGTAAACCAAGGCTGAGAAAAGCTGCGTGACTTGGACAAGCCGTAAGACAAATGAGCAGCAGGAGCCAAGACCTGTCCTCACCTCTTCTGACTGCAAGCCCAGCATCACACCAACCTAGACCTTGGGAGGCTAAGCACTTGGAGGATTCTTCCAAAGAGAAGCAGAAACCTACTTTCCCTACAGGCCTTAATGAGCTACATGAAACCCATTGACATAGTTTGGCTGCGTCCTCACCCAAATCTCATCTTGAACTGTAGCTCCCATAATTCCCATGTGTTGTGGGAGGGACCTGGCGGGAGATAATTGAATCATGGAGGTCGTTTCCCCCATACTGTTCTTGTGATAGTGAATAAGTCTCAAGAGGTCTGATGGTTTTATAAGGGGTTTCCCCTTTCACTTGGCTCTCATTCTCTCTTGTCTGCTGCCATGTAAGGCATCCCTTGCTCTTCCACCATGATTGTGTGGTCTCCCCAGCCATGTGGAACTGTAAGTCCATTAAACTTCTTTTCTTTATAAATTACCCAGTCTCGGGTATGTCTTTATCAGCAGCATGAAAACAAACTAATACACCCATTAAAAAGTTAAGAATGTATTGGTACTGGTTATTTTGTTCAAAAAATTTGTTTAACATTCATCCATATGGAATCCTTAAACTTGATGTGGAAACTGAAGTGTAATCTCACAGTTTTCAAATTTTTTAGTTTTAGTTTTCAGTTTTACTTTTAATACTGTAAATATTGATAGATATAACCCACATAAACACAAGTTCTCTGGGGTCCTCAGTCACTTTTAAGGGTATAAAAGGGTCCTGAGACAAAAATGTTATACTTTCTAAAATTAAAACTGAGAATTTTTAAGTATATATTTTTAATTCATTAAAAAAACCATTACATGCTAACAATGCATTTTTATTAGAAATAACCATGTTTCCAAGTTAAAAAAATTGCATCGTATTGCTTCATATTTTTGCAAATCTCATTAATGTCTGGCTAAACTGAAGACAACTGATTCCCTGCTTCTGCATTCAATCTGTTCCAATATTATGCACTGGTTGACGTATATAAAGAAAAGTCAATTTCACACAGACATATACTTGAAAAACTGGGGGGATATTTTAATAATCTTTCAGATACTTGTGGATATTCTTCTCTGGTATTACATCAAATTTGACAAGTAGTGGTTTCTTAAAGGTTGTTACAATATGGAAACTGAAACTATACTGATGAATTTTTCATCATCAGTTACATTAAAATCCACTGGTCTACTTTCTCTTTTGAATGGATCTTTTACTCATGCACAATTTTATACCCTCACACACTGGTTATTTGTAAAATACCAGTTCATCTAGTAGCCATGCAGATCATCCAACTGTTGATACATTTCATTATATAAAAATCACATTATTTCATATCACCATTGTTATCATTAATAAAGTCTTTGGATGTTGGGAAACTGTCAAGTTCATAATGGCAGATACAATGGTCCAAAATTCTGATTTCTTTTTGCAAGCTCAAATGTTATAAATTTATTTACCAAAATATGTTCTGTTATTTTCCCTGAGCGCCAGCTTACTTCATTCATTTTTAAGAAAATATCTGCCAAATACTCAGGCCTAAATAACCATAGTTTGGCAGTCATACTTTCAAGTAAAAATAGTATTCCAAGGAAAAAGCAGCAAGTTCATCTTGTGACTTGGACAAGTGTAATGCTTTCCTTTGAAATGACCATCGTACTTCCATATGCAGCAGAAGTGATTTTATGCATGTGAAGAAGAAAAAGCACAAATGTTAACCTTTAGGATACCAGGGTAAATATTACATTTAATTTTGAGTTGCTGGCACAAAAGCAAAAGGAGAAGCATGATACACTTCATCGCTTAGAGTAACAGAAAAGAGGAAGCAGACAGGAAAGGCATATATTGCTTGATATTAAATAAATTATTCTGAAATAATTTCTCGACCCCAAACATCATATATTGTACACAAACTTCTCTGCTGCCTGTTCACATGGGCTTCCCTCTCTCCTCCAAGGAGTCTTTGGGTGGAACACAATCAGAGCTGAAACAGGGACAGAGCTGGGCAGTGGTCGTGACAAATGTTTTTTATTTTGTCTCAGATTTCACATCATATACTGAGACTTCTATATAGAAAAGACACTTGGGTCTGTAGCAGTTTATTAACTCATTAAAAGCTTTTTAACCTGTAAGATACCATATAAAATTATTCCTTTTTTTTTTTTTTGAGACAGAGTCTTGCCCTATTGCCCAGGCTGGAGTGCAGTGGCACGACCTCAGCTCACTGCAACCTCCGCCTCCTGGGTTCAAGCAATTCTCCTGCCTCAGTCTCCCGAGAGGCTGGGATTACAGGCACGCACCACCACACTTGGCTAATTTTTGTATTTTTAGTAGAGACAGAGGTTCACCATGTTGGCCAGGCTGGTCTCAAACTCCTGACCTCATGATCCACCCGCCTCAGCCTCCCAAAGTGCTGGGATTACAGGCGTGAGCCACCGCGCCCGGCCCATATAAAATTATTCTAAACAATGATTTCAGAGAAGCGAGCACTGTGCGTCACCACAGCCTCTCCACTGCCCAGCAATTTCATCATCTCTCCTACGGTTTTAGGGCGTTGATTCATCCCTTAATTTCCTTAAGATCACAAGAAATTAAGTGGACACGACCTTTCTTTTAAAATTAAAACTTCAGGGCCAGGCACAGTGGCTCACACTTGTAATCCCAGCACTTTGGGAGGCTGAGGTGGGTGGATTGCTTGAGGCCAGGAGCTTGAGACCAGCCTGGCCAACATGGTGAAACCCTGTCTCTACTAAAAATAACAAAAAAATAGCCAGTCATGATGGTGTACACCTGTAATCCCAGCTACTTGAATGGCTGAGACACGAGAATCGCTTGAACCCTCAAGGCAGAGGTTGCCGTGAACAGAAATTGTGCCACTGCACTCCAGCCTGGGCAGCACAGCAAGACTCTGTCTCAAAATAAATAATAAATAAATACAATTAAAACTTCAAAATACCATTTAGGAAGGAGCTATAAACCATTAAAAAAATCACATATTCTGACAAAGAAAGCCCTCTTCCTTTCTTTGTCCCTCAATTGCAAAACACATCAGACTGAATATATGTCTAACCACTTCTGCTCAATTTACTTTCTTTGTGGGATGTTCTCATTTGTAGTTACAACTGGCTACATAATTTGCAAGACTCTATACAAAATGAAATTGCAGGGTTCCTTGTTCAAAAATGATGCAGAATTCCCAGATGACAACAGCATTTGACTCAGGACAAGGCCTTTTCAAGCATGGGACCCCATGCAAAAACACAGTCACATGCCTAAGAATCCAGCCCTGGTTGTTAATGATTCTTGTCGTTCAATAAATGCTTATAATTTCAATAAATTTATTGTGCAGAGTAAAAGTATATTTACATAATCTCAATTTCAATGTAGATATGGTTATATGCCCACATGGAAGATTAAACTGATTATCACCGGGCCATAATAACTTTGCTGAAGACAAAAAAGTCAGGATCCCTGGGTTCCAATTTCAATTCTGCCCCTCAGTAAATACCAGGGGTTCTTGGATGAAATGAGAAGGCCTCTGGGCTTTTCAGCTCTAAAGTTCGGGTGTTCTGCATGAATTTAGAAAAGTGAAAGGTTTTAAAACATGCTAAAAACACTTCTCACTTCATCCCCTAGCTCCATGAGAATGACACTCTCAAAGGACTGGGAAAGTGTGGCACCATGAGGATGTATTCTCAGTGACAAAGGAGCTTCCTGGGGCTCTTAGGATGGCATTGAAACAGCCCTTTAGCAAGAACAATAACAAAATGCTGAAGTGCTGGGAAAGTCTTTCCCAAGATCTCTCCCGAGCTGCACACACACACAAATCAACACAAGGGCCAAGGCGCAAGACGAAAGCACCATGTCTATTTATGCTGCAGGTAGAAACTTCCACACACACGTTCGCTCATTTCATCTTCCCAGAAATTCTGCAGTGTCGATAATAAAGTTGCAAAACCAGATTCAGAGAGGTTAAAAAACTTGCCCAAGTTCACAAAGTTCGAAAGTGGTGGAGTTCGGCCCAACTCGGGACTATCAGCCCCTGAAGGAACCCAACCCCCTTTCCACCAGCACGCGCTTCCCTGGGTTGAACTGAACCCAGACGTGTGACCGACGCTAACGGGCTGGCACTCGCGGTCCCACGTTGGCTCAGGGACACCCTTTCGGGGGCGTGTCCTCCCAGTTCTAGAGGTTCCCAGAGAAGAGGAGGTGCTCACTAACCAGGCAGCTCGCCCAGACTCCGGGCAGTGAGAGGGAGGGAGCGCCGGCCGCGGGAGCGGGATGGAAACCAGCAGCCCGCGGCCCCCGCGGCCCAGCTCCAACCCGGGGCTGAGCCTGGACGCCCGGCTGGGCGTGGACACTCGCCTCTGGGCCAAGGTGCTGTTCACCGCGCTCTACGCACTCATCTGGGCGCTGGGCGCGGCGGGCAATGCGCTGTCCGCGCACGTGGTGCTGAAGGCGCGGGCCGGGCGCGCGGGGCGCCTGCGCCACCACGTGCTCAGCCTGGCGCTCGCGGGCCTGCTGCTGCTGCTGGTCGGCGTGCCGGTGGAGCTCTACAGCTTCGTGTGGTTCCACTACCCCTGGGTCTTCGGCGACCTGGGCTGCCGCGGCTACTACTTCGTGCACGAGCTGTGCGCCTACGCCACGGTGCTGAGCGTGGCAGGCCTGAGCGCCGAGCGCTGCCTAGCCGTGTGCCAGCCCCTGCGTGCCCGCAGCCTGCTGACGCCACGCCGGACCCGGTGGCTGGTGGCGCTCTCGTGGGCCGCCTCGCTCGGCCTCGCCCTGCCCATGGCCGTCATCATGGGGCAGAAGCACGAACTCGAGACGGCGGACGGGGAGCCGGAGCCCGCCTCGCGAGTGTGCACGGTGCTGGTGAGCCGCACCGCGCTCCAAGTCTTTATCCAGGTAAGGGCGTGGAGAGCGGGAGTCGGGGGAGGGGGGGTGGGGGGGCGGTGCTGGGAGGAGGGAACCCCCTCTCCCCGGGGAACAGACATTTTCGACTCTAATGCTCGCCACCACCCAGCAAGTTGGGTCTTGTTGCTCTGTCCCATTTTACTAGAAGGAGGGAGGCGTGGCCAAAGTGAAGCATTGAGAGAAGTCCCGATTTCAATTCAAAATTAACTCCAAAGTCAGTGTTCCCACTCTTGCGAGAGTGGTGCTCAGACATTTGGGCGTAAAGTTGCCTGCAGAGCCTGTGAAAATCCGGAGTCCATGACCCACCCAGGTTCCTGCCTCAGTAGCCCGAAGTCTGTGTTCCAACGAGCTCCCCAGACGGCTCTGGAGAGGGCCTCCCTGGAGGTAGGGTGGGGACGGGGAAGGCACTCCCGGCCTCTCTTCCAGAGGCCTGATCAGGCTTCTAACCTCATTTCCTGTTACCGTCTCCCTGGCAGCCTTGCCTCCTCCAGGCCACTTGTCCCCCCACACCTCTTGCTCCCGCTTTCCCCGAACCCCACACCATGCCCAGCCTCTGGCTTTTAAGTCAAAAGCTCATTCTTCTGCTTTTGGTTCCAACCCTTCTTATTCCCCAAAGTGCAGCTCTGATCTCACCTCCTCCCCAACTCCAGGGACTCTCCCGTCTTCTGAATTCTCTCAGCATGTGATGTATTTGCAGCACTTCACAATGCATTTTCTGAAAGTGATGCTCACCTTTCGAAGTGTCTGTCTCCATTTCCGCATCGTTCTACAAGCCAGTGTCCTCTGGTCGCTTGCTCTAGTCACATTAGACCATGATCTCATGTATCCAGCACATTGGGGAAGTGGGAAAGGCTGAGAAAGCACAGGCCCCTCCAGGCCCTGCTGGGCCTCCAGGAAACCTAAAGGAACAAAGCAGAGTGGAGCCAGGACCCCTTCTCTGCACACTGGCACACGAGGGTATGTGGGAGCGTTTACTGTGTGAATTCATCAGGGCACATGGAGGGTGCAGAGGCTGCTTAGGGGACTCGTCCTAAGCAGTCTCCTAAGCGGCTTCTTAGTGGCACGTCCCCAGGTGAGGCTCCCTCTCATGTTAAGCTGCTTCCTGCAGATGGAAGCCCAGCCTGCCTACACAGTCGAAGGGCCCTCGCTAAAGTCCCCTCTCTCTTCCTATACCCTCTCCTCGTTCCTGAAGATCCCACCTTTGTTCGTGTCTGCTCATCCATCCCCTGGGCAGGGGTAGAGGACTGAAGGGCCTCAGGGAAGGTGTTCACTCACCAACCTGCTTTTCATTCATGACCAAGAGAAATCCATGAAGCAGGCAACGTCTTAAGATTTCGTGGGTGTTCAGTGGAGCCGCTTTGTTTCCATTCAATCTAAACATTGTGGAGGGGAGAGGGACTTTCCACGGCCAGAATCCTTCCAGATATTGAGCATGCCCCACAGTCCTGCCCCCGGAATCCACAGAGGCCACCGAGTCATCCTCAGAAGTGTACCTCTGTGGAGTGGCTGTCCTGGCAACAGGGCCTTCTCTCCACTGAACTTGTCACCTCTTATTTCTTTAAACAACGTCTTCCTCCCCTAGTTCCTTTCTGACAGGCTCAGCCCAGAGATCCCTTGCTCATCACATGGAATCTGCCATGAGCAACTGTCTGCAGTGATTTTCCCGTGGGTCTGGGGGCTCCAATGCGCACCTGGAAGCAGGACACAGGTCTCCCGTGGATGTGGAGTATGGAGGGTGGGATCTGGCCTGGAGAGAGGGAGAGAAGGATGGAGGGACCAAATGCCTAAGGAAGATGTATTTATTTGTTTCCTTGTTTATTTTACATGGAACTTCGCATTTAAAAGTTTATAAGGCTCGGTGCAGTAGCTCAAGCCTGTAATCTCAGCACTTTGGGAGGCTAAGGCAGGAGGATCAGTTGAGGCCAGGAGTTCGAGACCAGCCTGGGCAACATAGTGAAACCCTGTCTCTCCTAAAAATAAAATAGTTAGCTGGGCATGGTGGCATGCCTGTAGTCCTAGCTGTTGAGGAGCCTGAGGCAGGAAGATCCCTTGAACCGAGGAGTTTGAGGTTACATTGAGTCATGATTGCATCACTGCACTCCAGCGGGGGTGACAGAGCAAGACCCTGTCTCAAAAAATAAAAATTAAACATTAAAAGTTCATAATCTGTTTCTGAATAAAAATTCTAGCCATTGTGGAAGGGGAAAGAGGCTGGAGAGGGGTGTAGTCAGAACTCTATGTTGCAAATGATGGAAACAGAACTGGAGGCAACTTCAGCCAAAATAAAAAATTGAAGCAAGGATGTTGGGGCAGAGATCTCAGGTCAGAGTCAGGGGCTCAGGGCTCCCAGGAGCCCCTCTCGCTCCTGCTCTTCCCAGACTCAGAAAGAGGCCTCTGGGTGTCTGTGGGTAGCGTTCACATGCCCAGGTCTGTCCACAGGACAAGAACATGGCTGCTGGCATCCTCTGTGATAATTCAATGAGATCATGTGGAATTGCCCAGAATATTGCAGGTCCTCAACAAACGTTCACCTTCTTTCCTTTCCTGCCTTTTCTTCCCACCTGAGGGTTTAACTCCAGCTCTCCCTTCCCAGCCTGGTACAGTGCCTGGCTCACAGGAAGCAGAATCAGGGCCTTCCCACCTGTCCCGTCTTCTCTCTCTCCCTGCCTGCTCTGCCCTTCTCCTTCCCTCCCTCCTCTCCTCACTCATCATCAAGCTCCCTCCTTCCTCCACCCCTGGCCTCTCTTTAATAACTCAGCTCCATTTGCCTTCTCTGGATTTACTTTTTGTTTCGTTTTTGATATGGAGTCTCACTCTGTCGCCAGGCTGGATTGCAGTCGCACATTCTCGGCTCACTGCAACCTCGGCCTTCTGGGTTCAAGCGATTCTCCTGCCTCAGCCTCCCAAGTAGCTGAGACTACAGGCACGTGCCACCACGCCCAGCTAATTTTTTTATTTTTAGTAGAAATGGGGTTTCACCATGTTGGCCAGGATAGTCTTGATCTCCTGACCTCGTGATCCACCCGTCTCAGCCTCCCAAAGTGCTGGGATTATAGCCGTGAGCCACCACGCCCGGCCTAGATTCACTTTTTGTTCGTTGTTTTTTATTTTATTTTTTGCTTTGAAAACATCTTTACTATTTAAGCAAAGTTATATATGTACATTTTTTAAAAATTTGAGCATGAGTAAGCAAAGGGGTGTGAGAGTTTGGTAGGATGAGGAACCCCACAGTAGCTGTCCCTGTGGCCTCTGGGGCAGCAGCTGGAAGGACTGGCAAGGAGACGACCAGCTGGAGACCCGCAACCTCATCTCTCTGCTCTCTTTGCCTGGGAGATCTTCCCAGGTCTCCCCACCACTTTGGCCCACTGCCACTTGGTACCTCAGCTCTACCAAGGGGTATCATCCTCCTTTTGCCACATCGATTCAGGTCCTGCTGTTGCTGCTGGGTAGCAGGATTCCAAGGGCTAAAGCGCCTGCGTGCCTTCCTGCAGTCTTGACCTGGTTTCTTGGCCTCAGAGGCTGTGACCATGGACTGTGACTTTAAACTGAAGCTGTCCAGCAAGTGGGAGCCGCTTGAGGACCTGTTTGAATCTGAGGACTGCAAAGTAGGCTGAGGCACTTGGGGTCGTGTCTACAAAGCCAAGAGGAAAGGTGGTTCCTTCACAAGCTTGAGCACCCACGGGCCCTCCCTCTTCGGAAAGTCTTTCTGTCTCATGCTGACATGGAAGTAGGGCTTCTGTGTGACCTCTGACTTATAATCTAGTGGTGCAGAGCTACTAACAAACAAGAAGCCAGCTCAGTTACCTTGGGGGATAGTGAGGTCATCATCACCTCCCATCCTAGATGCAGTTTGCTGCCTGCATGACCACTGGGAGTTACATAGGTATGTAGAACCTGCCAATATTTTAACTATGAGTAAAGATCCTGAGTAAATTCGAGTCCAAATCACTGATATGAGTGGCACTCTATTTTTTTGTTCACCTTTGAAGCCTTGGGCAGATCTGGATCTAGCAGCTGCAACATTCCGAGTCCCAGAGCTACTTATCGAGGCAAGACATTATTCCAGAGCTGCTGATACATGGGCTATAGCGTGTGTATTTGCAGAACTACTAATGTCAGAACGAATATTTTTTATCATCCACACTAGTAACCTCTAGCCCCATGACAAGCCAGCACTAAGCACAGAGCAGCAGGTACAGGAATCTACCTCCCAGCTGCCTGCACGTGGTCCCCAGCTGCAGCAGAAGAGCCAGCGCATTGCCGCTCAGACCTGGCTGCGCAGTTCTCCGCCGAGGCCTGGCGTGGCTGTGACAATGAACCGTATTTCCACAATGCCTGGGAGCCGGGTTCCACCACTTGTCACAGTCTGGACTAGTGACTTCCAGGCTGTTCCTAACTGGGAGACAAGCTTGGAAAAAAAAAAAAAAAAAAAAAAAAAAAACAGTGCCAAAGTGCCAAGCAATGTTTGTGTTTTGAATATGCTGCTCACAGTTTCCTTGACATGGTTCAACCTGGCCAGGGCAATGAAGCTGTGAAATGAATTCTGTCAGTCTAACAGCATCTTTTGACAAATAGTGCGTTTAAAAATGTTTCAATTGAAACATACAGTGTATGTTAACACAACAAAATAACCAGACTCAAATTAGGATTATTTTGATTCTAATATTTTATCAGTGAGTTGATTCACTGTTTATATTAACCAGTGTTTTTTTGGTCCAAGAAAATTGCTTACAGTTTTTGAAAGTACGAAAAACTATAGTTTTCCCAGAAAGATTTTAAAACTCCCAAAGATTAATTACTAATGCATAAATATATTTTTAATTTTGATCTTTGTCTTGACTGGTATTAAAGCTACAAATTGAGAGTAATTAAGTATGTCATTACTGATATAAACCTGTTTGGTTCGTCAACAAACTAAATTGATGGTCACAGGTAGTGTTTTATTTTTCCCTCAGTGTTGCTGATTTGTGAGCAAGCATTAAGATAAAAAGGCATGAATGATAACTCCATAAAAAGGCACAGGGTCCAATTCAGATAGTTCATACTGATTTTAAAGTGGTATTAAATATCATTCAGTTAGTCCAGGCACAGTGGCTCACACCTGTAATCCCAGCACTTTGCGAAGCCAAGGTGGGCAGATTGCTTGAGCTCAGGAGTTCAGGACCAGCCTGGGCAGCATAGTGAGAACCCCATCTCTACACAAAATACAAAAATTAGCCAGGCGTAGTGGCACATGCATGTAGTCCCAGCTACTCGGGAGGCTGAGGTGGGAGGATCACTTGAGCCCAGGAGGCAGAGGTTGCAGTAAGTTGTGATTGCACTACCGCACTCTAGTCTGGGCGACCTCGTCTCAAAAAAAAAAAAAAATGCTCAGTGTTTAAAATGTTTGCTAAGGGAAAGGTGGAAGAGAGCCTTAGAACTGATGAGGGGAAACCCTAGAACACATTGATTTTGAATTTTTAAAAGTAAACATTTAAAACACAGGGTATTATATAAATAAATTCATTTTTCTAAGTCACATAGTATCAATGATGATAACCCAAGGTGTGTGATGGAAAACAGCAGTCCCATCATTCTCCATACTCTGATTCATTTCTCTATTTCTCTAGTTGAGAGGCAAATACCATGTGTTCTTGTCGCTTGTCCTCTTTGCCTCCATATTTCTAAAGAGCATACTAGCTTTATTTCTGTTTTAAATTGTATCCACTGTCTTATATCTACAGAAAATGAGCATTTCACTCTCCCACATTCCTGTCCCTGCCTTCTGTCACCATCACCTCAACACACACTGGCCCCATCCTCCTTCCAGTGTAATTCTATCCCTGTGCTGGGTTAAATTTATGTTCAGTATTTATGTAATTGTGACTATGTAAACATTCTTCACAGATGACCCATGTGTTGTATTTTCTTTCTAATCCAAGGACTTTTGTTTTCTTTGCGGTTAATAATGTATGGCCTTTTTTTTCATTTGCATAGTTTTTTAAGTACCTATTTGTAGTTCATTTTCAGCTCCTCTATCACAAGCGTAAATGCCCTTTCAATATGTTCTGATCCATTAGATAATCTACCAGTTTCATCTTTTATTTTTCAGTTCTCCCTGGAGCTCTCTGGTCTCCTGCTCCAGTCCCACTGGTTGCTCTCTGGTGCACAGGGGGACCATAGGGAAGTCTCATCTGCACGGGGGCCCCCTGGGAGCTCCCTTCCATCCCTCGGTGGGTCCTGTGTAGGATACCCCATTTTGAATGACAGGTCTTCCTCTTTATTGGCTTATAACCTTATTTGTCTAGAACATGTTCTTTTAATCTCCTGAGACCTGAGGAAGGGTCCATAGAGGGTAAAAAAAAATTGAGAATTTGCATGTCAAAAATTGTTTTCTTTTATCCTCATGTTTGTCATAATATGGCTGGGTATAAAATTCTAAGATGGAAGCCATTTTTCTCACAAATTGTAAAGCACTGCTCATGATTTTCTAGCTTCCACCATTGCTTTTAAGAAGTGAATGTCATTCTGGTTTTCCATCCTATCTATGTGACCTGTTTTATCTGTCTGGAAGCTTTCAAGATCTTCTCTTTATACCTAAGATGCTAAATGTCATAAGAATGAGACTTGCTATGAGTCTATTTCCATCGATTCTTCTGGGCACCCGGGCAGCCTTTCAGTCTAGAAGCTCAGATTCCTCAACTTTGGGAAAATTTTCTTGAATGCATTTTTTTTTTGAGACGGAGTCTCGCTCTGTTGCCCAGGCTGGAGTGCAGTGGCATGATCTCGGCTCACTGCAAGCTCCGCCTCCTGGGTTCACACCATTCTCCTGGCTCAGCCTCCCGAGTAGCTGGGACTACAGGCGCCCGCTACCACGCCCAGCTAATTTTTTGTATTTTTAGTAGAGACAGGGTTTCACCATGTTAGCCAGGATGGTCTCGATCTCCTGACCTCGTGATCCGCCCGCCTCGGCCTCCCAAAGTGCTGGGATTACAGGCGTGAGTCACCGTGCCCGGCTTGAATGCATTTTTAAATAAAATTTCCTCCCCTCTGTTTTCTCTATTTTTTTTCTTCCTGGAACCCCTATTATGAACATCCTATACTAATCCGAAATTTTATTTTCTCTCTCCTCACTTTTTGAGAACTTTCTCAACCTTATCTTCTAACCCTTCTGCCGCTCCTTCTGCTGATGCAGATTCCGGGTCTGGGGCACAGCCAGATGGCGAGGGCCGCAGGGCCCTGGCGCTGCCCCATAGCCCTTGGCATTACCTCCACAGGTGAATGTGCTGGTGTCCTTCGTGCTCCCCTTGGCACTAACTGCTTTCCTGAATGGGGTCACAGTGAGCCACCTGCTGGCCCTCTGCTCCCAAGTGCCGTCCACTTCTACCCCGGGCAGCTCCACCCCCAGCCGCCTGGAGCTGCTGAGTGAGGAGGGTCTCCTCAGCTTCATCGTATGGAAGAAGACCTTTATCCAGGGAGGCCAGGTCAGCCTGGTGAGACATAAAGACGTGCGCCGGATCCGCAGCCTCCAGCGCAGCGTCCAGGTTCTCAGTTAAGTCCTCTGTAACATCACCCCAGAAGAAAGGGGCCTAAGTTCCAGGGCTGCCTCCACCAATCCCTGGCCGGGTGACCTCAGCAAGTCACTACCTCTCTCAAGGCTTCCTTTACCCTATGCCCCAGGGGAACTGTATAACCAACAGACTTCCTGTAGGGTTCGGTGCTATAATTAAAGGAAAGAATAGGAATTCTGTACATGAAGCCTCTGATCTGCTCCAGGGAATAGCACACACAGGCAAACAGAGACCTGACCACTTTTCAGTGAGTCTGGCGGTGTGGATGAACATGAGGAGCAGTTATGGTTAAAGACTGCGGCTGCAAATTGTGGACTCTCAGATGGGCTGGGTACCTAAATCCAGTCCCTTCAAACTCCATTTTCCCTCCTACAACACTGATCTGTTTGCTTTCTTGTTTTGTAAGTCTCTGGGAAAATTTGGCCTTGTAAGAGAAACTCCAAAAGGCACAGGAGAGCAGAGGTCTCTCCAAGCACCCACCATAACCCAGGCACTAGCTAGGGTATGGAAGGATCAAGTACAAGACAGGCCCTCTGCTGTCATCAATGTCACAGTCTTGTGTATGGACAGAGATGCAAGAGCTAAGTGCAATGTGATGTGATAAGTAACACAAAGTCAGCACATGAAGGTGTCAGACTTCATTTTAGGGACGATGGTCAGTCATTGAAAAAGTTGATGTCCATAAGTGACGGGAGATTTGCTTTTGAGACCTATTGCGCTCAGCTCTTTGGAGAATGGGCTAAACGGTGCCTCTCAAACTTCAGTGTGTGTTAAGAATGATCTGGAGAGTTGTAAAATGCAAGCCGCGGGGCCCAAGATTCTGCACTTCTACCAGGCTTCTCACTGATGTTGACACTGCTGGTCCAGGGGCTACCCTGGGCTAGATGATGGCTTTGCCAGTCAGAGCAGAGTAGAAGCAGGAGAGGGAAGGGGTGGGAGGTTGGGAAACTCGTCATAGTCCAGTACAGAGGCGGTAAGAGTCTCTTAGGGAGGTAGCAGTGAGAGCAGGGAAAGCACAGAGGAGAGATGCTAAGAAGGAACTTTTCAATAGACTGGATATAGAAAGGAACAGAAAAATAGGAGTCTCTGGCTTATGGCTTGAGTGCCAGATGAATGGCAGTGCTGTAAATTAACCAGAGAAAGGACTAAAGGAGCAAGAGGCTTTCTAAGACAAGAAAGACACAAGTTCACTTTTTTTTTCTTTTTGAGATGGAGTCTTGCTCTGTCACCCAGGCTGGAGTGCAGTGGTGTGGTCTCAGCTCACTGCAACCTCCTCCTTCCAGGTTCAAGCAATTCTCCTGCTTCAGCCTCCCAGGTAGCTGGGATTACAGGCACCTGCCACCACACCTGGCTAATTTTTGTCCTGTTAGCCAGGCTGGTCTCAAACACCTGACCTCAACTGATCCACCTGCCTCGGCTTCCCAAAGTGCTGGGATTACAGGCATGAGCCACCGTGCCTGGCCCAAGAAAGACAGTTCTGTTGTATATGCAGATAGATAACCTGGTAGGGATATCTAGCCCTGGGTTGGGAGTATATTCTAGTGGCCAGGAGGAGGTCCTAGAAGCATGCTGTGTCCTGCTCATGGCCAGAGTGGACACTTATCCAGAGGACAGGATCACATGAGGTTTGAGAAGAGATTCAGGTCGGGATATATCAGATAACCTCAAAGCCTCCTTCCAACCCTTGACTCCAGGACCAAGTTAGAGGGAAATGCTGCTATCCCCTCGGGCATCAGCCTCCCTTTGCAATGGTGTAACTGAGAATGTGTTTGCTTTCTCCTGGCGCTGTCTCTCCCTTTCCAATGCTCTGCAGGAGCCATCGTGGTCATGTATGTCATCTGCTGGCTGCCGTACCATGCCCGCAGGCTCATGTACTGCTACGTACCTGATGACGCGTGGACTGAGTGAGTGTGGCAGAAGGACCCTAGCACACAGGGAGGGGGCCCAACTGGGCTAGGCCTGGGGTCTCCATTGCTCTCCAGAGGGACCCTCCATTGCTGGGTCCTCTGGAATCCTGGACCGCATTCCACCTGGTCCCGTGCAGTCTGTGCCTTGAAATCTCCCAGCCAGGGATGGGGAACAGAACATTGTATCTGACCTGGTAAGGCCGTGTGCGTAAGAGGCCTAGCCAAGACTGTGGGATTCTCACTACAGGAGAAAGAGAAGCCTCAGCCTGGGAAGAGGGAGCACGGGCCATGCTTCTGAGGCTTCCTCTCTCTCTCCTTCCTCTCCTATTCCAAGGAGAGTGTGAGGAAGACACAAAGGTGCGACCCCAGGAGCTAACAAAGGTCCCCTTGGCAGAGACCAAGACATGCACCCCCTTTTATGACATGGTTGGAGAAGATGAGAGAATTCATAATCTGCCTTTCAGAAATCACTGTGCCCCAATCATAAGTGGGAATCAAACATCCAAAAGAATCGAGGTCCCAGGAAGCCTCCACAGAAAGAGCCATGTGACAGATGCCTCCTCCTCAGGAGGCACCAGCACCCCTTACACTTGCACGGGCAACATGAGCTCGTGCCAAGCGCTTCCCACTGCAGAGAACCTGCAGCAAGGAGTGCGGCTCCTCAGACGGAACTTCGGCTCTTAGTGCAGCCACATCTCCTGACCACACGCAGCAGTCCGGGGCACCCGGGGCCTCAGTGGCTGGACAGATGGCCCCTGTCAGTCAGCAGTGTCACCTTACCATGAGGTGACCAGGAACCACAGCCAGGGATGGCAGATCATAGAGGCTGGGTGGAGGGCGTCAGCTGCTGGTGATGAAACATTTATGGAATTTACATTGTGCTTCCTGGCTGGGCACGGTGGCTCATGCCTGTAATCTCAGCACTTTGGGAGGCTAAGGCAGGTGGATCACCTGAGGTCAGCAGTTCAAGACCAGTCTGGCCAACATGGTGAAACCGCGTCTCTACTAAAAATACAAAAATTGGCTGGGCATGGTGGTGTGTGCCTGTAGTCCCAGCTATTCAGGACTGTAGGCAGGAGAATTGCTTGAGCTCAGAAGGCGGAGGTTGCAGTGAGCCATGCCATTGCACTCCAGCCTGGGAGACAGAGCAAGACTCCGTCTCAAAAACAAACAAACAAACAAAAACACTGTGCTTCCTGATAGCAGAAAATAGGCTTCGTCATGCAGCCCTCTGGAGGAGAGGCATTCTCCAGTAGGAAGTGGACACTGTGAGGAGGTGACAGGTCCTCTAACCAGGCTCCCGGGTTTCTCTTGCAGCCCACTGTACAATTTCTACCACTACTTCTACATGGTGACCAACACACTTTTCTACGTCAGCTCAGCTGTGACTCCTCTTCTCTACAACGCCGTGTCCTCCTCCTTCAGAAAACTCTTCCTGGAAGCCGTCAGCTCCCTGTGTGGAGAGCACCACCCCATGAAGCGGTTACCCCCGAAGCCCCAGAGTCCCACCCTAATGGATACAGCTTCAGGCTTTGGGGATCCCCCAGAAACCCGGACCTGAATGTAATGCAAGAATGAACAGAACAAGCAAAATGACCAGCTGCTTAGTCACCTGGCAAAGCAGGTGAGCAACCTCATCACTAATCATTCAAGCTTCGCAGCCAGGGCGACTTCTATCAACCCCTGCTCTGCTGAGAACCATCAAGCGCAGGGAAGCCACGTGACCCCTCCTAGCCTCAGGCTCCCTCGTCTGTGTAGTGGAGATAAAGAACAGCACCCATCTCTTAGTGTTGCCTGAGACTAAAGTGCTTAGCACAGAACCTGGTGCGTAGTAGATGCTCAATAAATTTTTGCTGGCACGATTTCTGTTGTTACTGTTGTTGCATGGCTATCATCATTGCTTTCCTGCTGTCCTGAAAGCCCACAACACTCTTCTGTAGTTTTATGCTCAGGTGTCCTATAAATTTCCTCAAATGACAAATCAGCAGTGCCCCAGAAGCTGACCAAATCGGTGCCTCACGTGAGCTGTAGTAAGATTCTCCATTCTCTCCCAGGCAGGGAGCAGCTGTTGACACTGACAGCAGCTTCTGCAGACTCTGGAAAGCCAGTGGGCTGCTGGCGTCCCCTCCTGCCTCTGGCCAAGCCAGACCATGTGGCTTGCCGGGAAACGGCCATGCACACTCTGCCACGAGGCACATGCAGCCCAGTTATGCTCTGGCCAGCGCAATGCTGGACAAGAGTTGAATCTTAATTCTCTTAATCAGCCTGCACTGCCCGCACAGGCCAGGCCCACTTTCTACCGCCAGCCTTGCACCTGGAGGCGGTAAGGCTGAGGCCAGGGGAGCAATGGTGCTTTTCCCTGAGTGCAGAGGACGCAGTGGCAAAAGACAGGGGAGGGTACCGGCCTGTGAGGGGAGGAGGAGAGAGATGGGTGCAGGACACAGCACCAAGGAGAGGTTCGTTTTGATGAATTGCGTCAACGCTTCCCTAGACTCTGTCCACCTCCTGACCCGTCCCCCACCCCCTACTCCCATGATGAACGCTACACACACTCATCACACACACATCACACAGGCACCCATCACACAAGTATCCACAGACTCATCACATGCAGACATACCACAAACACACGGCACATGCACTCTTGTCACACCTCACGTGCACACATGTCACATACACACTCATTACACCTACAGCACATATCAGATGCACCTCACACACACCACATGTAAACTCATCACATGCATACGTGTCATATGCACACACTCCTGGGCTGGTACACTGAGACGAGCCGGCAGTGGCTTCTGCACAACTCGGAGGTGACTGTTCTCCAGACCCCAGCCCCAAAACCCCTGAGAAGAGGCCAGAGGTGACGACCATACCCCCTTCACGGAGCCATCCCGGGCTAGGACCACCAAGGGCACCCACACGTGGGCCTCGTCGAGCGAGGACATGCCACCTGGAAAGGAGGAGCGACAGCAGCTCTGGCGTGGGGACCCCTAGAGAGGGCGGCTCTGACGGGCAGGCCACGGGCTCACTGTGTTCATGGAGGAAGAAGGAGCTTCAGACCCGCACCGGGAACGGTGAGGCCCAGCACGCCCGGCCCCGCAGCCGGTGATGGTGCAACCTCCGTTTAAGCCGCGGCTTCGGAGGCCCTGGGTCAAGGCTGTGGCTGCGGCTCCCCAGCCAACGCTCCAGAGAGGTCCAGGAAGCAGGAAAGGCAAGAAGCAGCTCCCAGTCCAAACGCAGATAAGACGGCGCGGGAAGCAGGCTTGGGCGAGGTCCGGGGCGTGGGCCGGAAGAGCCGGTTCCTCGACCTCATCACTGGGAGCAGGGGAACCCTGGGCAGGTTCAACTCCCTGAGTCTGTGTCTTCATCCGCGAAACTGGTGAAGGCAGAAAGTTCTTAAGCTATTTAAAAACAGTAATTCAGGTCAGCAAGAATGGATCTGAATTTGAAGCAATTTGTAATCTTCATTTATCTCTTTTGCTTGTGTGTGTGAGTGTGTGTGTGTGTGTGTGTGTGTGTCTACAGATATGTTAATGCACTTGATTTGGGGTATTCTCCCAAGACCCTGCTAAGGGTGTTACGTAATATATGGCATATATCCCATGTTACTTTTCTCAAACATGGAAGACCCAAATTGAAAAATACATCTGGCCCCAAGGGTTTCAGATAAGGGACTGTGGATCTGTAGTACCTAATAATAAGTTTATAATAATTAAATAAGATAAAGAATGTTAAGCTCCTACCACAGTGCCTGGCATATAGTAAATGCTCAATAAATGCTAGTTGTCATTATTGTCGTCATCTTCATCCTAGACCCCAAACTGGGTAAAACCTGGTAGTGTCCCTTCGAAAAGATTATATGAATGAGGGACACTTTTTCTGCTACATGTTACCAAAGTACAGTAAGCAGCAAGAGAAACAAAATGTAAAGAATAGACTGAGAAACATAGATGAGCTACTTTATATATTATCCAAAATTTTCATGCAAATCATTAGGCAAAACACCAGGACCCCAAAGGCCAAGAAACACACAAAAGGAAAATGCTCAGCCTCAATAGTTCCTGGAGAAATGGCAGCCCAAACAATAATACGTGACATTTTATGGGCAATGTATTAACAAAAAATGTCAATGACCAGAACAAATATTGGGTGACCTCAGTGTGCTCCTGTCTTAGAGGGAGAGGAAACTGAATAACCTTCTTGGAAAGCAAATTGGCAATATATTTTGAAAGCCATAAAGTGCTCAGAAACTTAGACCCTGTAATTCAACTCCTGGATATTTACTTTGATAAAATTTGCTAAAGAAGGAAAGGCCTCTCTGTGTGCACACAGAGTCATTGCAACATTCTTCATTTGGGCCTTTACGAGCAGGCACTGGTTCAACAACATAAATCTCTTACGCTGCCTAATCTTCACAGCAGTCACTACAGTCAAAACTGTTCTTACCATCACCACTTCACATATGGGGCAACGGAAGCAAAGACAAGCTAAGCAAGGTTCTTCTCCTGCTACTTGGTAACTCGAGGAGTAGAGCCCAGGCTTCGGAGTTGGGAGCCAGTGCTCAGCCTCTACATCATGCTGCTGCCCAGGAGCTGGATGGCAAAAGATGTCAACAGGCTGGATACCATGGCTTATGCCTGAAATCTCAGCACTTTGGGAGGATGAAGCAGGTGGATCACTTGAGGTCAGGAGTTTAAGACCAGCCTGCGCAACGTGGCGAGATCCTGCCTGTATAAAAAATACAAAAAATTAGCCAGGCGTGGTGGTGCACACCTGCAGTCCCAGCTACTCCGTAGGCTGAGGTGGGAGAATCACCTGAGCCTGGGAGGTTGAGGCTGCAGCAAGCTGTAATTGCACTGCTGCACTCCAGCCTGGGCAACAGAGTGAGATCCTATCTCAAAAAAGAAAGACGACAAGAGATTCGAGGACCAACATTATGGAGCTGAGTGAATCACAATGCCCTTGTTCAATCAAATCCCAATTATTAGGTCGTCCTTAACAAATATAAATTATAAAGTGTATTTAGCAATATAAGCATATTCTGATTATATGACTAGGAAAGAAAACAAGACAAATTATGATATTATGTACACATCACACAGATACAGAGAGAAGGTCAGAATGAAGCACTTAAAAATAAAAGTGGGGGCTTTGCTAAAGAGGTATGAGTGACCCCAGAACAGTACTAGTGGCTGTCCTCTTCATCACACCATCCAGGCACAATAATTGGGGGCACGCAGCAGACGCAGAAACGTATGGAGAAAAAAGAACCACTAAACCAGTTTTCTTTCATGTGTTGACATAATATTGTTTGTATAATCTTGAGATAACAAATTGCAGATAGGAATTTCGTTCCCCTGATGTTGTCCCAGGTGGTAACACTGAGCCTTGATTAAAGAGACAGGAGCCTGGGGTCAGCCGGGTCCAGGGATGAGTACTTAAACAAATCCCTTCGCTTCCTTGGGCCTTGTTTCCACTTCTGTAAAGTAGGCGTCATCACAACAACCTGCTGGGTTTTGTTTTGTTTTGTTTTGTTGTTGTTGTTGTTGTTTTTGAGACGGAGTCTCACTGTGTTGCCCAGGCTGGAGTGCAGTGGCGCGATCTCGGCTCACTGCAAGCTCCGCCTCCCGGGTTCACGCCATTCTCCCGCCTCAGCCTCCCGAGTAGCTGGGACTACAGGTGCCCGCTGCCACGCCCAGCTAATTTTTTGTATTTTTAGTAGAGACGGGGTTTCACCGTGTTAGCCAGAATGGTCTCGATCTCCTGACCTCGTGATCCGCCCGCCTTGGCCTCCCAAAGTGCTGGGATTACAGGCGTGAGCCACTGCGCCCAGCCAACTATCTGCTGGGTTTTAAGAATCAATTGGTATCAGGAATATGAAAAAATCCTTACTGTATTACCTAGCACCCAAAACAACTCAATAAATAGTAGCTGTCAAAATTATAGAAATGGGGAAGATATTAGTGATTGCCAAGTGTCTGGGATGTGGGGAGGGGGCCCTAGAGAGAGGTGAGTGTTGTTTTAAACATGTGATATGAAGGATTCTTACAGTGATGGAATTGTACTGTATCTTAAACCTATCGATGTCAAAATGCTAGTAAGGTGCACAGAATCTTGTATTCTTCCTTAAAACTGCATGTGAATATATAATTATCTCAACATTTTAAAAAGGAAGAAAGAAGAGGATCAGTCGTAGTCCCACCATGCAGATAACCACTATCAAATTTCAAATTTTTGATTTACATCTTCTGGGGCAAAAAAAAAATAAAAATAAAATAAAACAACAGTAGCTGTCATGATTATAAAGGGACTCTATGGGCACCTGAATGCAGATTATTATTATAATTCTATATTTAAAATTTTTAAATTGTGTATTTCTTTGTGTGATTGGTTGGTTTGGCTGCATACCTGCTTGCTTGCTTGCTTGCTTGCCTGCTTGCCTTGCCAAGATCAAGAGAGAGACCCCAGAAGTGTTTATTTCATCAAGCTTCCGTCTCTGAGCCATGACTTTATCAGTATCAGAATCCTAGGAGGCTTTCGCTAAACATTGAAAGATGAAGTATGCACTACGCACCTGTGTTAGTTTCTTATGGCTGCCATAACAAAGTAACACAAACTGCGTGTCTTAAAACAACAGAAATGTATTCTCTCACAATCCCGGAGGCTACAGATCTGAAATCCAGGTGTTGGCAGGGCACAAGACTCTAGGGGAGGAAACTTCCTTGCTTCTTCCAGCTTCCGATGGTTCTCAGCAAACCTTGGCATTCTTGGCTTGTAAATTTATCACTCTAATCTCTGCCTCCATTGTCACATGATAGTCTGTCTGCCTCCACGTCTCTCTCTCCCATCTTAGAAGGACACCAGTCATACTGGATTATGACCATATGGGACCCCTTCACTCCACTATGACCTCATCTTAGCTAGTTATATCAGTAATTATATCAGTAACGACCCTATTTCCAAATAAGTTCCCATTCTGAGGTCCTGGGGCTTAAGAGTTCAACACATCTTTTTTCAGGACATGATTCGACCTGTAATACCACCCAAACTCCCCCCTCCAGCAGGGTGGACTCCCACCCTGGGAAAGACCCTTGGATAGAGCAAGAATTAGAGTTGGAGTAGCCCATGGTCTCAAATGAGAAGAACGAGTCCTTGCCAAAGTTTTAGAAAGAAAGGAGAAGGAGAACTGGGACAGCATATTTGGCGAATGACAAATGCAGTCATAGAAGAATTCTTGTTTCTTCTCTAGACGTGAAGGCCTTTAAAAAGCTGCACTGGCCTTTCCAACTGTTTTGTGAAGTAAAATGCTAATTCCCTCTGGGCTGGGAAATCTGCCCAAGCAAGTAGACTGAAAAAGAAATGAAAGCTGTCAACACTGGATGCACCCTTGGTTCACAGTCTTCCCTTCAACAAAAGCTGTCTGCAGAATCTTAAGCCAGATCTAGGAGGTTTCATGCAATTTTTAAGATTAAAAGTGATTTCTAAACCTTAATACTGGGCTGTCCCACACTCTGGATGGCACATAATGTGGTATGTTTCATAAATGCCCACACCCAGGATTACCTCCAGGAAACCCGAGAACTGGGTTTCCCAGTGAGAAAAGATTGGATCTGTACCTTGATTGTACACAGAACCTTGCGAGCCAACATTGCCTTCTAATATATGGCATTCAGTGGCAGTAAATTGCTCAGAACAGGAAGCAGCTGTGACGTTAGTGGAAATATTATTACACATGCAGGCATGAATCTAGGTTTGTTCTATCACTTAATAGCTGTGTCATCTTAGACAAGTCATTTTACCTCTCGGAGCCCCAGTTTCTTCTTCCATAAGATGATCCCAATAATATCCATCTCAGAGTATTGTGTTGATTCAATGAAATAATGAATATTTAGTCATCTAGTAAAATGCCTGGCACAGAGTGGGTGCTCACAAATGTTTGCTACTCACTATGTTCATTTTGTAGCTAACACACTCTCTGGGGAGCTGGGTGACTTGGCCAAGGAATAGAAGCTCGAACCCAAGTCTTCTGATTTGAAATGCCAAGCCCTCTCCACTGCCACATCCTGCCATGGGAACTCCAACTCCTACATAATCAATGTTGCTTCTTGCAGGATGATTCCTCCTCTGTTACTGTAGCAGCTCTTAATTAGCTAAAAGCATCCAGGTGATTTTTTTCTTTGGGAACTATCTCTGACCCTGACTACTAGGCAGGTCAGAAAAGCATCTCTGAGCCCAGATGGCAAGGAACAGAGAAAACAGCTCTAAAGCTAGGCCTAGTAGGCACTAAGTTAGTGGTGCATAGCACATAGTCATGAAGACCCATTAAACACTGACCTACAGCCCCAGCCCACTGTGAACCCTTGTAGTAAGGTTGGGTTTTGCTGATTGGTTTGGGTTTTGAGGGCTTTCTATTTGGTTGGACTTGAGACTGTAAAGCAGAGTCCTGGGGTAAGCGAGGGTCTTAACTCTCAGAGTGTCCTAGAAAAGATTCTTGCAGGTCTTGGAGTGCCCCCTAAATGAAGAAATAGGAGGGTTTAACGGTTGGTTGTGTATGGACTGTTAGAGGCGCATGAATGGGGCTTCCTGTTCAAAATGACATCTGGCTAAGAGTCCCCTGACACAGCCCTTTCCAGTAGAACAAAGGTAAAGATACAATGGGGAAGGGCTAATGACATTAGGAAAAGCAAGGAATGGAAGCGAAAAATCTCCTAACTTCTAGTAGCTATCAAACTGCTGGAATTTTCAACCACTGGTTAAAGAAAATGCTCTATTGCCTAAAACAGCACACCTCTAGGTTTAAAATAAGTCGGAATTTGCTTAGCTTCCCACTGCCAGAAGTGTAGATGAAGACTTTGAAGTCATTGGAAACCTGCACCTCCATTTTATACCTCCCCATCAGTTCCCTCTTCTACATTAGTTTAGAAAGAACCTGGTAATAACACTGACATCAACCCAAATGTCCTGATTTGGATCATGTCTAGAGATAGGTCAGAGGCATTGCATCCTAACCAGCCCTTATCCATGGCACGGAGAAGGAGAATCCACCAACTCCAAAACAGTTAGGAAGCAAGGCCAAGGGCAAGCCTTACCAACTGAAAAAAATTGAATTTGATTTTTCTTCATTCCATAAAGAAAAGTAAAGATACATACACACACACACAGGACCAAATTGAGGGTGAGGAATTCTGCAGGATAAAATGTGCAATAGGTCAGGAGCACACCCTGGCAAATGGATTTACTATCCCAGACAATGATTTCTTCCCTTCATAGCTTGCAAGAAAGCATGGCTCCTTGGCATCGCATGCAAAAGGCCATCAAGGAAAGGACAAGTTGTGACAAAAGGGAGCATGGCAATGCCCTGCAGGCAGTAGAGAGGGAACGACAGTGTAGGAATTCAATCTGGGGTTTGGTGACACACTTGAGAAGCCCTTCTGGAAGGGAGTGGAAAGGCATGAGGAGATGAAGACAAGACAGGCCCTGATGGTAGATGAAAACCACAGAGCAGCAGATCACCAGAGCTAACGGGAAAGGGTGGGAGCTCAGAGGAAAAAAATGCCGCCAAATAGGAGGGATTTACTGAAAAGTTTTAACCAGAGGAGTGACACAATCAATCATTGAAACAGAGAAGGAACACTATCATATTGTGTGTGTGTGTGTGTGACATTTGAGTAGTGGGGAATTTCCTGTTTAAGAAAAAGTGTACAATTTACACATAAGTCCTCTTACCTTACAAAAAAGTAAAGCATCTGGAAGGCCAGAGAGAAAAATGCGGAAGCCCCCTCAACACACCCCACTCCCTGCCCCTTCCCTAATGTGGTCATTGTCAACAGTTTGGTGTTCATTATTCCAGTTTCTTTCTACACATAAGCAAAAATACATGCATAAATTACGCCTATGTATTTTTACATGTAAACTAAAGTTTGTGTTTCTTTCTCTGATCAATATCTCCATGTCAGTATACATAAAACTGCTAACATAAAAGTGTTATTTTTCGCTTTTGTGTTTGGAACACTGTTCTAGAAAATCAAGTCTGCCTAGGAGGAGCTAGAGTGGTTTAGAAAGTGTGTGCCCCCATCATCATTGGACTATAGAAGAGTAAGGACAAAAGCAGCGAAGATGAGTTAGAGAGATGGAGATATTTTCTTAGCAGAAAGGCTGAGAACTGAGGAGAGAGACTAGACTGATATGAAATGAAAAATGAGATGTTGAAGGCCAGTGAGACATACAACGAGGAACTGGAGAGAGGCCTAGATCCAACTGTTCTTAAGGAAGGTATTAGAAAAGGGGGTGATGTCTTAGTTGTGTGAGATCAGAAGTGATGAGGGGAAGAACATTCTGCTCATCTGACAAGAACAGCAGCCTGGCATGTGACCGCAAAGGGACCGAGGACCCAGGAAACTCTGGAGATGCGACTTTTAAAGCCACAGATACGTTTTGGAGTAGGAGTAATTGGGGAACAATCCCTTAAAATATGACCACAGTGCCAAGTAGTTACAGAAAATCTGGGTATGTTTGAGAGGGGAAGTCTAGAGATAGCAATGTAAATACTCAAAATGCTATTAACTGAGTTTCAAGTTCTCTGTAGGTGGAAATACAGAAATTGCTGGGTCCTTAAGGAGCATCCCTGAGAAATGTATAGAATATGGGATCTAGGGAAGGCCCAGTCAAGATGAGATCTATTGGAGAGGAGCCAGACAGCACGTGGGTGGATCAAGCCCCAGCCTGGGTTAGATGCTGGCCTGACAAAATAGCTCCTGATGGTTCTATGCAGGGAGGTAAGTTAATATTTGTGACACACTTAGAACAGGGAGTCAAAAATGATATGTATGTGGTAAGGGATAAATATGTTTGTGCTAAAATAAGTTAAGTTAAAATGAACATTTTTATTTGCATAGTAGATAGAATTGGCAGATCCCAGACTCATCGATTTCATCTCTCTCACTGTGGGAAGCCCAACAAGACAAAATCTAGAGAAGCACATTAGGAAAACAAATGTCTGTGCAGAAAATAAAAGAAATCGTAAAAGGCAGTCCCATTCACCATTATCTATTCACGGCCTAGCCCTACAAGTGTTAGAGACGAGGGAGATCAACTCAGGAAGCAGGATAGAGGCAGCTCTTAGCAGGAAAAAAGGAGACAGGAGTGGCACATCCTTCTAAATAGAAAAAATATAGCAGAAAGAAAGGGGATTGAAAGCCATGGGCACTCCAAAATGAGGGAGGAGGGTATGTCAAGAAACATATGAGCAGTACTGGCCTTCACTGCATATGAGCAGTGCTGGCCTTCACCAGGGTTTGGGAAGGTGATTGATTCTCCAGCAGAAACAAATGTGAGGGGGTGGGGGAAGCTTCTCCAAGAAGCAGGCTCCATAGCTCCAAGCAGGTTCTGCCCCATGGCAGGACTGCAAACACCTGCACATGGGTGAGAGTGTCTGGGGACAGCTGGTCAACCAAGAGGGTGGGCCCTTGAATGTTACTGCTGTGATGGGATGATCATGCTAAGCAGGTTTCTCAACTTCACAGGAAGGCAGTGATGCCTCCAAGTCTCATTGTTTGAGATAGGAAAGAGCAGGCAGAGATGGTGTTTCCCCTGGGTAGTGGAAACAGCACCATCCTTAACGTGGATGGGGGAGTTACCCAGTTGAATTGAAGTGCAGACGTTGTGGATTCCAGACCCACAGGCACAGACCGGCTTCCTGGAATGACTAAAACCAAAAGGATTTTCCCATGCTCCTCCTTCACTCAGATATCACCGAGGGTCCTCTGTGGCTTTTGGAAGCATTAAACAGTGTACTTTAACATAATTTTGCCTGAGAAAATCTCCTTGTTTTCTAAATGTTATGAGGGAAAGCCCAGTACTTTAATAATTGCATCGATTCCTTGAATCGCTGGATCTAAAAACTGGGGAACATCAATTAATTACCAATGTGCTAACACAACCTTCAGAGAACCTGGAGGAATCCAGTCCAGTGAGCATTCCCAGGCTGCAGCTGCAGAGGGAGCCCCAACTCTACCAGGCATCTAGAACATTCCTGGGTGAGAAGAAGCTGAATAACAAGTAAGGGAAGATGGATTGGGACTTTACCTTAAAGAATACATATAATTTCTTCGGATTTTTCATCCATTTCTGCTTTACATTTGATTCCTTTGTGTTTCAATGTCTGTGAACATCAACTGATGAGGGACTTTGATTTTGCCCCCAAAATATATAATAGGAGAGGATTAATATTCAAATGTGGGGTGTATTAATCCATTTTCATGCTGGTGATAAAGACATACCAGAGACTGGGTAATTTATAAAGAAAAAGAGGTTTAATGGACACATAGTTCCACGTGGCCAGGGAGGCCTCACAATCATGGCAGAAGGCAAAAGCCACGTCTTACATGGTGGCAGACAAGAGAGAATGAGAACCAAGTGAAATGGCTTTTCCCTTATAAAACCATCAGATCTCATGAGACTTATTCATGACCACAAGAACAGCATGGGGAAAACTGCCCCCATGATTCAGTTGTCTCCCACCAGGTCCCTCCCACGACATGCAGAAATTATGGGAGCTATAATTCAAGATAAGATTTGGGTGGGGACACAGTCAAACCACATCACAGGGACATCTCCATTTTGTTAGCAGACGGTTATTGGAACATCTCTCAGGGCCATCAAGTTGCATAATCCTAGCAGGCACAATTCACATTGCTCATCAAGATAGGTTAAGTAATGCCAACATCACAAATGAACCCTGAAATTGCAGTAGCTCAACAGTGTAAAAAAATGGTCACTGGTTCTTGTCATAGAACATCATTATGAGGGCGAGGGTCTGTGCAGGGTCCCGGTCCCTTCATCTCAGGACACCCCCCTCCGAAACACACGGCCACCTCCTGGGGTCAAGTCTACGGCACCATCAAGGGCTTCAAGGAAGATTCAGAAAAAGCAAACATTGTTTTTGGGAAGGTGGTCTTAAAAATGAGAGCAGAGCTTCCCCCAAGGACTGTTCATCCCCCTAGGGGTCAGCCTATACTGACTGTAGGCTTAATGGTCAAGCCCAGTGGGTTAGGGAATCAAAAACTGAGGTAAACTAACAGGAAACATTTGTTCCCAACTTCTGATATTTCCTCCTACATGCAGGGAACACCATTAATGTAACATTTCTAGCTTCTGTCTACCTCCTCACTTACCCTTTGCCATGGGCAAAGAAGTAACCTGTGTTATAGGTTCAGGGAAGGAGCTGGCCTGCATAACTCAGCAATCTACTCCTTCCCTCTGCCCCTGGACCCAGCCTGCCTGAGGAGCACAGGATCCTGCCTGCTCTTCCAAGCTATACATTTGTACGGACGAGACCCCACATGGTGTCTGCTGCTTGCGGCCAGGTAGGAAGGCCTAATTCCAGCTTCAGCACTGGAAACCTTGTTGATACTGATATGCCTACATCTGCCTTATTGATACAACAGGGGACATTTTGGTCTTCATTTGTTTAACTACTGTTTTGTCTTACATCTGGATTCAGAGTGAGAATGTCAATCTCAATAGGCAGCTTCCAGAAACAATCTGGTTGGGATTTGGATTAGCTTTGTATTGAACTTATAAGTTAATTTGGGGGTAGGGTTGGGGGAGGAATTGGTAGTTTGATAATACTGAATCTTTCCATTAGGACATAGTTTTCTCTATATTTAATTTAATCTATCTTCTTTTATTTCTTTCATGGATGTTTTATAACTATCTTCACAGAGGTCTTACACATTTTCTACCTATTGGATACAATGTTCACTCTTCAGGTGATGGGTTCACTAGAAGCCCAGACTTCACCACTACACAATACATACATGTAAGAAGCCTGCACTTGTACCTCCTAAATCCTTAAAAATAAAACTTTAAAAATAAATAAGACTTAAAAAAATAAGTTTTCGGCAAGACCTAACTAGAAAAATGAGAAGACAGAGATATGACACTAAAAAAGAGAAATGAAGATAGTAAAGAGATTCTTAAAATTCCCACACAAATACATAATGTTTAAATTTATGCCAGAAAACTTGAAGGTTTTTATGAAACAGATAATTTCCCAGAATGTACATTTTAGAACGTTGGATAAAATCTAAATATACAAATAACTGTGAAATAAATTCTGCAACACACTCCATGTTTATTGCAGCACTATTCAAAAAAGCCAAGATTTGGAGCAACCTAAGTGTCTGTCAACAAACGAATGGATAAAGAAAATGGGATACATATACACAATAGGGTACTATTCAGCCATTAAAAAAAAAAAAGAATGAGTTTGGGAGGCTGAGGCAGGCGTATCATGAGGTCAAGAGATCGAGACTATCCTGGCCAACATGGTGAAACCCTGTCTCTACTAAAAATACAAAAATTAGCTGGGCGTGGTGGCGGGTGCTTTTAGTCCCAGCTACTCGGGAGTCTGAGGCAGGAGAATCAATTGAACCCAGGAGGCTAAGGTTGCAGTGAGCTGAGATCACGCCACTGCACTCCAGCCTGGCGACAGAGCAAGACTCCGTCTCAAAAAAAAAAAAAAAAAAAAAGAATGAGGTCCTGTCATCTGCAACAACATGGCTGGAACTGGAGGTCATTATGTTAAGTGAAATAAGCCAGCCACAGGACAAACTGAATGTTCTCACTTATTTGTGTGAGCTAAGAAAATTAAAACAATTGAACTCATAGAGAGTAGAATGATGGTTAGCAAAGGCTGGGAATAGCAGTTGGGGAAAGGGGTGTAGGGATGGGTAATGGGTACAAAAATATAGTTAGAGAGAATGAATAAGATCTAGCATCTGATAGCACAACAGGATGACTATAGTCAATAATTTATTAAACATTTAAAAATAAGAGTATAGTTGTTTATAACATATAGAAACAGGAAATGCTTGAGGTGCTGGATACCGCATTTACCCTGATGTGATTATTACACATTTTATGCCTGTAGCAAAAGATCTCATGTACCCCATAAGTATATACACCTACTATGTACCTGCAAAAGTTAAAAATACATAAATTGTATGAGTAGTTAAAAAAAAAAACCCTCTTTCTTAAAGAAAAAAAAGAAACTGGAACCATAATTCTTTTTAATGTCTTTACTATTCTTAACTGGTTTGGGATTAGTGTTATTTCCGGCCTTGCAGAAGTACAGATGTCTATATTTTCCAATGCTCTGGAAGTTTTATTTTATGGTAGTAAAATATACCAAAAAATTTACTATTCTTGACAGTTAGCATATTCACAACGTTGTGTAACAATCACTGCTCTCTAGTTCCAGAACATTTTCTGATTTTCTGGAATGATTTGTGTAACACAGAACTCTCTCATTTGAAGGTAACTTTATGTCCAACACTTTCTATGCCCATCAGATTTCATTTCTATTGGTCTCCTTCCTCTGTTTCTGAGAGAGATGGAGTGGTCTCCATTTATGACTACGGAATTTATGCATTCTTCTCATATATATATTTTTTATAGAGGTGGGGTCTTGCCATGTTGCCCAGGCTGGTCTCTAACTCCCGAGCTCAGGCACTCCTCCCATCTTGGCCTCCCAAAGTGTTGGGATTACAGATGTTGAGCCATCATGCCCGCCCCTCTTCTCATATTTCTAACAGTTCTCACTTTATATATTTCATAGCATGTGGGCATGTCTACATAAGTTTGTGATCAAAATGTTAAATTCTATTCTGATTAGCTTTCTCAGTCCAATCTGAGCACCTCAATCTATTTTTAGGTAAATTTAATCCACTTATATTTCTTTTGACTGTTGATATGTTTGGATGTTTGTCCCCTCCAAATCTCATGTTGAAATGTGATCCCCAATATTGGAGGTGGGGCCTGGTGGGAGGTGTTTAGGTCATGGGGGGCAGATTCCATCGTGCTTAGATTGCTTGGTGCTGTCCTCAGGATGAGTGGGTTCTCCCTGTGAGTTCACACGAGATCTGGTTGTTTAAAAGTGTGTGGCACCTCCCCACCTCTCTCTTGCTCCTGCTCTCACAATGTGTCTGCCCCCCTTCACCTTCCACGGTGATTGGAAGCTTCCTGAAGCCTTCACCAGGAGCAGATGCCAGCACCATGCTTCCTATACAGCCTGCAGAACCGTGAGCCAATAAACCTCTTATAAATTACCCAGTCTCAGGTATTCCTTTATAGTAACATACAAATGGACACACACACCTGCCATCTAATTTTGTTTCTTATTTGCCAAGATTTCCTGTTGTTCTCCCCATCCCCAACTGTTCTTTCCTTATGTTGGATTTCATTGATGTGGTGTTTGCTGTCTTCCCTTTAATGTTTTAGATGTTGGACATCCTTTCTTTTCTCCCAGTGGTCATCCGAAATGCTTAACATGCATATTTAAATGTTCCTTTTCTACCAGCATATTAATCAGTGCTGACCCTGTAAATCAAAAATTTCAGCTCGACTTCACTATTTTCTTAGTTTCTCCATCACTGATCACTCCCACCCCTGCTCCCATGTTGAGATCATTGCGGGTATGAGAGATTCATTCATTCACTGAGTGGGCAATGAATGAGCACATACCAGGAGCTGGGCAAATTCAAAGCTCTGGGCATGCAGCACTGAATGTTTCTTACAGAATTCCTACCTTCACAGAAGGAGACAAAAATAGCAAAAATGTATTCTATGTTAGTAGTTCCCCAGTATGGGATGGCCTCATTGGGAAGGTGACTTACGAGTAGCAAGAAAACATCAGGGTGTGGGAGAGTCCAAGGGATGAGCACTCCTGGCATGAGAGGCAGCAGGCCTGAGTGGGCACTTGCCTGGCAGGGTCCAGGGAGCTGATGGGGAGTGAGCAAGGGGGCCACTGGCCTTAGCCATGGCCGCATGCTTAGCCCAGGTCAGTGGAGCATGGGAAGCACGGCGGGAAGCGCTGCAGGGAATCAACCAGGCTGGCTGCTCCAAACCGCTCCCCCTGGTGATCATCCAGACAAATGCCCCAGGTCCCTTCCACTCTTTGCAGCCACCGTGAAGCTCAGAGTCCCCCCAAACTTTCTTCCCTTGGTGGCAGGCTTCTCTGCACATTCTGAGCTGGTTTCCTCCATATTTGTTCTCCTGCACGTCCAATGCAGTCTGCCTTTTTATCCTCAGGAATTCTGCAACATGTTAATATATTCCACTTTTATGGTTTTATTCTTATTTCTTTTCCAAAACTATCCATTTTAAGCAGCTAGTCCCCAGAGATGACTAGCCACACTACCTTATCTCGAAACAGTGCTATGAATACTCACCAACAAAACAATACATGCATTATAAGTTTTATTTATAAGACTGGAACAGACAAGAATATTAGTTTGAGGGTTTTTTCCAATTTAAATTAACTAATAAAGTGGGGAGAATGACACAAAAGCTGCTATTTACAAAAGACAAGTATATGATTAAAGAAGGTCAGTTTTTATTCCAAAATAGGAATAATGAGATATACAAAGTAATCATTTTATAAACATTGATCTAAATATTTAATACTCGCGGACTTTTTTTCTTAGGAAAAAAAGATTGACATCAACTCTTCGGCATCATCTTTTACAATCATTTATTCTTGGATTGTTATCCATTAGAGTGCTTATAAATGTCTAGGATAGATGTGTAAGAATGCATTCTGAGGCCAGGCGCAGTGGCTCATGCCTGTAATCCCAGCACTTTTGGAGGATGAGGTGGGCAGATCACCTGAGGCCAGGAGTTCACAAGACCAGCCTGGCCAACCTGGCGAAACCCCATCTCTACTAAAAAAAAAAAATACAAAAATTAGCTGGGCATGGTGGTGGGCGCCCATAATCCCAGCTACTCGGGAGGCTGAGGCTGGAGAATCACTTGAACCCAGGAGGCAGAGGTTGCAGTGAGCCGAGGTCATTGCACCATTGCACTCCAGCCTGGGCAGCAAGAGTGAAACTCCGTCTCCGAAAAAAAAAAGAATGCATTCTGATGATTAAATTGAACTGTCTTTAAACTTTTCCTTCAAGTTATGGGCCACTTCAAAAACAGTGTGGCATTGAGGGTAGGCAAGTGGGAGAAGGGAGACCTGGACTGCAGAGTCCAGAAGCCAGAACTTTGAACTGTGCTTCTAGCTCTTTCCAGCAGTGAGAACTTGGAAAGGTAGACTCTTTGCATCTCAACCTTCTCATCTTTCAAAGGGGATGAATAATTCCAATCACACAAGAAAGGACTGAACAAGATGAACAAGATGATCACTGTCCAGGCGCCGGGCAATGGGTGGCCTCTCAACTGTGGCTTTAAAAACCATTCTGGGGCAGGCACGGTGGCTCACGCCTGTAATCCCAGCACTTTGGGAGGCCGAGGCGGGCGGATCACGAGGTCAGGAGATCGAGACCATCCTGGCTAACATGGTGAAACCCCGTCTCTACTAAAAAATACAAAAAATTAGCCGGGCGTGGTGGTGGGCGCCTGTAGTCCCAGCTACTCGGGAGGCTGAGGCAGGAGAATGGTGAGAACCCGGGAGGCGGAGCTTGCAGTGAGCCGAGATCGCACCACTGCACTCCAGCCTGGGTGACAGAGCTAGAGTCCATCTCAAAAACAAAACAAAACAAAACAAAACAAAACAAAACCATTCTGTCAGTCTGTGAAGGGGTGAGCCCTAAGAAATACATCTCCCTGCCTCCTTCTCTCTTCTGTTCCCACCTCCTCTCTAGTCAAGTGAGATTCTTCCCTGAGGAACCAAACATTAGTAAGAGAAAATGAGCTACTTCAGCAACTGAAAACTAAACTCTAGTAAACTACAGTCATAAGTCTAGTTCTCATCAACTATTTTATATATCACTTTGGTTGTTTTCATTGTCTGTTTCAAGTAAGCAATGTGGTCCTTTCTCCTTTGTAAGGCTAATTTTAGGTCAACCTCTGTTAGCCTTATTTCCTCCCCGCCAACTCCCCCCCCAAAAAACCCTTTTAGTTTTAAAGAAAGCTTCTTTGCATTTTTGCCCTTTCTAAGAGGTAGGGTATTTACCCTATATTATTTTAATAGGATCATATTTGCTCTGAAGTAAATCAATTTGTTTAACTTTATTAAATTTGATGCCTTTGGGCTAGCCTCTGAAACAGCAAACTTATAGGCAATTAAATAATTGTTATTAAAACGATCTACTTATTTTTTCTTGTCTCCAGCCTTTACAGTTAAAATGTTCCTTTGGAATATTGCTTTGTAGGAGGTTACAGGGGAACCTACTTGGCTGAAATCCCATCTACTGAAATACTGGCACCGCTACAAAATAACCCAAGATTCTTTAGAACTAAGAGAAAAAAATCAGGTTTGTCCATGGAAGCACACGAATGGCAGGACAGGAAGTAAATCTTTGTTCCTCGTGAAATGGGCTTTAAAACAGCCCAGAGCAATGGGCTGGCCCAGAACTTGGGAGTCTCAAGTTTTCATTCTCACCCACTGCGGAGTCTTCCTGGCTCCCAGGACCACGGCCTCGGGGGCCCATGTGTACTAGGAGGGGCTGCACCTGGACAGTCCCTGGGGTCCATTCCAGTCAAACGCCCCACCGTTCCAGGCCTCCCTTTAGCCTCAACAGCATGAGGGCTCTGAGCACTCATCTCTTCAGAAAACTCGCCGCTGTCTTCCTCAGATGTGTCGTCCCGTCAGAAAAAAGAGCGGCCGGTCTTCCCTGGCATTGGCGGTCTGGAACTCATCGCGCAGCCGGAACTGCCACTCGTCCTCGAGCTCCAGGCGGACGACCGTCTGGCGCAGTGAGCTCCGGTCCTGACAGATGACACACAACGTCGCACCTGCGTGGACAACGGCAGAGGTGTGGGAAGGGAAAAGGTGAGTTTATCCAGAGGAAAGCGGCTGCCCGGATTCTACTTGCAATGACAAGACAGGGCGCTGTTGGGAAGGGCAGAAGCGGCATCCAAGTCGGCCCCTTGCTTCTTTCGGGATGATGTACAATCTTAGCGAGACAGGAGTGTGGCTGGGATGTGGCAGGTGTGCGGGGGAGAAAACACGGAGGCAGAAGGAAAGCCGAGCAGGGACTGAACCGAGGTGCGGAGAGGAAGGAGAGAGGCTGGTGGAATCGCAAACCAAGCATCCTCAGCCCCAGCCGGTAGCTCACATACCCCACCCTACCTACCCCACCTTACAGCTTCATCCCCCTCTTCTGCCACCCATCCAGGCCTGGGGCAGCCCCCACTGTCCCACGTGCCAGCCACAGGAATTCCCCTTCCTCTCAACTCCCAGCACCTGGCGACACCTCAACCCAGTCTCCTCCACACTGTCCCTCTCTGCTCCCTCCCCACCTTTGTGTCCAGTCCTCCCTTTAGATGAAATGTTTCCCAAGGCAGAGACTGCTGTAAAACCTCTTGATCTTTCCCAAGGCCTTAGATGCTGCTGGTGCTCATTCAGTGCCTGCTAGAGGGGAAGGTCAGAGCCAAGGGCCACCAAGGAAAGCGAAGGTCAGCTAGGGATCTGAGCAGGACTGGAAATGCAGACTGGAAATCGTGTTTTCAAGTCATGCAGAACAAGTGCTTGTCATTCTCAACCAAGCTGGTGCAGACAGGAGGAAGACTGGCGTAAAAGCCAAGGTGGTGTGGCACCTCCCAGGATGAGGAGAAAGACTCGTCTACCAGGAGGAAGAGTGTCAGCAACGACTGGGACACCGATGTGAAGGATTTGGGTTGGAAAAGAACACACATGGCTGGTGCGGTGGCTCACGCCGGTAATCCCAACACTTTGGGAGGCCGAGGCAGGTGGATCACCTGAGGTCGGGAGTTCGAGACCAGCCTGGCCAACATGGCAAAACCCTGTCTCTACTAAAAATAAAAAATTAGCTGGGTGTGGTGGCGGGCACCTGTAATCCCAGATACTCGGGAGGCTGAGGCACGAGAATCACTTGAACCCAGGAGGCAGAAGTTGCAGTGAGCTAAGATCGTGCCACTGCACTCCAGCCAAGGTGACAGAGCGAGACTCCATCTCAAAAACCAGAAAGAAAGAAAGAAAAGAAACACAAAGGCTAAAAAATGTCCGCAATTCATCTAAAAGAAAGGGGGATGTGTCTTGCCTCTACCCAAACAGGTATAGGGGAAAGAGAGCCCCCGGGGATCAAATCCCAGCTCTCTTGCACTTCCCTGGGTGGCTGAGGCAGTCACTTCCCTCTCTGATCCTCAGTTTACCCATGGGCAAATAAGGACTAGGACCAAAGGTCCCCTCCTCAGGGTACCCGGTGACTACAGCCATTGAAGACAAGGTGCAGAGTTAAGAGTACAAAAGTTACCTTTCAGAAAATGAAACTTTTTCAAAAAGCTAGCTCCCACAAAAGAGTCACAGAGGTACAGCAGCAGCCCACTGAACAGCAAGTCCGAGCAGCTGATGTTTAAAGAGTGGGGCCTGGAGCTCACATAGCAAACAGAAATCTGAAAAAGAAGAAATCCAAGAGAGGGCACCGTTTTCTATGAAATGCTCAGTAACATTATACTACAGGTTTGCACCTAGTAAATACCAACTGCTTGGTCCAGCTCAAGATTTTTGGGGGGCCAGAGACAATATTTTCATGTTATTTCCAAATCTGTATCTGAAAAATAAATTCTGGAAGTTTTATCCAGATTTATCTAGTCATGAGTTCATCTGAGAATCAGAATATTTAGGCCGAGTGCGGTGGCTCACTCTTGTAATCCCAGCATTTTGGGAGGCCGAGGCGGGTGGATCCCCTGAGGTCAGGAGTTGGAGACCAGCCTGGACAACATAGTGAAACCCTGTCTCTACTAAAAATACAAAAATTAGCCAGGCGTGGTAGCATGTGCCTGTAATCCCAGCTACTTGGGAGGCTGAGGCAGGAGAATCACTTGAACCCAGGAGGCAGAGACTGCAGTGAGCTGAGATCGTGCCATTGCACTCCAGCCTGGGCGACAAAAGTGAAACTCCATCTCAAAAACAAACAAACAAACAAACAAACAAAAGTTTGGGCATCAGAATTGGGCTGGCTTCCTATCGTCTTACTTCCAGGCAAAGCATCTCAGTTCTCTCAGCTGAATGGCAAAACCTACAAAGTGGGGTCAACCCCGAGACGAAGGAGTTGAGGACTTAGGATTCAGAGTCCCAGATTCCAGCCCATTGGTTCTAGAGATTTCTCTGAATTAGGGATTCGACAGCACCCCCTCTGAAAGTCACCTGAGATCCCAGGTTCAGGTAACAGTCGACAGACAGCACTGGGTGGTCATGGTTCTTCAGGGACAGCGGGAAGAAGAGGTGGCTGTGGTGCTGCAGGAACTTCTCCAGCAGGAGCTGGGCGGGCGCTGCGAGGAACGTGTGCTTGCTGTCCGGGGCACAGATGTACTGGGCCGGCACGACCGCGGCAGAGTTATCAGACACCTGCACGGGAAGGGGGGTGTCAGGCCACTACTGCCCTGAGGGGCGAGGACCTTCCCATGGCTTCCGGGCTGCAAGGGTGGCCCAAGCATGGGAGCTTGTGTCACTCAGGGGAATGAACTGAGAACACATACTTCAAGAATAAACTTCTCTATTGAGAAAGATTAGGTTTTACTCAAAGGAAACATGAAACAGACACGTCAAAACGAACCACCCTAATCAGTAAGAATTATAGACACTGATCATTCCATGCAGGAAACCAGCTTTCTGGTCTAGAGAAAACAAGAGAACCCATGGGTCTGGGGGATGCAAGCCTCTGGGAGTGGCCAGCTCCCCACCAAAGGTCCTGTCCCCATCCCGCCCAGCCCCGGGGCTCTTCCCACCCACAGTCAGCATCCCAGCCACAGGCTCTTGCTCCATCACCAACACGTTTACATCTACGTAAATCAGACTCTCACTGCTTCCCTCCCGTGAGTCCTAGAGAAAAGTCTGGAACTTTCCCATAGCTGGGAAGGCCTGCCTACTTCCTCAGCTCCTCTCCGCCACCCTCCTCCCCTTCCTCCATACCGACCTCCTCGCTCCTACCCTTCTGCACCTTCACCCACTGAAGGCATCCTGTCCCTGCCCCTGCCTCTGCCCCTGCCCCTGCCTCTGTCCCTGCCCCTGCCTCTGTCCCTACCTCTGCCCATGCCCCTGCCTCTGTCCCTGCCCCTGCCTCTGTCCCTACCTCTGCCCATGCCCCTGCCTCTGTCCCTGCCCCTGCCTCTGTCCCTGCCCATGACCCTGCCTCTGTCCCTGCCCCTGCCTCTACCTATGTCCCTGGCTCTGTCCATGCCCCTGCCTCTGTCCTTGCCTCTGCCCCTGCCTCTGCCCATGTCCCTGCCTCTGTCCCTGCCCCTGCCTCTGTCCCTGCCTCTGCCCCTGCCCATGCCCGTGCCCCTGCCCCTGCCCCTGCCCTTGCCCCTGCCCATGCCCATGCCCTTACCCCTGCCCTTGCCCCTGCCTGGGCACGTGGCTCACTCTCTTCCTCCAGGTCTCCTTTAACATCACTTCCCTGGGGACTCCCACAGACTCAGGTCTCCCCGCGACACACACTTCACCTTTGTGGTGCTTCTCCCGATGGTCCTTAACTAGCCATGTGTCTAACATCTGCCCCAGCTGCTGGGCTGGGTACTCCTGAGCATGGGGATTGGCTGCTCACTAAATATTTAGTGAATAAATGAAAACAATGCAGTGATTTCACTCACATGAAAGACTGTAAGACATGACTAGCTTTCTTATGCATAACCAATATACAATCAAACATAATAGAAAATTAAGATTATGTTTCAATAATAAAGATAAAATACCTAAGAGTTTAAAAATGACACTGAAGGACACAAAAGAAAAGTTCGTTTTAAAGCCACATCTGGCCCTTTGGTGGAGACCCTGGTAAAGGTGTCTGTTCTCCCTGATTAAACAACAAACCTCACACAATCGTAAGATCTCAATGATGCTGTAAGTGGGGGCCTTTATTTAAAGGTCTTGTTACTTTGCAAGAACAATGAGGAGAGGCCCCCAACTCCCGGAAAAGGGGCAATCCCTGACTCTGGGGGTCAGTGGAGATGGAGCTGGTGTCCCAATTCAGACCCAGCCCACCTCAGCGTAGCTAACTCCATCAGGAGTTTACAGAGACAAGGAGGGATAGAGCCTGGGAAAGGCAGCTGGTGGCATTAGGGCAGGATCAAGACAGACAGAAGTGACAGAGAAAGGGGCTCTGGCCCACGGGACTGGGGAGAACTTCGGGCAGAGACACACCTGCTGCATTGCTTCCTGGAAGACACAGAGCTATCAAGACTTGCTGTGATTTTACGTCTTAATTCCCCAGGCCTGCTCAGCTGGAACACACATAATCATACCAGGTCTCTCCCCACCCCGAGGCTGCCCAGTGGACACATAGTATGACTATGGGGCCAGCCTGCAGAGCCATTCAAATAGTTATGCAACTAGGCACCATCCCAGGGGCCCAAGGAAGAGCGTGGCCTGAGACCTCACCCAGCTGGGGCAGGTGAGAACACACAGGAAGGCTTGGTTGTAGCCTTGCACCCAGAGGAAGCTTGCAGGATACTGGTTAATGTCAGAGGTAGAAGAGAGACCCCATCATTTCCCAGGGCTCAATGCCGATTAAAAACCTTTACTGACCCCACCCAGTAGGGCCCTGCCCCATGCGCTTGAAAGAGACATGGCCTCCCTCAATGGCTCCTACCCTCAGTGTGTGTGCCAGGGCGGCCCAGGCGGTGGACATAGAGGCCTGCCCAGCAGCGAGGAGCTCACCTTGGATGTGATGTGGAAGGACCTGTGGCCGCCCACCACGATCTGCTTCTTCATCACGCTGAAGCGGTTGAACCGGCAGAGCAGGAGGCCGGCGCTGTGCACCCGCAGGTTGAAGTCTACATCGTCACACAGGAACCTACTCAGGGCCAGAGGAGGGGTGGGTCTGATGGGGCACAGCTCACACCCTCCGTCACTGCCCCCAGCACCTAGAGTGTGGGTCCCCATCGTAGGGGGCTATGAAGGTGGAGTGGGCTTCATTCTTGCCTCAAGACCTTCCTTACTCTAGGGGAAATATGAGGCAAAACAGACAAGGAAAACGCACAGGACAGACAGGGCCATCTCTGCACAGGAAAGGCAGTGTGTACCTCATGCTTAAACCACAAAAGCACTGCCCGTGGTGACCAGAGGCCAAGGGCCAAGTGCACGTGAGAAACGTTACCAACACGACCTCACGCATCGGTGAAAAAGAAAGCAACAAAAAACCTCCCAGGGTAAAAACGTGAGCTGCTTTTTACAGCTAAGAAGAATAGGGCTTGGAGGTGAGTGGCCTGCCTGCGCTGCAAAGCTAATACGCAGCAGAACCCCGGTTCTTGGAGGCGCAGTCAGTCTGGCTCCAAAGCCCACCCTCTTTGAGAGGCTCACGCAGGCCGTGGTCCACTGCCCAGTGGAGAGGTACTCCGTGAACACTGAGCAATTGAATCCTCTGGAGATGTGAGCACTTCTGCGACTAGATATGTACAGAAACCTACGGAAATTATCATTTTCTTCAGGGCTAAAGCTTCTAAAAAGCAATGTATTGGGAGAATGAACCAAAAAGGCAAGAAAAACACACAGTCCAATATAACTCACTCAATAAAGCATCATGAGAATTGGTGAATGAAGCTGAATGATCTGCGAATACTCAAAATTATTCAGCACTAAAAAAACTGGGACAACGGAGAGCAAGGCCAGGTCAGTGCTCACAGCCAGGACGCCTCTGCAGCCCCAGGCTGCCCTCACTCAGGACTCTGCGCCCCCAGGGCTGCCGCCGCCTCTGCCCCAGGTGCAGGAGCTCACCGGTTCTGGTTGTACTGCACGTTCTGGGTCAGGTCCACGTTCAGGATGATGAAGTTGTGCACGTGGCAGCGGGAGAAGGGCTCTTGCACCTCGCTGGCCCGGGTCTTGCTGGACCACTTCCGCAGGCCCAGCAGGGCGTAGTGCATGATGTCGGGGGCCGCCTCGATGTGCTGCATGATGTGCTTCAAAGACACGTTCCTTTCCGACCAGGAGAACTCCCTGCTCCAAGGAGGGAGAGTGAGTCCCTAGGCTGACACACGAGCAGCAGCAAGGTCCTTGGGACCAGGCAGTGTGGCACCGGCTCTCAGACTGCCGTGAACACCTGGACGGGCCGGTGCCCCGCACAGTCCCCCCAGGGCCAGGCACCCTGCTGGGCGCTTCCCACGGGCGCTCATTTCTGCTATGTGCTGAACACATTTGCAGACCATAATTTAGTCAATTCTCACAACAACTCCATGGCATAGGTATTAATCGCAGACAAGGAAACTAGAACCCAACATGATTTAGCCATTTGCCTAAAGCCACACAGCAAATAAAAATAAAGCTAGGAGTCAGCAGTCAGGCTAGTGAGGAGGGGTGGGGCTGGGGCAGCAGGAAGGGAGTTTCTGGGGGGGCAGCAATGTCCCTTTCTTAATATCGGAGTAGGTTAAATGAATGTGCTTAGCTTGGGAAAAGTTCTGTATATGTATTATACTTTCTTTTTTGTCTATATATTATACTAAATGGATAGTGTGATTTTCTGCATTATACTTCAATAACAATTTTTTTCTTTCTTTTTTTTTTTTTTAGACGGAGTCTCGCTCTGTCTGCCAGGCTGGAGTGCAGTGGCGCCATCTCCACTTACTACAAGCTCCGCCTCCCGGGTTCACGCCATGCTTCTGCCTCAGCCTCCCAAGTAGCTGGGACTACAGGCGCCCGCCACCACGCCCAGCTAAATTTTTTTGTATTTTTAGTAGAGACAGGGTTTCACCGTGTTAGCCAGGATGGTCTCGATCTCCTGACCTCGTGATCCACCCACCTCAGCCTCCCAAAGTGCTGGGATTACAGGCATGAGCCACCGCGCCCGGCCCAATAACAATTTTTTAAAATTAAAAGCAAGCCAGGCTTGGCACATGAGCTCACTTTTACCACACCCAGGACTCTGGGAACCACAACCACAACCACCCCTTCTACTATGAGAGGCCCTCCGGTCTTCCAGGGGTGGGCACATTCCCCATACAAAGAGGGCACACTCGTTGGTCATCATTCGTAGGGTGGCAGGAGGTGGTGCTCTCAGGTTACCTCACCTGCTTCTCTCCCCAGCAGAGTTGACATCCACCACGTTCCACATCACGCAGGAGTCATCAGAGATCACAATGAAAGGCCAGATGTCCTGCGGCTTGATTCCCAGCTCCTCCTGCCGGTTCCGCTCGAGCTCCAGGTTATGGTAGGACAGCTCCTTGATGAGGAAATGAGCAGCACCTGCAGTGGGCAAAGCACCTGGACTCAGGACTGACCTGCACCCACACCCACAGCAGACAGACCCCAGGCAGACCTGCTGTCGGGGCCGCCCAGACAAGCCAGCCCCGACCTTCCTGACATGAATCACCTGTCACAAAACACAGCCCATGGGCTAGGGAGAGAAAACTACAGGGAGGAAAACACTCCTCTCCAGGTGGAACACAAATTTGCTTTCTTATGCTTTCTTCTCTAACCATTGAAAATATCAATTTGGCCAGGCGCAGTGGCTCACGCCTATAATCCCAGCAGTTTGGGGGGCCGAGGCAGGCCAGTCACCTGAGGTCAGGAGTTTAAGACCAGCCTGGCCAACATGGTGAAACCCCGTCTCTACAAAAACACAAAAATTAGCCGGGCGTCATGGCTGGCGCCTGTAATTCCAGCTACTCGGGTAGCTGAGGCAGGAGAATCGCTTGAACCCGTAAGACAAAGGCTGCAGTGAGTCGAGATCATGCCGTTGCACTCCAGCCTGGATGACAGAACGAGACTCCATCTCAAAAAAAAAAAAAAAAAAAAAGAGAGAAAGAAAGAAAGAAAATATCGATTAAATGGATAACCAAACACTGGGTGCGGGTAGCGGGGGAAGACTGCATAAAAAAGTCAGACAAAATGAAAATAGCTTTAAAAGTCCAAAAGTAAAAGGCCTGATGTCACATGTTTAACTTTTGTCTCTAGAACACTCTCTCAAGTGTTCGTTCACAGGAGTTTGACTGAGTAGATGATGTTAAAGGACACTCACCAACTCCAGCACTGTTGAAGATACTGGGGAGCACCAGCATGATGTGGTTGGGCCAATATTTCTTATAAATTGCCATCTCGTATTCCTTGACAACCAGCACGTGCAAATGGCTGGCACCGTCCATTGCGTGGTACAGATTAAAGAGCCCATGTTCGTGACGGCCGGTGGTTGGAGTGAATGTCGGACTTTTTATATATTCATGGCTCTGCAAAGTACAGGTATCATGAGGTAGAGTGTTTGTAAATGTGGCTGCAATTATTCCCTTGACATGTGACTTTGCAGTATTTTCCGTCAAAGAATGATGACCATGCCTACACTGCTGGAATTTTCAGCCTTGTGACTTGCTTTTACCAGTAAAAGGGAGGAAAAATGGCCTTGTGCCAGTCCTGGGCATAGCCTCAAGAGGACTTACATGTTCCACACCCTCTCAGAACTCTCCCATGCACAAGCCCGGGCTAGCCTGCTGGACGATGAGAGACCACATGGAGGAGAGCTGAACAGCCCAGCTGAGGCCACCAGCCAGCCCGCAGACAACCTGCTGGCTCACTATCGACACGAGTGAGTGAGCACAACAGAGCCCAGAAAATCATCCGGCTGAACCAAGCCCAAACTGCTAGCCCACAGATCCCAAAGCTAATGCTTATTTGGGAATAGTTAGGCAACGGAAATTAACTGGCATATAGCAATTAACCAAATTCATTACCCTCTCATATTAGAATCTAATATTGTGCCCAGAGCACACATTATTCTTGTATGTCTTTAATTTTCCATGCAAATGAACACACAACACCCCCCAATCACTGCCCCATAGAGCTTAGCTATCCACTCGGGTTGTTATATCTTTTATGTAAATAACTGTTTTCTTCAACTCCTTCTTTAACAATAAGTTCAACTGGCAGAGCTAGGCCTTCTGCTCCCTCTGAATTCCTCAGAGCACCTGCCACAACACTGTGCATGCAGCTGGTGCTCATGGCCAGCTCCGCCAGGAAGGCTGGAAGGTGAGTGGAGTGGTGGAGAAACCCCAGCTCTCATATTTCACCCCTGGAATTTCACCGCAACACCCAACCCCAGCCCGTGGGGTAGGAGGTACCTAACAATGAAGTCCTCTTGGGTACATTACAAATATTTTCACTGCTTAATAACAGGCTGCCAGATCTGAAAGGCCAGGGGCAACTCCACAGGTGCCTAGCACTCTGGAGAAGGAAAAGCAGCTTCTCCACATGGCCTGCCTTGAGCGGGGCTGGTTAAAGAGCAGCCAACTGACTCTGAGGTGATCAGGTGAGCACCGTCAAACCAAAAGCTCTACAAGGAGCATCTCTGTAAGAATGGTGAGAGACAATGGAACGTTCAGAACGACCTCTTCAAAAGATAAAGGAAATGTGTCTTTTAGAGAGACACACTGAAATATCTATATCTATAGGTATAAATATGTATAGATAGATGACATGATTTGAGGTCTGGGATTTACTTCCAAACAAAACAGGAAGGCAGAAGAGGAGAGAGGGACGGATGAAACAAGGCTGGCCATGAGTTAGCAATTGCTGGAGTTGGTAATGGGCCCTAGGGATTCACTGTGCTGTCCTATCTACCTAAGCCTACGCAAAATGTTACCTGGCAGAGCATTCAAGAAAAGACAGGGAGGGGATGAACGTCTACCCAGCTCCTGTTATCTTCCGGGCACGGAAGATAGGGCCTTTCATCAGTTATTCCAAACAGTTCTCACCACAAGCTTTTGCAAGTTGCTACTCTCCAATGTAACAATGAGGAAACCAAGGCTTGCAGATATTAAGTGACATGTTCAAGTAACAAAACTAGTAAATGGTAGAGCAAGGCTGAGGCTTGAATTGGAGTGACTCCAGAGCCCGTGCGCGACACCAGCCTCCTCCAAGTTCAGTCCCTGTATCGGTGTCTGCACTCCCTCACAGGAAGCTCTGTCTCTAGTCCCCGGCTCAGTCCCCAGTTGAAGCCACTTGGATCTGTCCCACTAGGTCTCTGAGCCAGTACCTTGTCTGTCACGAGGGGTAGTCGCATGCTCTCCAGCTGGCCTCCAGGTTGGCTGAAGACAAAGTGGTGCTCCTTGGACTTGGGGATGATGAAGTGCAGCTGGATCTCCTCTCCTAGCATGGAGTAAGAGAAGGCAAAGGCGTGCAGGGTGGACTCATACAGCTGGGGTGTGGGGGAAAGGACAGAGCTTGCCGTCAGAGTCCGGCCTGCTTCCCAGAAGACCCCAGGCCCACTCTGCTGTGACAACGTGCAGCTCACAGTCACCACTTCCCTACAGCACAAGAAACCCACGGGGTGACTCCAGTGCAAAGTGCAGACACCCAGGTCTGTTGACAGGGCAAGCACGCCCGAGGCCACACACCCACGACGAGAGCCTGCTCCCATCCTCAGTCCGCATGGGGCCTCACCCTGCTGTGCCAAGCAGGCATCAAGCTTTCTGGTCCCCGTGGCTTTGAACCTGACCAGAGCCCTGTTCTGGGTCACCAACTCAAGCATTCATGCTACAGAGCTCATTTTTAATTCTAATAAATGTATTTCTCCATCACAGTTACATGCAATCACATATTAACACTAGCTGCATATGCTTGGACACTCCTATAACACGGCTCGCCAGGCACCGTTCTGTCCTGTGTGCTGCGATTAACAATCCTACAAAGCAGTACTGTCATCATCCCCATTTTACAGGTGTGAAAACTGACATTCAGAGACCTTGGGCTCTGTCACCAAGTCACCAAGTCTGGCTGCGCCCTTAGTCACCTCCTCCAGCCTCCACTTCCCAGGAGCCTCACACCCCACATCTGTGCACGTGCTGCTCTGGGTGTGACCTCCAGCGCAGCTTTGCCCTCAGCTTGAACGTCCTCTTACGACCCCACCGACCCACGGCCCTTCCTACTGACATCCCCTCCTAGCATGTGCTATGCATGCATCCAGGGTCTGCAGGGAAGGAGGCAGACGAGCACACACTGCTTTAATCTCTGCCATGGCTCTTCTAGACCCACAGAGCCCTTTCTTTGGGAGCAGAGATGAGGGAGAAAGGGATTTTGACTCGGGGAGGCAGTTAAGGAGGACACACTGAGGCAGTTTCATAAAAAAGGTCAAGGGAGCCTTGGGAGGCAAAGGAAGAGAAAACAGAACGAGCAGGTGCAGGCCACATGGAGAGGGCAGCCAGGGGGCCACGCGGCCTCTGCACCCGCACCAGCTGGTTTCAAGCCCCCTCACCGTCCCAGGCATGCTCCTCTTCCACTGTGGCCCCCAGACCTGCGCACCCCTGAGAACACAGGCCAGGCACAGCCCAGCCGGCTGCCTCTCCTCCTCCTCTGCACTCTGGTGTCTGTTGATGCAGCCCGAGGTCCTGATGGCACTACCCACTCCTGACACTGACAGGGATGAGTAGGGACTGACACCCTTCAGTCCCTTTCAGTTCCCTACATTTCAAAATCAAGGACGTGTTTTCATGTATGTTTTTGTTTGCCTTAAAAGAAAAACTACATCTCCAAGAAACAAAATGTTAGGAGAGTTTATCTGGAACAAATGGGATTACTGATTATTTTGACCCTTAAAAAATTGCTCATATGTTCTTTCTTTCATCTACAGTACAATTGCACACTCAAACAATGAGTGCTGCGTCCCCGGCAGCCAAGCTCAAGGCCAGGCAGACAGGTGCTGTTTCCCTCTGTAAAAGGGATGGAAAGAGAGGCCAGTGCTCTTGCCTCAGGCCTTTCTGAAAGCAGCCCAGGACATCAGCTACCCTACATGCCTCTGCTCCCCAGCCAGGCATCTGACTAGCTCCCACCAACTCTGGCTCTCTCCCTCCACCCCTCTCTCCCTTGCTCGGGTCTGAAATGAAAAGAAATATTCAATGTAAAATAAATCCTCTGCCCTGTTTATAAATAACCAGCCTCACAGGCCCTCCATACACCTCCATGGGACTAAGAGACCAGTCTAAACACAGCTCTGCCCACACTGGGCTCCACTTGGAGTTCCCACTGAGAGAGTCCTCGTTCCTCCCCACAGTGCCCACCAGGCATTTTGTGGTCTGGCCTCTGCCTGCCCTCCGAGTTTCGTGGCTGAGTGTACCCACCCCAAAGTCTGGGTTCCAGAAACACCCAACCCACATCACTTCCCATCCCCTGGAAACCCCACCTCCCCTCTCCCACACATGCTGTCCCTCTCCCTTCATCTTATTAATTCTTGGCACCTTGGCAAATTCTTATTAATTCTTCCAAATCTTCTCTCTTCCGCTCCCGACCCAAACAGGATCCTCATTTATAAAACAGGGACAATGAAATTTTAGTGTGAAGTAAATAGGACACTAGATAGGACAGCTCCCATCCAGCACACCTTGGGTGGCTTGCAGGCGTGGCTTCAGGTGACCCACCAGGGCCTGAGGCAGCCAGAGCCCTGGGTCAGGAGCCTTATCCATTTCTATGTGTCCAGGATAAATATTTTCTATTGCATAAAAGGTTGGGAGAGACTGATATATAAAAAGTGCCTAGGCACATTGCCTGGCATGCAGTAGGTGCTCAATAAATGCAAATTCCTCCTCTTATCAATGGATTTCTGTGCCTCAACCATAGTACTCCTTTTGCCTGCTTCATATCGTTAGGTTTTGCTTATGTGCACATCTCCCTTCTAGACTGAGCATGGAGGATGGGGACAGAGTTGATTCAGCTCTGCAGCCCCAGTGCCTGGTACAGAATAAGCACCTGGTGAGCATCTGTTGCATTGGACTAACTTCTGAAAGCATTGGGACCTAAAGATGACGACCACCTCCACGGTCGGGTAACTTGGCCACTGATAAACACACAACCCCAGGAGAACCGTGGTGCTCTAGTTCCAGCAATCATTTCACAGACAATTGAAGGGAACAGAGGATGCAAGCAGACCAGGAAGCCAGGGCTTCCAGAACTCTCTATCTCCCACTCTGGAATGAAAGCGTGAGAGAGCAGGGGAACGGACAATGTGAGCCAAGGTGAAATGCCTGGTGGGGAACTGCTGGGGCCTACCTGGTAGCGGGGGTGGAAGCCCATGTACTGGTGGCACTGCTCACAGTGGTGGTAAGTGTTGTACGCTGCGTACTTGGACAGTCTCATCCGTGCCGTCTGACGCCGCACATAAAGGTCCTCCGGCTTCCGGGACATCCCTCTGTCTGCACCAAATTCCCCAGGATTAAAAAGCAGCAGGGAGCAAAGCAAACATTATCCCCTGCCTGCTCAAACAGAAACCAAAAATGCTCAAATGACCAGACAACAGGATTCTGTCTGGTTGGGGAGGACTGCCTCTCACCTCCCTGGGCCCTGACGTGACAGCTGGTCAAAGGAGACAACGAAGGGCCACAAAGTGTCAGTGGAATAAACTAATTAAGGCACTGTCCATATCATGTCTTACTGTAGACTAAAAATATTTCATCAGCACCTATGTAAAGATCCGCTATACAACAATTTAAATCGATTGCCAACTTAACATGCCAGCTCTGAATGCAGATGAACTGCCCCTTGTTTTTCTGTTTTTGTTTGTTTTTTGGAGACAAGGTCTTGCTCTGTCGCTCAGGCTGGAGTACAGTGGCACAATCTCAGCTCACTGCAACCTCCGCCTCGCAGGTTCAAGTGATTCTCCTGCCTCAGTCTCCTGAGTAGCTGGGATTACAGGTGCACGCCACCAAACCTGGCTAATTTTTGCATTTTTTGTAGAGACGGGGTTTTGCCATGTTAGCCAGGCTGGTCTTGAACTCCTGACCTCAGGTGATCCACCCACCTCAGCCTCCCAAAGTGCTGAGATTACAGGCGTGAGCCACCACACCCGGCCCCTGCTTGTTTTTCAAATGACCTCGCCGATTAAGATTTTAACACTCAGCCTTCATTAGAGACTGGCCTACGAGAAGGATCCTCAGTGCAAGGGATCTATTCTGAGAGCAAGGACAATAAAGTTGTTGGTTTGAAATGGAGACTGGTGGGTCACTGATATGGTTTGTCTGTGTCCCCACCCAAATCTACCTTGAATTGTAGCTCCCATAATTCTTACATGTTGTGGGAGGGACCTGATGGGAGATAACTGAATCATGGGGGCAGTTTCCCTAATACTGTTCTCATGGTACTGAATAATTTTCACGAGATGCAATGGTTTTCTAAGGGGTTTCCCCTTTTGCTGGGCTCTCACTCTCTCTTGCCTGCTGCTATATAAGACGTGCCTTTCACCTTCCACCACGATTGTGAAGCCTCCCCAGCCACGTGGAACTGTGAGTCAATTAAGCCTCTTTTTCTTTATAAATTACCCAGTCTCAGGTATGTCTTTATCAGCAGCGTGAAACGGACTAACACAGTCATTTCCTTTCTCACGGCATTTACCAAATTTTTCTAGTCTAAGTTTATAATCGCAATGGCCCCGGTACACTGCAGCGCCAGCACACCATGGATGTTGGGGATCCCTGAGGGAGGGAAAAATCAAGACACCGGGGGAGGAGAGGTGAACACGTGTACTCGTTTTGATAACTCCAAATTAATAAGTAAACATACACGTCTTTTATCCTCTATTAACCACAGCCTTCAGAATATTCCAATGGTGACAAATCAGCAAGGGTGTCGTCATTGTCACTTAGCACTTCCTGAGCAACACTCTTCAATTCACAGGTTTTGCATTCCTCCCTTCCTTATACAGGGAGGTGGTGACCTCAGTTCTGTACTAGGTATGGCAGGTTAATTCATCACCACCTGATTTCATGCCTAACAAAATCCAGCTCATCCCTTTAAGAGGCTGTGCCCATGCACTCTGGAAGGTGAAACGAGAGATTCAAAGTCTGACCTTCACTCTTTATACCCTGATAGTGCGAACAAATCAGGCTGGCATCTTCATACTTCGGGTCGTGAATGATGTAGTCAAAGGGCAACTTCTTGAACAGCTCCAGGTCTGGCCAGGGGTCGCTAAGCTGGAGATAATGCCAGTCAGATTCTTCTCTGAGGTCTACAAGATTGGTAGAAACATAGATGTGACAAAATAGGAAGTGAAAATGATTTACAGTCATGTGTCGCTAAACAACACAGAATACGTTCTGAGAAATGCGACATCAGGCGATTCTGTCACTGTGCTAACATCCTAGAGTGCACTTACACACACCTACACGGCACAGCCTGCTACACACTAGGATGTGTGGTGTAGCCTACTGGTCTTGGGCTACTAACCTGTGAGCACGGGTGTCCACTCTTTTGGATTCCCTGGGCCACATTGGAAGAATTGTCTTGGGCCACACATAAAATACACTAACACTAATGATAGCTGTTGAGCTTAAAAAAAAAATTGCAAAAATAATCTCGTAATGTTTTCAGAAAGTTTACAAATTTATGTTGGGCCTCATTCAAAGCTGTCCTGGGCCACATGCAGCCTGTGGGTTGGATAAGGTTGCTATATACAGCAAGTTATTGCACTAAATACTGCAGGTAATTGTAACACAATGTGAAACATTTGTGTATCTTGGCCGGGCATGGTGGCTCATGCCTGTAATCCCAGCACTTTGGGAGGCCGAGGCAGGTGGATCACCTAGGGTCAGGAGTTCGAGACCAGTCTGGCCAACACGGTAAAACCCCGTATCTACTAAAAATACAAAAATCAGCCGGGCATGGTGGCGGGCACCTGTAATCCCAGCTACTCGGGAGGCTGAGGCAGGAGAATGACTTGAACCCAGGAGGCGGAGGTTGCAGTGAGCTGAGATCTCGCCATTGCACTCCAACCTGGGTGACAAGCACAAAACTCCATCTCAAAAAAAAAAAAAAAAAAAAGAATTTGTGTATCTAAACATAGAAAAGGCATGGGGGAAATATGGTATAAAAAATGTAAAACAGTGCACTGTACCGGGCACCCACCTTGCACGGGGCTTGCAGGACTGGCAGTTGTTCCGGGTGAGTCAGTGAGTAAGCGGTGAGCAAATGTGAAGGCCTGGGACATGGCCATGCACTACTGGAGACTTGACACTCTCCTCTTAGGATACACTCGATTTATAAACGATATTTTTCTTTCTTCATTAATAAGTTAACCTTAGCTTACTATAACTTTTTTACTTTATAACCTTTTAAACTCTTTGACTCTTTTGTAATAACACTTAGCTTAAAACAAACACATTGTGCAACTGATCAAAAATGTCTTCTTTCTTGATATCCTTATTCTATGAGCTTAATATTTTAATTTTTCTACTTTTATTTGTTTTTGTTGTTTTTTTCTTGAGACAGAGTCTCGCTCTGTCACCCAGGCTGGAGTGTCACTCCAGGATGGAGTGGCACCATCTCAGCTCACTGCAATCTCCGCCTCCCGGGTTCAAGCGACTCTCCTGCCTCAGGCTGGAGTAGCTGAAATTACAGGCGCGTGCCACCACATCCAGCTAATTTTTGTACTTTTAGTAGAGACGAGGTTTCACCATGTTCGCCAGACTGGTCTCAAACTCCTGGCCTCAAATGATCCACCCACCTCGGCCCCACAAAGTGCTGGGATTACAGGCGTGAGCCACCACGCCTGGCCCTACTTTTAAAACTTTTTGTTAAAACTAAGACAGACACACACACACTCGCCCAGCCTTTACAGCATCAGGATCATCAATATCACTGTCTTCCACCTCCACATCTTGTCCCACTAGAAGGTCTTCAGGGGCAGCAACACTCATGGAGCTGTGTCATCTCCTATGAGAACAATGCCTCCTTCTGAAGCATCTCCTGAAGGACCTGCCCGAGGCTGTTCTACAGTTAACTGCTTTTCAATAAGTAGAAGGTGTATACTATAATAAAAGTATGGTAAATACATAAAACCAGTAACAGTTGTTTATAATTATCAAGTGCTATGTGTTGTACATAATTGCATGTGCTAGACTGTTGATAGTACTGGCAGTGCAGGTTAATTTACACCCGAATCGCTACAAACACTTGAGTAATGCCTCTTGCCACAAATTCCGATGACTACGATATCACTAGGTGATAGGAATTTTTCAGTTCCCCTAGAATCTCATGGGACCAACGTCACAGATGCAGTCCGTTGACCAAAACGTCATTATGTGGCGCACGACTAAATTTTAAATGCGCACAAAGGATGATGCTTGGAGTGGAATTGTTATTGAGTCCGTGGGCTGCTGGGAAACCCCATTGTATCTGCAAGGCTCTTGACACATATTCCATTTTCAGGAATGTTCTAATGAGGCAAGAATGTGCATTCAGAGCTATCTCCATCCAGAGCAACAGCCTTGTGCTGTTTGCTGTGAGAATGGCTTTGCTCTCCTGTCCCTAAGTCTGACTTCCACTCCGGCCAGAGTCCTGACCCAGAGGACCTCAGCCCTGTGCTTCACCCCAGCACCATCCCCCCAGGTGACCACACTGGTGGCCAATGCCAGCAAAACCTGCATAGCTTCCTTTCTTGCCTCTATCTAAATGCCCCCCAGCCAGTATGGCTCAGCTCCTGTCACTCCACCTATAGAAAGCCTCTCAGAGTGCTCCAGCCTAGGGGCTTCTCCCTTCTGATGCCAACAACATTCGTAGCCCAAACCACACTCTTCCATTTGCCATGTCTCATCTCACATGGTGATCATTGTAGTCTATGGTGCTTACTAAGTGTCTAAGGTAGAAAAATCTAGATGGCCCAATTCAAATTATAAAACATGTTGATTATATTAAATACATGTCCTACTATAGTACACACATGGGCAGAGTGCATGTCCATAGGAAGGCAGGGGAGAAATGCCTATGAGTATTTAATAGGTTTTGGCCAAGCACGGTGGCTCACACCTGTAATCCCAGAACTTTGGGAGGCTGAAGCGTGTGGGTCACTTGAGGTCAGAAGTTTGAGACCAGCCTGGCCAACATGGTGAAACCCTGTCTATACTAAAAATACAAAAATTAGCCAGGCGTGGTGGCACATGCCTATAAATCCAGCTGCTCCAGAGGCTGAGACAAGAGAATCACTTGAATCTGGGAGACGGAGGTTGCAATGAGCCGAGATGGTGCCACTGCACTCCAGCCCGGGCAACATAGCTAGAATTTGTCTAAAAAAAACAGTCTTGGTGCTCTGTGTGTGTCACATTTAATCCCCATAAAACCCTATAATAGAGAAATTATCCCTATTCAACAAAAGAGATAAGATTTAAAGAATGGGCTTTAACACTGAACAAACTGGGTTCAAATCCTGTCTTTATCACTGGTATGTCCAAGAAAGCAAGGAGACAAATTCAGCAGGGCTGCAGACTTCATCTGAAATGTGGTTCCAAACTGTGGGGAAACCTTAGAAAACTCAGAGCCAGCTGAAGAGCCTCTCCTTTCCTGGGAGGGAAGGCCGAGGGCTGGATGGGCTTCCTTGGCTCCAAATTTTCTCCAAGTCAAAACTGAAGCACAATCGACAGCATCTCACCAAGTGCCCTTCAGACACTGGTGCAGCTGGCTGGCAACCTCTCCACAACACAGACAGGACTCGTCTGACAAGCTCTCTCTCCCAGCACAGCAGATTCATTGACCAGACCAAGTTTATGAGCCACTGGGAGGAGGGATGAGGAGGAAACAGGGGAGGTTATTTTACATGAGCACAAAAGGGGTGCTCAAAAAGAAACTGACCTTAATCAGGGTAAACTCTGTTCTGGAAATGAGAACAGGATTTTCCCCACATTTCATGTATTTCTATTTTGCCCCAAGACACTGACCTCCCTGCTCAGCTGCCTGAGCAGGAAACCTCTCCTGAGGGGTAAGTCTGCTTTGCAGAGGCAGCAGTCAAATCTAATTCCTTCCAGCCCTGCCACTACTCAGCTGGGCTCCCAAGCATGTGATTTATCAGGAGAATGGAACATCTATCTCACCCTGGGCCTAAGAAATTGACATGGTAACTTGTGCAAAGTATCTAGGTCAGCGCTCCACATGTGGAAGGTACTCAGTAAACAGTCAGCTAATAATCATAATTGTATCACTACAGCAAAAGCCTGATACTGAGAAAAATGACTACAAGATAAATAGCACCCCCTACAAGGTCCTTGGGATGAGTCTGATCATGAATCTGAGAATTCCATCTAGAAAGTGAAATATAAAATTAAAGTCACTTGAGAAAGTGATGAAGGTGGCTCCAAGCCCACATAACCCCAAACAGATAACTCACTGATATTGATCTCCTCCTCGTCATAGACATCCACTTCTGTGAGCCGAACAAGCATCCTGGACAGGACACTGAGGAACTGCAGGTAGGCACCTGTCTTCCCGATCTGTAAAGGTATAGGAGTTAAAACCCCCAGTGAGGAAGCCCCATCCGCGTGCCAGGCACCGGCTGAACACCTGGCATGGCTCCTGACATCTGCCTCACTTGAAGATCCTGTCTTTAAAATGAGAACCCTGTGGATGCAAAGATATTTGAAGGGAAGAAGCGTGGCAGGTGGACAAATGGACTCCCACGAGCATAAGGCCTTCCTGCTTAAATATCGTCGCACACGCATCTCTAGATTTTAACCAGCCGCATTTTTAAGCTGTTAGAAATAGAAGTTTATCATAAGCCAAAGCAAGCTGCTTCAAAAAAATAGGATACTATAAACATGCCTTATGAATCTTGCAAATTGCTTGTCTTAATCATTATGTCTGTACAAGACAGCAAAATTCATTGTATAAGACATAAAAAAAAAATGCTTCTCGTATTTCTCCTTCTAAACCCAGGAAAAGAACAACTTTCTTCTTCTTCCTTCTCCTGCTTCCTATAACGTAGAGTTCCCTGCTTCCCCAGCCCAGCTTCAGGCTAGCATACCTCCTATTAATCTTAGTCCATTTTGGTTATTACTGATTGAGAAGTACCCATGGTCTGGCCCAGTACCCTCCCTGTACCACTGTATAAACAGCCACTACAGGCGTGGGTTTCCTGGCTCACACTTGTAATCCCAGCACTTTGGGAGGCTGAGGCGGGCGGATCACGAGGTCAAGAGATCCAGACCATCCTGGCCAACATGGTGAAACCCCATCTCTACTAAAAATACAAAAATTAGCCGGGCATGGTAGCATCTGCCTGTAGTCCCAGCTACTCGGGAGGCTGAGGCAAGAGAATCGCTTGAACCCGGGAGGCGGAGGCTGCGGTGAGCTGAGATCGTGCCACTGCACTCAAGCCTGGCGACAGAGCGAGACTCCGTCTGAAAAATAACAATAATAATAAACAAAAGAGCCACTCCAGGGATGTGCTTTCCAAGCACCGAGCCCAATGCTTGGTTCATGCTACAACTCAGTAAATGCCAATGAATGGAAATAACTAACTTTACAGAGGAAAATATGACACCCAACCACAGGGAAGCTTCAGAGAAAATATCTGCAATACAGATGATAGACAAAGGACAAAAATCTGTAATATCTAAAGCACTTCCACAAATCAACAAGAAAAAGTCAAATGGCCTAAAGGAAAAACAAATAAGAGAAACCAGAAAATCACTGAAAAAGAAGTATCAACGACCAGTAAAAACACAAGAATATGTCAACCTTACTAGTAAAACCGTAAGGTATTATTTTTCACCCATCAAAGAGACAACGATTTTAAACTGATAATATCCAATAGTGTGAGGGTATGGAAGAAGGGAGACTCCTTGGTAAGAAACATTTTCTTTTGTCCTTTTTAAATCAGAAAAAGTAATATTGTTCATTCTACAAGTTTAAGAAACAAATGGATACTGAACCGCATCCCAGCCCCAAAGCCCAGCTCTGTTCCAAAGAGCAGATTCCAGTCCCCAGCCCTCCTCCTCCCCACAGGCTCACGCACAGGAGATTCTGCCATTGAGAGGTGAAATGGACTTTTGTTGTTAAGGAAACACCATGCATTGCAGGAAGGCTGAGACAGGGAAACAGAACCCCTAGTTCTCCGTTCATGGTTCACCGAAACCTTCCAGTGGAGAACCCAGAGTTTTGTTTCTATTTGTCAGAGAACATGGGCAGTGGCCGAGTGAGATGATGTGGATTGAGGAACCGTAGTCTGATACACCCAGAAAGGTCTCCTGTCCGCCCCCTACATCACACAGGGGAGGAATGGAAGCCACCAGCCCTGAGTGGCAGATGAGTCCTGCCCTCCTCCCTCCGGTCCACCCCAGGCCATTGGAGAAGATTCCACCACGGGAAGGGTGAAAAGTGAAGACGTGGGTGCGGTCACCCCCAGGCCTGCCCTCCAGATGGGAGTGTGAGGACCCCCCCAGTCCGGGGCTGTGCTGGGGCAGCGAGCAACACTCACCTGAGGGGGGCCGCTGAGCAGCAGCCTGCGGGGGTGGAAGCCGTCCACGCGGCCCTCGGCCCGGTTGCCGTAGTCCATGTGGCTGGGCCGGGGCACCGTCCACTGCCGGTAGTAGAGGGACTGCTCGGTGGATGTCATGGTCTTGCTGAGCAGGGGGCGGAAAGAGCTGGCCCACATGACCGAGGGGGAGGGCAGGAGGGAGGCGGCCTTGGGCAGGCCACTGCTGTCAGTGGACACAACCATGTCGTACACGAGCTTGGGCAAGAAGACAATGGGTGGCTGGCGGCAGGCCTTGGTCAAGGAGCACTGGGAGGCCTGCAGGACCCACGTGCCGGCAGCGGGCGCCACGGATGAGGAGGATGAGCCCGAGGAGGAGGACAGCTGGGAGCACGACGAGGTGACCGACACCTGGACGCTCCTCTGGCCGGTCCTGAGGCTACAGTCGGGCTGGGGCGTCGGCCCGGGACTGTGCCTGCTGATGGCCGAGGGTGGCCCCTGACTTGCCCGGGGCCTCTGTTTCTCACCAGGGGCTCTGCCCTCCTCTGCGGGGCCACGGGGCTGGGGCGACCTGGCATGCTCTCCCTGGGGGAGTGCTGTGGGCTGAGCCGAGGACTCGCCACCGAGCGCTGAACCTGAGGAGAGACGAACATGGTCAGGGACGTCCTAGAAGGTACCTGTCCCAGGAGTCACCCATCCCAGGAGTGACCTGTCCCAGGAGTCACCCATCCCAGGAGTGACCTGTCCCAGGAGTCACCCATCCCAGGAGTGACCTGTCCCAGGAGTGGCCCATCTCAGGGGCGACTCGTCCCAGGAGTGAGCTGTCCCAGAACTTGCCGGCGGCTCCTGTTTCTGCCCCAGGCCCCCTGTACTGTTTCAGGCAAACAGACCCAGTGGTTGCAGCTTTTCTGACTGAGCTCCTGCCTATGAGGCAGGGCTTCTTTCAGTCCCCGAGCTCTGGGCTGAGGGTGAAGAGGCTCAGTGCTGACTCCATCGGGGGCATCTGGGAGGGAGACCCCAACCACCAGCTCACTGCTGTGCACAGGCGCAGGAGGTGAGGGGAAAAGAAGGGCGGCCCCAGATGCCCCCTAGCCAGTCTCCTGGTGGGCCCTGACCTCTGACCTTTCCCCGTCCCAGACCAAACAGCAGGGACTCTCAGCCGCTCCCTCAGCCACAGCTAGGCACACCCCCGGCCCCAACAACAGGAGCCTGCGGCCACCGCACACACCCGTCCCCGCACCCAGGCCCTGCACGTCTCGCCCCTGAGCCTCTCGGCCCTTAAGGCTTCCTGCACTTGCAACACCTTCCGCAAGGCCCGACTGAGGGTCAGCTGCTCTCTCAAACCTGTGGTAACCTCACCTACCCTGAAATCTGCCCTCTGCCTTGGGACAAAATTACAGACTTCTTCATATGTGAAGTGAAAATGTGTGCAAAAGACTACTGCAAAATAACACGTCTTTTATGAGAACAATGAGTTCGTTCCCTGAGGTCAGGTCTACATCTCATTTATCCTTCAGTGCTGATCCAGATAGCAAGTAGGCCCTCAGAATGCTTTTGGCGGAAAGACAGGGACTGTGCGTGCTGATGGCCGACGGTGGCCCCTGACTTGCCCGGGGCCTCTGTTTCTCACCAGGGGCTCTGCCCTCCTCTGCGGGATCCTGACTACTCTCGGAGACAGAGGAACCCCTTAGGGCAGAGACCGTGTGGAGCCTGTGGTTGGCACTGCCCACCCGCTGTGGCTGTGGCTACGCGGAAGGCTCATGAGCTTGTGTTGCCTTTTGTTGCTCTTCCCCCAGTGAAGTCTCCATGTCTACTTCTCTCCTTGCGCTCAGCTCCTCTCCCCACAGGGCACAGGGTTTTCCCAAACCAACAACGGCAGGGAGAACACCCGGGGACCCGCCCCTAACACGGCCAGGACTCAGCCTGAGGCCCCAGCCACAGTGAGGGGCAGGGTCCACGGTCCTCCCCTGAGCACAGGGGCAGCAGAACCCTACAGTCTTGCTCAGTCTTCAAGTTCTCCGATCCGAAGTTGACCACAATATTTACTCTCTAGAGAGTCTAGCACTTCAAAGATTTCCTTATCTTTCCAGTTCTGATGGAAAATAAAGGATCAGCAAATAGCCCTCTATAGGTTTCTTTTCATTCTCTGAAACCTCAAAAATCAGTCTGCTGGTCTGGTCCTTCCCGTGTGGGAAGACTCACCGGAAGCCTTGGAGGAGAGGGATGAGGATGCTGAGTCGTGGGAGCGGGACCTCTCCCTTTTCATGGGGCTTCTCTTCTCCGAGGTAGAGCCTGTTCCAAAACACACACGCTGAGAATGCACCGAAATCACCATTCCTGACATTTGCCCAGCACTTCACAGTGTGTAAAGTGTGTTCCCATGCATCACCTCTCCCCATCCATTTACTCATTCACTGCCATCTTCCAGGCCCCCACCATGGACAGAGCACTGAGGAGACAGGAGGGAGTGGGCTGCAGTGCAGGGAGGCACTCTGGGTGCAGCGAAGGCTCCTGCCCATGAGGCACAGCTGCAAGCTGGTGGAGGAGATGCAAAGAGAGAGGGGTCGGGGAGCCTGGGGGAAAAGCAGGGCATCTCCTGGAAGAGGGGGGCATCTGGCCGTCGCCCTGAAGGGCCTCAGGGTTTTGCAGGTAAAGTAGAGAAAGGAAAACTCTGAGCAGCAGGAAGGGCAGCCGTGCAGCGCAGAGGCCAGAAGGGCAGGGCACAGCCCGGCCACTGCAAGTTTAACGTGGGCCAGTGCTCAGTGCAATGCGGGCTATGGGTAGAGAGAAGCAGATGGTGAAACTAAAGAAGGGGGTCCTGAGATGCCAGGGAGCACGGAGACGTGCAGCAGATACTCACAAATGAAAGAATTAAATCAGAGTCTCTGCCGTGCTTCGAAAAGATGGCTACAGGCGGGCAGGCCTTTCCATCTACATTTTACAGACGAGCAAGCTGAGGCTAAGAGAGGTCCCACAGTCAAGACAGACAAGGCAGACCACAGACCCGCGCTGGTGCCCACACCCACCTCCTTCCATTCCACACACTCCACAAATGCTTTCTAGTTTTTGAATGACTGTCTACGTCTTTCTCATCACATTGTTGACTATAGTCAATGCCTTGCGATGTTATCATTTATGTGTCCTATTAAAAAGGCGGCATCAGATTTGAAGAGTCTGCAAATGAGCCTGTTTTCACACTTCTTAAAAATGGACAGCACGCTGTTGGGTTGATTCACAGAGGAAATAAACAAGCAAATCACACTAGGTGGGAATTCCACCAGTGAGTGGAACGAGGAACTCTAAGAAATTTTGAACTTGAACTCTAAGAAATCTTAATTTTTCTTCCTATTCTTTAAGAATTCTAGAACTAGGAAAAACCTATAGGGATTTCCATTTTCTCACACCACCAAAAGAGATGGGGAGAAAACAAACAAAATCTGAATTCAGTGAGAGCTCTGCCATTTCATCCAACACTGGAGACCTCTCATCCAGAGCCGCTGTCCAGCAGACAGGTCCCAGGACCCTGCTGAACTGGAGACAGCTGTCTCCATAAGCACAGGCAGCCTCAAAGCTCAGAAGCCAAGAAAGACATGCAGACAGGGACAAGTAGGCTGAGGGCAGCCATCCCTCACCTTCTGTCCCCAGCTCCTCATCCTCGTTGTCTGTGCTGCTCAGCTTCTCAGCATCACTCTCCAAGGCCTCGTTCCTAGCCCCCTTCTCCAAGGGAACCTCGTTGCTCACAAAGTAGGCAGCCAGGCCCAGCTCCTGCTCCAAGGCTGTTCTCACCAAGCAGGAGGAGTTTATCAATCGCAGGTCACAGTACCTCAAAGACCTAGCAAGACACAGAAGAAGGTGTCTGTTTAGTGCCTTCCACAAGTGGAGTGCTGTTCCCACTGCGGCAGGCAGCACTGATCGGGACCACACCCCACCTTCCTGGTGAGGACCCAAGGACTCGTACAAGTGGAAAAGCCAACAGTGTTACTGGGAGCTTGCAGCAACAAATTCAGTATAATAGTAAATCTTTGGGGACACCCACTATGCATTTAGCTCTGTGCTGCACTAACTTTTGGGTCAGATAAAAAAGGGGCTTGCAGCACTTTGGGAGGCCGAGGCGGGCGGATCACAAGGTCAGGAGATCGAGACCATCCTGGCTAACACGGTGAAACCCCGTCTCTACTAAAAATACAAAAAATGAGCCAGGCGTGGTGGCGGGCGCCTGTAGTCCCAGCTACTCGGGAGGCTGAGGCAGGAGAATGGAGTGAACCCGGGAGGCAGAGCTTGCCGTGAGCCGAGATTGTGTCACTGCAATCCAGCCGGGGCGACAGAGCCAGACTCCATCTCAAAACAAAACAAACAACAACAACAACAACAAAAAGGGGGGGCTTGAACCTGAGCTCTGCTACTTCCTAGCGACAGAAGCCGTGACAAGCTGCACAACTTCTCTGAGGCTCTGATTTTTTCATCTGAAAGATGGGAATGAATATTAATAACCATCTGGCTGGGCGTGGTGGCTCACACCTGTAATCCCAGCACTTTGAGAGGCGAAGGCGGGCCGATCACTTGAGGTCAGGAGTTCAAGACCAGCCTAACCAACATGGCAAAACCCCATCTCTACTAAAAATACAAAAATTAGCCGGGTGTGGAGGCAGGTGCCTATAATCCCAGCTCCTCGGGAGGCTGAGGCAGGAGAATCACTTGAACCCAGGAGGCGGAGTCTGCAGTGAGTTGAGATTGCACCACTGCACTCCAGCCTGGGCAACAGAGTGAGACTCCGTCTCAAAAAAAAAAAAAAAAAAATCTAAGTCCGCTGTGATAAAGATTAAATGTAATCAGTGAGCATTTAATTATTCAATCCAAGTGAACACAGGCCAGGGTACTAGATGCTAGAAATATGATGGCAATCAAGTCGGACACCAACAAGCAATGCTATCTGTGAGCAGCAGAGGAAAGGCCAACCCCGTGCTCAGACTTGCGCAGCAGAAACACAACCAAGGCAAAGGGCTTAGAGAGGGGTACGTGAGGGTTCCAGTGGGGCTCTGAAACTTACTGCTCATGACCTCAAGCAAATGATCGTTCATTGACTCAACCATGAAACAGGATGGTAATACTACTGCAGCAAGGAGTAAGTTTCATATGAAAAGTCTATCATGATGCCTGGTACAAAGAAGGTACCAGAAGGTACCTGGTATTCAGCAAATGCTTGCTAAAATTTAAAATAGATTAAGACATTGTCTCAGTCCTTAAGGAGTTGAAGAAGAAAAGAATTAATCCATGTGAAATAGCAACAAGCAAGGTCAAATGTTCTGGAGCCCCCTTCCCCTGGCCCATGAGTATGCAGCATGCACAGGGCCGTTTGCTGAAGTGTGGGGTGCTCCTGGGGGAAGAAGCCAGGCCCACTGCTGGCCAGACTGGCTTAATCTCAGTAAGCCTCAGTTTCTTCATCCGTAAAATGGGACTACTGAAATAGCACCTTTCCCCCAGGATTAAGGTGAGAGTAAAATGAAATAAAACCTAAAAGAAGAATCTAGGACAGTTCCCAGAACATAACAGGAATTCCACTGATGTCGGCTTTTGCTATCTTTTGCTGGCCGTCTGCTCTTCTCCACCGGTATGAAGTCTCTAAAACCCAATCTGTCACTACCAATCCAAGAAACTGCCTTACAGGAGGCCCAGGGACCTGAGTCTCGAGTGTCCGCATGTCTGTGTGGTGGCCTAGAGACCCCCCACACCAGCGGACATCGAGTGGATATGTGGCTAAGACTTTCCAGGCTGTGATGGATTCAGAGGGACACATCTTTTGAGACAGTCCACTCTGTGCTGGAAGAACCAGCTCTTCCCGAGCAGCGTCAGTTGCCTCCACTCCCAGAACGCCTCCTAAGCCGGGAGGGCCCAGGCATTGCGGCAGCCTAGGTACCAGCAGGAACTGTGGCTGCAACTCCTGGAGAGGATGCCGTACTGTCCCAAGCAGAACTGCCATCCCCAGCACACACAGAGCGCCCCATGGGGAGACACTGAACTCAGGAGGCATGAAATCCTGACTCCACCTGCAGAGCCTCCACCCGTAGAGCCTGGCAACAGCCGTCACCACGAGCCCAAACAGCGCCTTTCTGAGAATCAGGAGAAGGGGCACGGGCCTCAGACGCACTCAGGCCCATGCTGGGAAAGCCACGATGAAGGCCCCACCCACGGGGCCTGTGAATGTGAGTGGTGCTGCCTACCGTCAGGGCACAGCAGCCCCCCTGACATGCTCCTTGAGGGGGCCCAGGCAGCCAGCTCCTCAGAGACCCCCAGGGGCATAACCCCTCCACTCACCTCGGCAAGGACTCCCCATGCGGGTCCATCCCACTGAAGATCAGGATGCAAGGCAGACCCTCCAGCTCCAAGTAAGTCTGGGGTCTCCACTCCACATCCTCAATTTTCTGCCACATCTGCAGATAACGAAAAAGAAATAAAGCCACAGACGCCTCCCTTCCCAACCAGCCCAGCTCAGAGGAATCCTGATGGCCTCCCACACCAATTTAAACTCCTTGAACTATATCTTCTGACCAAAAGGAAATTTCTTTAGACTGCAAATAAGCACACCATCCACTTGGCCACCGTATTTTCAGTCGGCTAGAACATGGAGATTAGCCAGCCAGAGCATGTCCAAGACATCTCTATCAGCTGACCAGCTCCGTGAAAGGAAGTCTATGTTGTCAGCTGCTCCTTAAGTCTTTTTTTTTTTTTTTTGAGACAGAGTCTCGCTGAGTCACCCAGGCTGGAGTGCAGTGGCGCAATCTCAGCTCACTGCAACCTCCACCACCAGGGTTCAAGTGATTCTCCTGCCTCAGCCTCCCGAGTAGCTGGGACTACAGGCGCACGCCACCCCATCTGGCTAATTGTTGTATTTTTAGTAGAGACAGGGTTTCTCCATGCTGGCCAGGCTTATCTCGAACTCCTGACCTCAAGTGATCCGCCCGCCTCGGCCTCCTAAAGTGCTGGGATTACAGGTGTAAGCCACCGCGCCCAACCAGCTGTTCCTTATGTCTTGCCTGTGCTCTCTCCTGACAGTGTCCTCCCTTTCATTCCTGTTTTCCACTCATTTGTTCTTTCCCTAAACCTTTTGCATTTTCTGTCACCTGCAGATTGAGTGAGAACCTACTATGGGCCAGGCGCTGTGCTAGGCTTTGGGGGCTGAGTTCTGTGGGGATGGCCATTGCCCCCCACCATCTGGGAGAGGGGCTAGATGACAGGCAGGGAGCATGGCACTGCCCTGGGCATGGCAGAGGGGGAGGGTGGCTTCCTGAAAGAGGAAAGACACCAACCTAAGTGCTGCAGAAAATAAGCAGGGCAGCTCACACCTGGAACCCAGCACTTTGGGAGGCTGAGGCAGGAGGGTTGCTTGAACTCAGGAGTTTGAGATCAGCCGGGGCAACATGGAGAAAATTTTAAAAATTTTAAAAATTAGCCGAGTGTGGTGGCACACGCTGGTGGTTCCAGCTACTCAGGAGCCTGAGGTGGGAGGATCCCTGGAGCCCAGGAGCTCAAGGCTGCAGTGAGCTGTGATCACGCCACCGCACTCCAGCCTGGGCCACAGAGTGAGACCCTGTCTCAAAGGGGAAAATAAAGAAGCATCAGCTAAACAAAGAAGAGAGGAAATGGATGCCCAGGAAAAAAGAAAGCAGGCTGTTGCCCAGAGGTCTAAAGTCATAAGGCAATGCTGCAGGGGTGTGGGGGTGCTGCTGGGGCGGAGGGCAGAGGTGGGGAAGCACAGAGAGGAGGCTGAGGGGTGGCTGGGTCTAGGGAAGCCACGTTGGCCACGCTGTGGGGTTCGTGACACTCCCTGCCTCTGGTGGGCCCCTCAGCTCTCCCAGGTACCCCCAGGCCCTCCGCCCCTCCCTGCGCACAGCACCTACCCTGAGCTGCTTTACGAAGTGCTTCCCCACGGTGACGCCTGAGCTGGGACTGCCCAGGATGATCTCAAAGTGCTCCTCCAGCGCCAGCCGGGCCCGCACGTGGGCCAGCCGCTCATAGGCCACCACCGCCAGGGGCGAACAGGGCACCCGCAGCAGGACCATGAGCCCGTGGCCGCAGGGGCACTGCTTCGGGGAGTTGAGGAGGTTCTGCGTGATCTCCAGCGTCTCCACCGACGTGTAGTTCTTCATCTGCGGGAGGCCGCTTACGGCCATCAGGGCGGCCGCGTAGTGCTGCACGAGAACAAAGGTCCTGATCACCGCGCTGTGCAGGCGGGGGAACCTGCAAGGAACACAGAGAGACCATGTCTGTGACGGCCGCGCCCACCGGCCTGCTGCTGCCAAGTCACCCAAGACATCCGTCACTCTACCACAGGCAACTCCGGCATTATACGCAGTTGTGTTGCCTCTGGAAGGTGGTTGTGGGAACCTGAATGAGAAGCCTTCTTTAGAAATCAAATTATACAGTCCTTTGTTTTTTCCAGCTGGAAAACAAAAACATAGGTTTGTTGTTATTACGTTTTTCCAGCATTTGGCACTTAGTAGCTGCTCAATAAATATTTGTCCAATGAATGAGCAGATGAATAAATGGTATAAATGCCTATTTTGTCTCTATCAGCACAATGTGCAGCTCTCTGAGGAGGGGACTAAGTTGCCTCTGGTTCCTACTAGAAACAGGAGAACCACCAGCAATCAATATGGAAATGCAGCTACCGGAGGCCCGAGTTCTAAAGGCCCATCTCTGTGTTCACTTCGATCACAGTGAATTATTAGAAATATAACTAAACGTATTTTGACAGACTAATTACAAATCAGAACATATCCAGCCAAATCAAGAATCCCAGTTTTTGCTTCAGAAACTGTGGTTACTATCTGTGTCCCCACACAAAGGTGGTGGCTGCTCCCACAACCACCTGCTCTCCTAGAGTGGCTCTGACCCGTTAGTCACACAGACCCCAGGGCACCAATGGAAAAGCCCAGGTCCCTGTAGATGATGGTGTTTCTCAACGTGAATAAATAAATTGGTATCCAGTTTATGCACAATGTTCTTCTGGGTTGATTGAGCTGGAATGGGTCCTCCTGACTCTGGCTTTTTGTAGCAAAGGTAAGGTAGTTTCTCGACCTACAAAAATGAGTACCATACCGTGGCCATGCCACCCTGTGAGTTCTATCAGGGCAGCCAGCTCGCCTTCCTACAGCACTTGATAGCATTTCTGACATTGCGATGACATCCCTGCTCCTTCTTCCTGACCATCCTCCTCCTTTTCTTCATGTTTCCTTCAGCACTTCATCCACTACGCAGGTCACATAAGCTGGAAGCTGGCCTGGCAAGCTTGCCATTACCAGGGCTGTCTAGGAAGGTATAACTGGTCCACAGACTCTGGCATGAAGGGGACTCAGCAGCCCAGGGACTGCTCTACCTACCCCTGGTGCACCTGTCAAATAATGCCCAGGAAACGGATTGCCTGAGGTCAGGAGTTTGAGGCCACCCTGGCCAACATGATGAAACCCTGCCTCTACTAAAAATACAAAAGTTAGTCAGGCATGGTGGCACACGCCTGTAATCCCAGCTACTTGGGAGGCTGAGGCAGGAGAATCGCTTGAACTCAGGAGATGGAGGTTGTGGCAAGCCAAGATCATGATCACCACTGCACTCCAGCCTGGGCCACAGAGCGAGACTCCATCTCTAAATAAATAAATAAATAAATAAATAAATAAATAAATAAAATAATAATGCCCAGGAAGAAAGAAAGAAAGTGCAGTAGGGAAAATGGGCTCTGCTCAAAGGACAGAGATTTCTGCTTCTGACAAGATGGAGCAACGGGATCAGGTTTATCCTCCCATCTGAAACAGCTGAAAAACTGAACACATAAATGAAACAACTGCATTTCAATACATGGGACATCAGGCAGTGAAAGACAGTGATCCTAACAATGTGAGACAAATTAGGTGAGTCCCCCAGCTTCTGCCTACAGTTTCTGGGATGTACTCAGGAAGAGGGAAGCCAGCCAAAGCTCGGTGGTCTCCCTGAGTTGAGGAGAGGTATCAGATTCCGGGAAAGCCAAGGCAGCTAGAGATCACAGGGCAAAGTACCAAAGAGGAGAGATCTGCAGAGGGTCTCCCTAAAGTCTTCAGTTGATATGAGCAGTGCACATATGTAAGGAAATGACCCAAAGCCAAAACAAGAATCCTTTGGTTGCAAACGAATTAAAGGGAACAATGTCTCAAGTTCATGTAGGGCTGGGAATAGTTCCTGTTTCCACAGCCAATATGGAACACCTCGGAGTCATGAAACATTGTAGAGTACTTACTCAGAGGATTTTGTCTCAGTAATGGGCAAAGTTAGCGCTACATTAAATACTGCTCTGGTCCTGACTAACAAAGTTTAAAACCAAGACCTGGAAGGATTAAACTGTGTGCAAGTAACTTAGTTGTATCACAAAAACACCTCAGTATTTATAGACATACAAATATATCTAGCACCCAACAAGGTAAAATTAACAACGTCTGGTATTCTCTCAAAAATTACCAGACATGTAAATAAGCAGGCAAATATGATCCATAATAAAGGGGGGGAACCAATTGATCAGTAGAAACTGACCTAGGAATGACACAGATGACAGAATTTGCAGACAGCAAAATTAAAACAATTATTGTAACTATATTCTATATGGTTAAAAATCTAGAGGAAAGACTGAACTTGTTGAGTGAAGATATAAAAATCACAAATTAAATTCTAGAGATGAAATCTTCAATGTCGTAGATAGAAAATAAACTAGACCCTGAATTCTCATGGGAGCTATGATCTTTGTATGTGACCTTGCCCTGCCAGCCACAATAGAGTGGTTCAGGTATGGAAACCCAACTCAGGCTGAGCCAGTCTTCTCTTGGGATTTTTCAAACAATAAGAAAGAATAAGTCCCCCTCTGGAATCTAGAGACCGTGAGGCTCAGCATCAAGCAGTGGTAATGTTTTTCAGTGCACAGAGGAAGACACTGTGCAGTGAGATACAATAAAACCATCATACAGATACCAAAGACAAAACAACACAGTCTTGGCGGTGTTTGAATACTTAAGTTGTTAGGTATCTCTGCTGTTCTATGGTTTATTTGTTCAACCTTTCCTATTCTTTTACAAGTCAATACATCTCTCTCTTTTTCTGAAAAGAGTTCAAGTTGAGTTTCTGTTACTTGCAACAAAGAGTCCTGATTAATAAACACAGTAACTATGTATCATCAATGTGTATGTACATCAATGCACGTGACACCTGAAATTGTCTTTTTTCTCTTAGGAATCTTGTCATAAAACTGTGCTTTTCTAAGATAAATATATATATATGTATATATATGCATATATGTGTATATATGTATATATATGTATATATGTATATATGTGTATATATGCGTATATATATGTATGTACATATATGTATATATATGTGTATATATATGTATGTACATATATGTATATATATGTGTATATATATGTATGTGTGTGTATATATATATACACACACACACACACACACACACACACACACATACATATACTGGATGAAATTGGCAGCAGATTAGATAACATAGAAAATAAGATTAATAAACTTGAAAACACAGCAATAGAAACTAAAATGTTCCAGCACTTTGGGAGGCCAAGGCAGGAGAATCACTTGAGGCAAGGGGTTCAAGACCTTGGCAATATAGCAAGAAAAATTTTTAAAAATTGGCCAGGCATGGTGGCATGCACCTGTAGTCCCAGCTGTTTGGGAAGCTGAGATGGGGGGATGGCTTGAGCCCAGGAGTTTGAGGTTACAACGAACTATGATCATGCCACTGCACTTCAGCCTGGGCAACGGCCCTAAAATATTTTTTCTCTAAAAAATAATAATAATAGGCAAGGCATGGTGGCTCACGCCTGTAATTCCAGCACTTTGGGAGGCCATGGCAAGCAGATCATGAGGTCAGGAGATCGAGACCATCCTGGCTAACATGGTGAAACCCTGTCTCTACTAAAAATACAAAAATTAGCTGGGCGTGGTGGTGCGTGCCTGTAATCCCAGCTACTCAGGAGGCTGAGGCAGGAGAATCACTTGAACCCGGGAGGCAGAGGTTTCAGTGAGCCAAGATCATGCCTCTGCACTCCAGCCTGGCAACAGAGTGAGACTCCGTCTCAAATAATAATAATAATAATAATAATAATAATAATAATAATAATGAAACTAAAATCAAATAGCAATCAATTAAAAGGCAGAGATTGTCACATTTGATTAAAAAGCAAGACTCAACTATAAGCTGCCTACAAGAAACGAAGTTTAAACACAAAAAGAGAAACATGCTCAAAGTAAAAGGATAAAAAATTATAATCTATAGTAACACTAGTCAAAAGAAAACTAGAATAACTGTATTAATATCAGAAGCGATTATAGAGCTATAAATAATATTCTTTGGGTCGTTTGAAAATAATAAAGGAGTCAACTTATCAAGAGACACTTCACCAAAGATGATACACAAATGGCAGATAAACATAGGAAAAGATGTTCAACATCATCAGTCATTGGAGAAATTAAAATTAAAATTACGAGCTACCACCTCATACCTATTAGAATGAATAAAATTTAAAATACTGACCATACCAAGTGCTGACAAAGATGTGGAGCCACTGAAATTCTGATGGGAATGTAAAATGAACGACAGCTGACCCTTGAATAACACAGGTTTGAACTTCAAGGGTCCACTTGTATGTGGATTTTTAACCAAATGCAAATCAAAAATACAGTATTTTCTAGACGTGAAACCCATGTACATGGAAAGTTGACTTTTGCTTACATGTGGGTTCCAGAGGGCTGACCATGGGACTGGAGTATGCATGGATTTTGGTATGGCGGGGACAGTTCTGGAGTTAACCCCCCGTGTATACCAAGGGACAGCTACGCTTTGGAAAACAATTTGGCAGCTTGTGAAAAAGTTAAACATACACCTATCAAATAACCCAGCCATTTCACAACTAGGTGTTTACCCATGAAAAGGGAAAGTATATGTCTATACAAAGCTTTGTACATGAATGTTCATAGCACCTTTATCTGTAATAGCCAAAACCGAAAAACAACCTAACTGCCTCTTAACCAGTAAATAAACAAACTAGTATGGCCATACGATAGTATTCTATTCTAGAATACCAGCAGTAAAAAGGAACAAACTATTGATACATAAAACAACATGGATGAATTTCAATATAATTATACAGAGTGAAAGATGCCAGGCCAAAAACAGAGTACCTATTGTACAATTCCATTTATATAAAACTCTAGAAAATGCAAACTACATTTCTACTGTGGGAAAAGGACAGGAGGAAGGAATTACAAAGGGCCAGGAGAAAACTGTTTTTCATTACCTTTTGGTGACCAGTCTATACGTGGATCAAAATGTAAATTGAATACTTTAAATATGCACAGCCGGGCACGGTGGCTCACGCCTGTAATCCCAACACTTTGGGAAGCTGAGGTGGGCAGATCATGAAGTCAGGAGTTTGAGACCAGCCTGACCAACGTGGTGAAACCCCGTCTCTACTAAAACTACAAAAATCAGCTGGCCGTGGTGGCAAGCGCCTGTAATTCCAGCTACTTGGGAGACTGAGGTAGGAGAATTGCTTGAACCTGGGAGGCAGAGGTTGCAGTGAGCTGAGATCGCGCCGTTGCACTTCAGCCTGGGCGACAGAGTGAGACTCTGTCTCAAAAAAAAGAAAAAAAAAGATATACGGTCTACTGGCTGTCAGTTATTCCCCATTAAAGCTGCTGCGTAAAAAAAAAAAAAAAAAAAAAAAAAAAAAAAAGAAGCAGGCTCTGGTGCCCAGCTCCAGACAGTACCCCCAGGTCAGGCACAGAAATGTACCCTAGCTGTGGCTCAGCAGAGAACTATGCCCACCCTTAAGCCTCTGTGGTAGGTACTAAAGGAAAAAAGTTCCATAGACAATATATTAGAATAAAAATAGGAGTTGTCAAAGGTCTAGATCTTTTGTTTTTAAGTCACAGTAGGTTTGTGTCCAACTGACAGTCCTACAAGCAGTTTTCCCAGCCGTATGCTGGCGTTTATGGCACATAGAGGACTAACAGTCGGACCACACACATGGTGGCAAGAAGCAGTAACCCCATGTTCTAACCTTTATCTCCTTCTGTTCAAATTACCAGTTTCAAGAGAGTTCTCCAGACAAATGATTCCTAGTAAAGGCAGTGCGGTATGGTGGAAAGATGTCAAACCTGTCTGCAGTCCATGTTGCCACCAACAGGCTGCATGAAGTCGGGCAAATCACTCTCCCACTCGGCTTCAGTTCCCACAATTATAAAATGAGGTGGTTGGGCCAAATAATTCCTAGAAGTTCCTATGATTCTCCATACTTCAACAATCCAGGGTTTGAAATTCTCTTTTCACCCAGTGAGACATAAGATTTAATCTCTGCAACACTTCTAGTTTAGCAGAGGGGGAGAGAGAAGAGAGGATGATGATGGTGAATAGTGGTGGAGGTGGTGGTGCTAGCAGCCAACAGAAGCATGTAATGTGTGCCAGGCCCTGTTTCCAAAGCTTTAGGTGTATGAATCCATTTAATCCTTATAGTACCTCTATGATGTAGGTGTTATCATCCCCAAAGAAAATCGAGAAACTTTCTCAAAGTCTCACAGCTGGTTAACGGCAGATTCAGGATTCAAACCCAGGAAGGATGATTTTGGAGCCTGAGCTCTCAGCATGCAACTGTTACTGAATGTGCACACGTACATTAGCTCATGAAACTCTAAGAAGCCACCAGCAAGGTGGATTTCTACAGGTCAGGGTACAGAAGTTTAGACAGGTTAGATGATTTGCCAAGGTTAAAACTGATAGAGGGTAAACCAAGATGTATTGGCATGGTGGTCACAGCCCACCCTTTACTAGCTGTGAGACTTTGGTCAATGTGGCTTGGTGGCTACGTGGTTTTGGAGCCAAGCAAGCAGGGTTGGGGTCCAGTTTCACTATAAACCCCCCATGTGACTCTGGACAAGTAGCCTAACTTCTCTAAGTCTCAGTTTCTTCATCTGAAAAAGGGAGATAACAGTATTTCCTATCTCACTGTGTCACTGTGAGGATTATTTTAGGTAATAAATATAGAGTGCTGAGCCCAGTGTCTACAACATACTAAACACATCATGTGTGCTCACTGTCTGAGGAGAAGCAGAGGAAGGGCAAAGGCCGGTTTTCTTGCCTCAATGTGAAATCTTGGAGGGCTACTTCATGCAGCCAGTTGATGAGAGCTCAGCTGTCGATCCATGTGCTGGAGAACTGACCTGATTAATTTCTATCAGTATCACAGAACCGAACAGTATCTAAGAGATTTAGTTTCTGCAAGAGTGTTCTGGGAAATTCTAGTCCCACGAGCTACTGGACACATCTCTAGCCTTCTGGAGAATTACAGCATGCATGGATGTGCTGAAGGCTCCAAGAACTCTCATGGAAAAGAAGTCCTTTCCTTAAATGTTTCTCAGACACGTTTGACCATGGAACCCCTTTATGCTTAATAGCTATTAGTATCCAGCCAAAGCAGTATACCTTGGAACATAGCTTGAGAAGGATATGTCTAACTTCATCCCTTGGTCTGCAAATGAGAAGAATGAGGTTCAGTAAGAAAAGCGGGTAGAAACCAGCTCATGCTGACAATCAGTGGTATTTTGTTCAGTGGCATTTTGCTTTGCATTAGATCGTCTATAAAACTTGGCCTGGCTTTACCACGAATAAACCATGTGGTCCCTGGCAATCACTTAGCCTGTCTGAGCCTCAATTTCATCTATAAAATGAGGTCTGTTGCGACAGGGTTAAAGGGGCTGGCTGTGCAGTCAGATTGACTCTGGGTTCTCACCCAGTTCTGTCACTTGCTAGACACGTAGCCTGAGAAAGCTATGGGGCCTCTCCAAGCCTCAGCCTCTTCATTTGCAAAGTATGAATAACAGTAGCAAGTGGCTCAGAGAGGCAGTGAGGATCAAATCAGATAATGAAAGTAAAGTCCATGGAAGAGTGAACGGCACAAAATAAACATTCAATACATGATATGCATCGGAAATAAAAACAAAGCTGACTATGATCATCACTCCAGTTTCTTTTAAAGCTTTGTTATCTTCCTCCCATTTTCCTACCCTCCATTGGCTCAAAAACATAATTCCACATTCCAGCATATTTCCGCTCATTGTCATCTCTAAAATTTTCTAGAGCAACAGGATGACAAAGATATCGCTGACCCAAAGGGATTCAAATAGAGGAGAAGGAAAAAACCAGGGTACATTTAGTGGAGAAACTGAGTTGCTCAGGAAGGAAAGGCCTCCCTTCCTGGAATTCCCTGGCTGGCTAAACGCACCTCAACTTGCCCTTTAAGCTACTGAGCACTTCTAGTAACTTAGAAGAGAAACAAGTACCTTTTTCCTAATGCAGTGACCATGGCCTCAAAGGAGCTATCGTATCTGAGCAAGGGGAGGCTGTGTCCTGAAAGGGTGGATTCAATAAACTCCGACAGCCCGAAGTACTTCTTATTTTCATGATATAAGTCCACTCCCTAAAACAAAGAAGAGCGTCGGTCACTCCAACACTGCATTCGCAGGGACGGTCAGAGGTTCGTGTGCCAGGCCTGCGGATGACCTGGGTTGGCAACTTCATCCAAATCGTGCCCACTGTGCAGTGGCTTGGATGGCATTTTATAAACTTCTTCCATCTGCAGAAGCAGAGCAAAGTACCTCCCATACTTTAAAAATGGTGTGTCCCCATTGCTCAGGAGTTTTCCATTCATTTGGTCCCAATGTTTTTACCAAGAAGAAAATCAGCCTTATCTTATTTTAACATATACATTTCTTTGTTAAATTTGCTTCTTTCTACAATCTTAAGCTGGTTTTAGGAATGGGCAAATCAATTATTTTGCATTCAGTTGCTACTAAAAATCAATAGACAAAGAAAACATTTACCTAGCCAATTTTACTCACACAGACATAAAATTCCAAAGTTGGGGGAGTTTGTTGAAAATATTAAGGCATGAAAACTCTACTCCTAAATAGCACAGTGGTTAAGGGCCGAGCCATGGAGCCAGTGGCCTGGGTCATATCCTAGCTCCACGACTTTCTAGCTGCCTGGCCTGAGCCAAGTGGCCCAACTCTTGTTGGCCACTTTGTCTCATGTTCCCCATTTGTAGATGAGAACTCATCCTAGCACCTGCCTCTTGCATGAGCTCACAGCACGAAGCACTTTGGGCAGGGCTTCCCTGGCCTATGGGAAGTGCCTTATGAACAATGGCTATCCCCACCATGGATTCTCAGTCCACAGGACGGAAGCCAGGTATTTTTTAAAGTTTCTCAGAGGATTGCGAGGCACTCCAAAAAAGTCTCATCTCTTACGTTTACTTATTCTTGTGTAACTAACTACAAACCACCCAGAATTCTCAAATTACCAGGATTGTTTTAGTCTTCTATTTTGATGAGAAAATGTCAGGTGATAAGCTAAAAACTCATCAAGTTTTGAGGATATGTGTTCAGTTTGAGGAAGGAGATTCTGAATCTCACTACTTAAGGATGCAGGGATAGGGAAAACAGGAACCTTCCTAGGGCTTCTGGAGACATTAAGCGTTGCTCTGTATGGAGCCCAAAGCCCCCAGCGCCTAAGGGCTCTACCTTCAATATCTCCATTCAATGCCATAGAACAAACATTCCACATGCTGCTCAGAAAGCGGCAGTCACCAGAGAAAATGTCCCACAAACTGCATTACATCTTCCGAGATGAGGAAGCCAACTGGCGTACTGCAGGAAGGTTACCAAAAAGACCAAGAAGGGTTTACAACCTAACTCTGGGTTGAACCAAAGATCCAAGGAGCTGGAACCCATTATCCTCAACCACACTGGTCAAGGCTGTTACTAAATGTAATTTCTGCAAACCCAAGTGATATTGCTACACAAGGGCCCAGCAGCCCCGTGGCACTCACATTACTGCAGGAGGCAGGCCAGTGGATCTCGTTGTAGGGGCTGATGAGGGTGTGCTGTGTCTGCAGTGCATACGGGAAGGAGGTCACGTGAAGTGTCACAATGTTGGGGGCCTCCTTCACCTCCCTGCAGTTGAGCAATCGGTCCACCAATCCCACCGACGGGTCACTTTGAGAATAGAGGTTATGAACAGTGCTACTGAGGGAGGAGAAGACACAATCAGTGGAATTACTATATTGTTTTCTAATTTTGCAAGGTGAAGCAGTTGAATAAATTTATAACTAACCCCTGACTTTACCAACGACTAAAGATTATGGCTCTGCCCCTGACTAAGAATAGAGAAAATAAAAAAGGCTGGACTTCAGGTAGCTGTCAGGGGCTCTCCTGAGATTCGTTACTTAGGAAAAATGTGTCTGGCGTGGGACGGTAGTCAGAGAGGATTTCTTACAAGACACACACTCCTTCTATCCCAATCGGACAGTGATATGACCCTGGGGATGTTCCATGAATCATTTGTTCCTCTTTGGCCCCATCTGATTGTGTACTTATCTCCTTACACAGTCCTTCTGACCTTGAAATGATCCAGAAAAGATGTAAAAGAGTAAATTCTATAGTCAGTTTAAAAGGCAGCAGGAAAGGATTGGGAAGCATTTTGGACAAGGGGTCTAGGAGACAGGCCCAGCTCTGCACTTTTCCGTGGGACAAAGGCCTTTGCATTCTCTCCTGTAAGTTTAGGGGATTAAAAAAAAAAATCAGTGCTTAACCCTTTGGATGGCAGGAGGCCACTCTGAGAAACCTATTCCCAAAATGAATATTCACAATACAGCTCTTTCTATAATTTCGGAATGTTCCGATTTCCCCCAAGCCCACACATGGATTCTGGATTGTAAACCCTTTACGAGGTCCTTCATGTCCTGACCAGCCTAACTAGCTATCTGTGGATCTGCGACAATCAAAGGCTTTCTCCACGACCTGGCCCAGGAGCCCCCTCCTTCCTCATCTACATCAGTGGAAATGTCTGAAGGTACAACCCCTAGGCCAGTCTCACGGAGATGACCAATCCCGGTAAACCACCAGAAATCCTGCCAGGCGCTTGGCTTGGCCCATCTGAAATTCATCTGGGTTTATGTTCATTTTAACTGAGTGAGTCAAATCACCCCTTAAGAAGGGCAGGCATCAGCCGGGTGCGGTGGCTCACGCCTGTAATCCCAGCACTTTGGGAGGCCGAGGCGGGCGGATCACGAGGTCAGGAGATCGAGACCATCCTGGCTAACACGGTGAAACCCTGTCTCTACTAAAAATACAAAAAATTAGCCAGGTGTGGTGGCAGGCGCCTGTAGTCCCAGCTACTCAGGAGGCTGAGGCAGGAGAATGGTGTGAACCCGGGAGGCAGAGTTTGCAGTGAGCGGAGATCGTGCCACTGCACTCCAAGCCTGGGCGACAGAGAGAGACTCTGTCTCAAAAAAAAAAAAAAAAAATACAAAAACGAAATTAGCTGGGCGTGGAGACAGGTGCCTGTAGTCCCAGCTATTCAGGAGGGTGAAGTGGGAGAATGGCATGAACCCAGGAGGCTGAGCCTGCAGTGAGCCGAGATCGCACCACTGCACTCCAGCCTGGGCGACAGAGTGAGACTCCGTCTCAAAAAAAGGAAAAAAAAAAAAAAAAGAAGGGCAGGCATCAGTGGTGACCCACGGTACCAGAGCCCCCACGGAGCCTCTTTCAGGGAAGGGCTAAGCTGAGCTACTCCTGCTAGGACCCTCCGCACCCCACACCAGCATGGCTCCTTGTTGCTGAGTGGACTATGAAAGAAACACATCAGGCATCAGGCTGTGATTCGGGGTCTCAGCTCTGCCACTAACACCCTCCCACTCCACCCCACCCTGTGACTCTGGGAGACACGCTTCCCTTCTCCAGCCCTTAAATTCCACCATGGTAAATTTCAGAGGTCACACTGGATAATCCCTGAGATAACTTCCAGCTCAAGATTGTGGGAAACCTCCATGGCATCTGCTTAGAAACACCAAGCCCAAACATCATCCATCTTTTCAGGATTTGTACCCTCAGCCCCCGGGAACATCCACATACATCACTTCAAAGAAGGAAAATGTCAACTTGTCATATATCAAGTCAATCTAACCTCACAAGATCCCAGTGCGCATGGTCATGGATTAGGACAAAAAGTGTATGCGGGTTCTGGAAGGAGTTTTGCAGAAAAGCCTTAAATTTTGTCTGTGCCTCCGTGTCTAGCTTCAGAACATACTGTTCCACCCTCTGCTTCGTCATGTGCTCTTTCTTCAGACCAAGCTCCAGCAAAACCCCTGCAACACAAAGAACATACATCAGTAACTGCAAACATGCGCACTGGGTTTCATTCACTCAACAGACACCTGAGGAGCGACTCCTACACAGCAGGTCCTGAGCTAGACTCAGAGATGCAAGAGCAGGGAAAGGAAGGGAAAAAACTCCCACACAGGTTACAGCTGCATAACTGTCCTGCACAGGAGCTGGGGCGCAGGCAAGCCTTGGCTGTGTGTACAGCAGCCCTCCCGAGGGGCACCAGCTTCATGAAGCAGCTGATCCCAAGCATGGTAAGACAGAGGGAACCGAAAGGTCCTGCCAGCAGCAAAATCCCTCTCTCAGTCTGAATGCCACAGGGCGATACATGACACCACTAAAGAGTGAGTCCTTTCAGTGAAGACACCGGACATCTGTGTACTCTGTGGTTAAATATGATATCCTTGAAAGTACAAGGATATCAGTGACGCTAGATAGCAACATGTGGTTAGGTCACTAGCCTGAGTGGGACATGGTGAAAGTTCAAGTTTTGGCTCTACCTTCAACAGATCCTAAAATCTTGGGCAAGTCACTGTCTCTGAACATCAGTTTCACAATCTATAAAACAAGAGCAGCAATACTTGCCCTATTCACTCTATAGCAAAGAACAGTGTCAACACCCACACATGGATTTCGGCAGATCAAAGCTTCTCCACACGTGACTTCTCCCCAAAATGCCCCATACCTGAATGCCACACATGGAGCAGAGTCTGCTGGTAGGTCACTTCTGAGGGGGGAATGCAAATGAGAAAGTCCACCTTCTCAAAGGATCCCAGGTCCAGATTTTGGGTGCTGGAATCCGCAATGGAACACACATGGGAGAGGAGCTTCTGCGCTACTGCCAGCTGGAAGGGCCGGATGCTGTGTGGCTCCAGATTGTAACCTGGAACCAGAGCCCCAGGATGCCAGGTGAGCTCCAGGGCACACGGCTACTGCCAGGCCCTTGGCCAGAGAATCAGTGAGACCTGTCCAGGGGAGACGGCCCCATTCACAAAGCGATGAGGGAAAGGGGAATAACTCACGTTTATCAAGTCCCTGCTCTCAGCTAAGCAGTGGCGGGTGTGGGGGTAGCAATCATTTTATGCACCATCTTTCACTTAATAATAAAAATAAGAACCAAGCACTTGGGGAGCACAGTGGAGGCAGTGGTCTCTTCTGCTTAGAGGGGACAAGGAGCCTATCCCAGGGGAGGTGATGCTGAGACTGGACTCTGGAAGAGGACTGCAAACTCTCCAGAAAAGAAAACTAACACGACAGTCATTTAGGAACTCTGTATGAATAAAAAACATCAGCAACAGACTCAGAGGCAGGAAATTGGCATAGAAAAATCTATCACCTCAGAGACAGTGATGGATGTGCAATTCAAGATTAAATGAGATTGTCATAATTAAAGACTGAATTTTAAATTAGGTATCAGGTCTACTGTGACACTAAAAGATGTCCTGTCTTGTGGATGTGCCTCTGACATTGCTACCTCCAATCTGAGTCCTTGGATGCTGCCTCCCAGGCCAGACCGAGGCCCTCGCCAGTGCCCTCTCATCGCCCACCGAGCACACATGAGCCCTCTGTCCCCTCAGCACCCACTTAGCACACCTGTGCCCACTGCCCTCTCTCACGGTGCACACCTGTGCCCATTGGCGCCTCTCACTGCACACAGCTATGCCCACTGCCCCATGTCACTGAGCATATCTGTGCCCCTGCCCACTCTCACGGTGCACACCTGCGCCCCCGCCCCCTCTCACTGTACACACTGGTGCCCCCACCACTCTCACTGTACACACCGGTGCCCCCACCCCTCTCACTGTACACACCAGTGACCCTGCCCCCTTTCACTGTACACACCTGCAATCCTGCCCCCTGTCACTTTACACACCAGTGCCCCACCCCCCTCACTGTGTACACCTGCGCCCCCACCCCCTCTCACTGTACAAACCAGTGCCCTACCCTCTCTCACTGTACACACCTGTGCCCCACCCCCTCACTGTACACACCTGTGCCCCCACCTACTCTCACTGTATACACCTGCAGCCCCGCCCCCTCTTACTGTACACACCAGTGCCCCACCCCCGTCACTGTACACACTGGTGCCCCCACCCCTTCTCACTGTGCACACCTGTGCCCCCACCCCCTCACTGTGCACACCTGTGCCCCCACCCCCTCACTGTGCACACCTGTGCCCCACCCCCTCACTGTGCATACCTGTGCCCCCACCCCCCTCACTGTGCACACCTGCGTCCCTGCCACCTCTCACTGTACACACCTGTGCCCCGTCCCCCCTCACTATACACATCTGTGCCCCTGCCCCCTCACTGTGCACACTTGCGCCATGGCCCCTCTCACTGTGCACACCTGCGCCCACTGACCCTGCCCCTCATCACTACTTTGTACCCTCTCCACCCTGGGAGATTCCTTTTCACCACTCACTTGTGCACACCGGTGTCCCACTGACATCCAGGGATGCTGCTTTAGTGACAGAAGAGGCAGCGAGTGAGGAAGAAATATGGCCTTGATTTTCCTGGTGAAATTTGTCCAGCAAAATGTCAATGTCACCCTCTGCCCAAGACAGAATAAACAAATGGGTTTTTGATGTCAGTGAAATTCAGCAAACATCTACAGCGCAGTTAGTGTCAGGTACTGTCCCGAGGCCTGGAGTCATGAAGGTAAAGAGGAGGACATGGCCCGTCCTGTCAAGGGGTCTCAGCCTAGTCAGGATGAAGACACACTGCCAGAGTGAGCTCCCCCCACACAGACATAGCAGGTGCTAGGGCAGAAGGAAGAACAACATGGTAAAGGATGAAGGGGAAGGTCCCAAGCCCATCTGGAAAACGAAGGGTCTGAGAAGCTTTCTAGGGGGACATGAGATGAGTCTTGAGGGGTGGGTAGCTAGGCCAACAAGGGAGAAGGATGCTCACAGCCCAGAGCACGAGGGATGCGGAACTCTCCAGCAAAAAGGGGAGACAGGGAAGAGAGGCCACCAAGGCTGGAAAGGTGGAGAGGAACAGGCACAAGGGCCTTGTGTACCCCATGAAGAAGAACCCACAAGGTGCCCTCCACCTCTCAGGAGAACTCTACAGCTCAAGCAGGAAGAGATGGCCAGCCAGAACCCGCAGCTGTCACTCAAGAAAAGAAAGGGACAGAAGTGCAAGTGCACAGAATGAGGGGCACTCTGCAGTGGAGGCCAGCCTTAGCAGGTCACAGGCAGGGTGAGGCAGAGATGACCTCCCCCGGCACTGATTACTGTCCTATTAACATACGCATGTGCACCTGTCTCACGACAAGCCTACCTGGACAGAGGGTGCTAAAGAAGGCCCCCAGCGAGTCTACCTTCCCCGTAACCAGCTCGTAATTGACTTCCTTCTGGTACTCCGCAGGAGTGAGAAGGCTCTCGGAAAGAATCCGGGCTTGGTATTTTCCTGGAAAGCAAACAGATTTCACAGTACCCATTGTATCTTCCCTGCTTACGGGCTGTGTAGCCCTAGACTAGTCCCTTAACCCTTCTAGACTTGACATTTCCCATCTGGAATCTGTGGCTAACAGCTGGATCTACCTCCCAGGCCTGCTGTCAGGTGACACAAGACAATGGTGCCTGACACATGGCAGAGGCTCAGGGTCTACTACTGCAAGTCCCACTCACATCAAGGTAAATAATTTATTTAAAAAAAAAAAAAAAGGCCAGGCACAGTGGCTCACACCTGCCATCCCAGCACTTTGGGAGGCCGAGGCAGGCAGATCACAAGGTCAGGAGATCGAGACCATCCTGGCTAACACGGTGAAACCCCGTCTCTACTAAAAATACAAAAAAATTAGCCGGGTGTGGTGGCGGGTGCCTTGTAGTCCCAGCCACTCAGGAGGCTGAGGCAGGAGAATGGTGTGAACCCAGGAGGCGGAGCTTGCAGTGAGCCTACAAAGTGTCACTACACTCCAGCCTGGGCGACAGAGCGAGACTCTGTCTCAAAAACAAACAAACAACAACAAAAAACACAGAATGGGTTTAAGATTAAAGAACGCTGGTCGGGCACGGTGGCTCTTGCCTGTAATCTCAGCACTGTGGGAGGCTGAGGTAGGTGGATCATCTGAGGTCAGGAGTTTGAGACCAGCCTGGCCAACATGGTGAAACCCCATCTCTACTAAAAATACAAAAATTACCTGGGCATGGTGGTGCACGCCTGTAGTCCCAGCTACTCAGGAGTCTGAGGCAAAAGAATTGCTTGAACTTGGGAGACGGAGGTTGCAGTGAGCTGAGACTGCACCACTGCATTCCAGCCTGGGCAACAGAGCAAGACTCCATCTCAAAAAAAAAAGAAAAAAAATGCTAAAAGACAATTCAGACACTATACTTAAAAAGTACATTAAATGCCAGGCACAGTGGCTCATGCCTGTAATCCCAGCACTTTGGGAGACTGAGGCGGGTGGACTGCTTGAGCCCAAGAGTTTGAGACCAGCCTGGGCAACATTGCAAAACCCTGTCTCTACCAAAGTACAAAACTGAGCTGGGTGTGGTGGTGCACACCTGTAGTAGTTCCAGCTACTCCGGATGGAGGCTGAGGCAACAGAATCACTTGAGCCCGGGAGCTCGATACTGCAATGAGCCAAGATCTCGCCACTGCACTTCAGCCGAGGTGACAAAGCAAGACCCTGTCTCAAAAAAAAAGTGCATTAAATTCTGCACTTTTAAAGTAAATTTTACAAGGTACAAAAAATTCTGGCTGAAAATGCACAACACTTGTGAAGATTTAAGCAGGCCAGGAAAGCTCACGTGTTTGGTGTCTGCCTCCCCCACCTAAAAGAACACTCCAGGCAAGTAGAGACTGCTCTGCTCCCTGTGGGCCCCCAGCCTCTAGAACAGTGGCTGTACATGTGGGGCCTCAATGGGTGTTTTTAAAATTAAATCAATTGGCCGGGCACGGTGGCTCACTCCTGTAATCCCAGCACTTTGGGAGGCCTAGGCAGGTGGATCACTTGAGCTCAGGAGTTTGAGACCAGCCTGGGTGACATGGTGAAACCCCATCTCTATCAAAAAATACAAATTAGCTGGGCGTGTCCCAGCTACTTGGGAGGCTGAGGTGGGAGAATCTCTTGAACCTAGGAGGTAGAGGTTATAATGAGCCAAGATCAGGCCACTGCACTCCAGCCTGGGCAACAGAGTGAGACCTTGTCTCAAAAAATTAATTGGCTCCTGAACACAGACAACACAACAAGGGCATTGTTTCTTATCTCCAATAGATCAGTGAAGAAACAGGGCCATCCTGGTGTGAGTGACCACCCACGTGGTGGAGCCAGGTTTTCAACAGGGTCTTTCCACATTCCCAAGCTGACCCCAGGGCTAACCTCACCAGCCACTCAGAGCAGGGATGAGATTGTAACTAAGTCACTAGTCAAGGCTGCCTTCTGAAGCCAGCTACTGAGCACAAACCGCAGGTGCTAACTGCTGCTGCAAACCCGGGCCACCCTAGACAGAAAGGGAGAGAACCACCAAAGGAGGGGACCGGGAACACCGTTCAGGGGGCTTTCCCGCAGCCGCGCGGCCCAGAGCTCACCGGTGACGGCGATGCAGGAGTCGATGGCCGCGCTGCGGCAGGCGCAGATGATGACCACGTAGTTGGTCTTGGCAAGCTTGCCCTCGACCAACAGCCGGAACATCTCGGAGAGGCCCTCGGCCAGGGAGTAAGCACACTCGATGACGTGCACGCTGTCGTTGCAGGAGCTGGCGGCCAGGCTGGCCAGCCAGGGCAGCTGCGCGGAGGTCACGGGTGCCGCGGCGCTGGGCGCGGGCGGGAAGGGCTGCGGCGGCGCCTGCTGGTACTGCCGGATCTCGGTCAGGTGCGACTCGCGCCAAGAGCGCAGGAAGATCTGCTCCAGGTCCTCCATCAAGGGCACCTGGTCCGCGGCTGCAACACAATGCGGGCGGAGGGCCTGCCACAAATGCCAGCGGCATCCGGGGACGCACGGGTGCAGTGATGTGAAAGTACCCACCTAAGTTATTACTGTGAAATCGTATCACAGATGGCTGGAGCACGAGGGGAGGGCATAAAATCCGCCACAATCTCACCACCGTCCTAACAGAGCCACGCTATTTACGTGTATTTCTCAGTCTTTTTTTCCATATGAAAGTTTTTTTTTAATTATAAGATGATTTGTACATTTATCTTTATTTTTAAGATTAAGCATCCTCTTTGACAATCCAGAAACATAGTCCTTGCTCACTCTTTGGCCACACACACCTAAAACAGTTAAACGTGATTCCTCAATTTTCAATGACAAAGTAGGAAAAAAGAATATGTCCTCAAGCTGCAGTTCAATTTTTCTGTCCTCTTTTTAAAAAAAAAAAAAAAAATCTTACTTTGCTACCAAGCCACTCACCAATTATAAGTTGGAAAGACAATTTTTCAAAAAGCCAACAAAACCCAGAAAAAGGAATAAGTATCAATCCAGAATTATCACCCAAAACACTGCTGTTGTTAAAAAAAAAAAAAAAAGAAAAAAAAAAGTAGGAAGCCAAATTCCCATAGCTTGTTAGAGAAGGTCTTTAAACAGAATTCAGAAAGTTAGGACTGGAACTACGGTGGTATAGACAGGTTACACTGTCCCTATGTGCATATACAGTGGTAAATGTGTAGAACATTCAGCCTGGGAATATAGGCTTTCTCCTACTCCAGGACAGGGAATAAAAACATGTATTGCTGGAATTAGTATTAAAACTGTCCTTACAAATAGCTGCAATGATTGTCAGTATAAACTTTGGGTCTTGCATTCTTTCCTTAACCATGACCCTATCATCAGTTTCAGTGCCATTTTCAGCCAACATAAAGAGTGCTGTTAGTGTGTCCATAATGTCCCATCATACGTGAGCACCACCGTTTACTTAGCAAGGTCTCTATTGTGGATTCTCTTATTTCTTCCAAATATTCACCTTTATAAATCCCTCTGCAATGCACATCTTGACATATAGAACGTTACTTCCTTCGCCTAAATTCTCAAAGGTGGATTTACAGAACCAGCTACTACATATCATCAGATTGCTTCCCAAGAGCCTGAATGCGTCAGTTTACCACGCGAACGGTGCATCGGACAAGCGCTGGTTTTACCGCACCTAAGCACCACTGGGTACCATCATTTGGGTTATTAATTCAGAAAAAGATGACTTGATTTGTGATTTGCATGTCTTTGATGATGAGTGAGACTGAATACTTTTCAATATTTGTTTCCTTCTGGTATTTTCTCTTTTATGAATTGTCTGGTTTATACGTCCGGATTTCGTATTTGATGTGCTGGAAGAAAGTGCGTCAGGCTTCCATTTAGAAGGTGGGTTCCAGCCCAGCTCTACCCAGCACCAGCTGTGCGGCCCTGAGCTATCTCCCATGGTTTCCTGATGCATAACACGGGGTTCATGACACCTGCTCTGTGGGCCGTGCCAGAATTTGATTAAATTAGCTTATATCTCCCTCTTTGATTGGATGCATTTAATCAGAATTCACTACTTGAATTAGCTAATCAAATTAGAATTTAATTAGATTAGCCGTTATCTCTCTCATCTTTAAAAACTTTCCTTTGAGTCCACATCTCCTTCCAGAACTAACCCCTACCCAGAGCTGTCTGCACGGGCCATACTGTCTCTTCACCTCCAATCTCTCTAACCCACTCCAATATGACTTTTATCTCCAATCTTCACATACATCATCATCAAGGTTGCCAGCCGCTTCCCATGGCCAAACCCAATGGTCAGGGTCCAGTCTTCCCTCCACTCAACTCCCGGCCACACTGGCACAGTTGATCAGCCCCTCTCCTTGGGATCAGCCCCTCTCCTTGGGAATGCTTTTTTTCACTGCTTCTTATCAACATTCACCCATTCCTCAACTATTCCCTCAATATAGGTTGGCAGACTGTTGACTTCAGCTTCAGATGCTATGGGACATCGGGAAAAGGACTCACTCACCATGCCTGGCCTCATGGAGCTTACACCCTAGCTGGGGGAGACACACTTAAAGGGAACAATCACAGACCCTAATTCCTGGTGCCTAAAGATAAAGGGCATAGGATAGGGGCCCGGAGGGTGGGAGCTGTCTTACACACAGTAACAAGAAGGTCTTGCTGAGGAGATGATGAGTGACCCAAAACCTGAAGGACATAAGGGAGCAAGCCACACAAATGTCTTTGGCAAGAGCATGCCACAGGGAAGGAACAGCAAGTGTGGGATGCCCAGGTGGGACCAAGATTGCTGAGGGGGACAGTGGGCTGGGACAGAGCAAGCAGGTGGGACCAGGAGGCAGGCTGGGCCCCCGGGAAGGGGTGGAGTGAGCGACTGATGGGAAGCCGCGGCAGGGCTCTGAGCAGGGAAGAGATGCAATCGGAGTCCAAGTTCTCAGGGATGTGGGGAACAGGGCAAGAATGGTGCCCCGGTGAGGCGGCAGCCACAGAGAGGGTGAGCGAGGCTGGATTCAGGATGAAGCCGTGCTTACTGATGGACAGGTGGGGACTATGAGAAAGAGCGACAATGCTGGGTTTCCCAGATTCTCCACTGTCCTTTCCTTCCTTCCCACCCATTCCATCTCAGTCGCCTCCTCTGGATCTCTGAAGATTGGAGGTCCCCAGGCCCAAACCTTGGCACTTTCCTCTCCTCGTAGCCACCCGCAGCTGGTCTCACGGCTTTAATATAAGTCATCTGTAAGCCAGTGTGTCTTAAATGTATACCTAGAGCCTCCACCTCTCCTGGGACTCAAGGCCTGTCCATGCAAATGAACACAGGCGACTTGACTGTCTCGTGGGCATCTTGTACAAACTCACGCCAAGACAGAACTCAGGTTCATTGCCACCATTCACCTGGCTGCTCAGGCTGAAACCCAGGCCCCATCTGCTCCCACCCCCTTCAAAGGCATTTCCAGCCGGCCTTACCTTCAGAATAGCCCCTCCAGCTCACTGCTGCCACCTTCAGTGGCTCAAGCCACTGTGTGCCTTTAATAGGCAACAACTGACTCTTTCTCCATTTCCGCCACTGCGTCTGCCCCATCTGACTCCACATAGCCGCCAGGGTGGCGTTTTTAAAGTGAAAATCAGATCACCTCCATCCCCTGTCTAAAAATACTCCAATGGCTTCTCAATGTGTCTACATAGAATCACACCCTTGACCGGAGCCGGCCCCCTCTGACCACACCTCTCACTCACACCCTCTCTCTGCTACAGCTACGCTGGCCTCTCCAGCGACTGGGACACTCACTGCTCCTCCACCTCACAGCACTCACCTGGCCTCCCTCTCTCCCCAGGGCCCCACCTGTCCTCATTCCTCAGATCATCACAAGGCTGAATCCTTCTCAGGGTCCAGGTCTCCTATTCACAGAGGCCTTTCTTCATGACCTAAACTGACCCCATACAAACACACACTAATGCATGCACCCATCTTTACCTGCCTGTTTTCCACTGGTTTATTGCTTCTCTCTCCCACTAAGACTAGAATCGCCTCAAGGACAGGGTCTTTGCTCAATTCCCTGCTGTATCCCTGTGCCTAGAATGGCAGATAAAGAGTTCTGGAAATGTCTCCATCAACCTCAACCTACTTTCAGCCCCCCAGTGTGGGGACGCCCACAGTGACTTCATGACGTCCCGCCAGTGAAGCCATAAGCTCTCCCCATGTATTTCAATTCCAGCAGCCCAAGTCAGCCCCCACGAGGGCCGAGGCCAGGTCTGTGCTCGGGCTGTGGCCACTCCCTGCCACTGGGCCAGGAGGTGGAGGTGACTCACCCAGCTGGACCAGGTAGTAGACGGTAAGCAGGAGCTGCATCTCCTCGGAGATGGGCTGGATGGCAGAGGCGCCGTACTGCTCGTATGCCCGTGAGACAGACTGGGAATTCTGGTAGCACGTGTACAAGAGGGGGCTGACCACGACGTCATTCAGGTTCCCACAGAGGTAAGGGAAGTTCCCATGGCCTGCAGAGGAACAGCAGCGACTTGGCACCCAGTCTTGTGCACAGCTTACGGTCCCATACATGTGGGTTCTCTGGGGGTGAGGGCACTGAAGGAGATAGGTGAGCTGCGCCAGGTCCCTCGAGTGCCCTGTCCTGGGAAGCCTTGCTCATTGAGTGCACCTGCTCACCCTCCTGGAGCCTAGGATGAGAGGAGTCACCTTTTCTAACCAATGGGGCTGTGCCACTTGCTGGTTCATTTCGTCCAATCCTCTTATTTTTTACAAGTGAGGGGGCTGGAGGGAGGGACTTGCCCAGAGCCAAGCAGCCGCCACCTGTCACTCCTCCAGCACCACCAATGGGACACCTTGTGGGCAGAGCACCTTCCAGAGCTTCACTGGGTGCTGCCTGCCAGGTCTTGCCTCCCTGACTCCAAGCAGGGAGGATTCTGCCCTGCATTCTCCCAGGGCTGTCTGGCAAGGTGAGTTGGGACAATATATCACCACAGAGACCAGAAGACTGAGTCATTCTTTTTTTTTTTTTGAGACAGTGTCTTGCTCTGTCCCCGGGCTGGAGTGCAGTGGCGTGATCTCGGCTCACCACAACCTCTGCCTCCCAAGTTCAAGTGATTCTCCCACCTCAGCCTCCCGAGTAGCTGGGATGACAGGTGCGCATCACCACCACACCCGGCCAATTTTTGTATTTTTAGTAGAGACAAGGTTTCACCATGTTGCCCAGGCTGATCTTGAACTTCTGACCTAAAGTGATCTACCCGCCTCGGCCTCTCAAAGTTCTGGGATTACAGGCGTGAGCCACCGTGCCCAGCCCATCAGAAGATTCATTCTGAGGACAGCCCTCAGAGGTGGAATTGCCCAGGTCGGGTTCAAATATCTTTCCACCATTCTTTACCTACATGATGCTAAGCAAGAAGCTTAACTGCCCTAAACCTCAGTCTCCGCATTTGTAAAACCAGGTGAAGCGGTGAAGCTATCAAATCCTCTCGGGGCTGCTGAGCTCCCAAAGGTGGCGTGTGTGTGTGTGTGTGTGTGTGTGTGTGTGTGTGTGTGTGTGTGTGTTATCTTGTACTCCAGGTACTCCATTTAGTCACCAAAAATATATTTTCTGACTTCGGCTGTGTGTTATATGCAGATGTCCTGCTGGGCTCGGGGAGTAAAGCTGGTGCCTGGGGCACAGGTCACGTTCTCAAAGACACTGCTTCTCAAGGGCTTGCCAAACACTTGCTGGTGCCACCCAGGGCTTCTGATGCAGAAGTGGGGCCTGATTCTGATTCCAGGATGGGTCCATGAATTCACGCCTCTCATAAGCTCCGGGGCGATGCAGGTTCTGCCGGACCAAGGGCTACCATTTGGGTAGCACCATTTACAAATACTGCAGTGGGCAAGAGGCAAGGTAAAGAGTTGCTATAAAGGCAAGTATGTGACATTTGTCATAAAAGAGGGACAGAGAAGTGACAAGGGGGGCAGAGGAAAGGGAATCTAAGACAACTTCATGGAGAAGGCACAGAGCTGAGTCTTAAGGCCTCAGGAGGGCTTGGACATATGGCTGTGGGGAGCAGGAGTCCGGGAGACGAGGGCTTTACAGCGAGGGGTGCAGTGTAAACAGAGAGGCAGCGGAGGGAGCAGAGCACGCCTGAGAACCGAGAGGACAGTCTCTATTCTGAGATTGCTCGTGTGAGACGTAGACTTGCTGGGCTTTCTTTTCCGAGGTTCCTGGCTCAAAGCAGAAGCAGGTGACGCCCTGCCTGCACCTCCAAGCCCTGCACCCTGTCCTAGCTCTGTTTCCTGAGCACCGTGGTCTTCGGGCCTACCACAGACACGCCATGGCCACGTAAAAAAACACACACAACATGACTGAAAGAATGTTGGTCTTCATTTGAGGTAGACAGTGGGGCCCAGTGGAACTGCCTCGGTCATTGGTCCTGCGTCATGCTAAGGTCGAAACTCAGAGTTGCACTCTACTTCCTGAATACCCCGTCCAGTTTTTGTGTTTTAGGAAAAAGACATGCTCTTTCTTATTTCTTAATTAACAGTAGGGTGCTTCTCTCACTTTCCTACAATCCTCTCTACTCTATCTACAAGCATGATACCAAATGCAATAATAACGTATTTAAGAGGGGCCTGCGTGCACGGTGTGTGTGTGCCGTGCCCACGCGTGTATGTATGTGTGTGTTGCCATGTGCCAGCCATTCTGGTGCCTACATATCACCAGCCAAGCCCTGCTGAATCCCCCCAGGGTTTCCCATTGCAACATCCCCAGCTTCATCAAAGAGATTTCTTCAGCTGAGCCAAAAGTCTACCCCCACGTAGCGTACGTTAGCCCACTGCACAAAACAGATCAAATCTAATTTTGTTTGATGCTTCTACAGTGGTGACCACGGCTATCTTTGCCCAACCAAAGTAGATTTCATAGTCAAAAAATACTAGTGGCGTGGGTGATAACAGGAGACAACCCACCAGAGCGGAGCTCCTGCAGCCAGGGAGTGATTTGTTTTTTCCTAATCTTCGGCACTCAGCACCGGGTCTGGGACCACGGCAGAAGCTCAATGAAGCTGAGCAAACGAAGGAAAGAATGAGTGAACAGGCAAATAGACTTCATGGCAGGGAATCATTTCACCTGGACCCACTGTGGAAAGTTGTGACAAGCTCCATCATTCTTGGCATCTGATCAGGGGCTGAGCTAGTGACTGGCTCTGCCTTGTTCTTTCCTTGCCCTGGAAAGCATTTTAGGTTTGTCTCAGGAGGATACCCTTGGAGTCAGACCGGGATGAGGTCTCGCTTTTGCCTGTTTCTCATGCCTTCCTTTAGGTTCTCCCATCCCCACGACTCGGTGCACTGCTGTACTTGCCTTTAAATATCACTGGCTTGGCCTTGCATATTTTCAGCAAGTTGTCAGGAACAGACACTGGTTCTCCAGAGGCCACCACTGGAAAGGTGACTGAAGCTGGTCCCACCAAGCCAACCTGCGGCACGCAGGACATGCCTGCGCTCTCTAGGAACACCCAAGAATATTAGTGAAAACATCAGACAAGGCATCCACCTCTCACATACCTGACATCAGGCCAGCCAGCAAATCTGCTACCCTCTGACCAACGTCCCTGATTACAGGAGCACCAAACTCTTAGAGTCACAGATTCCTAAGGTCAACGGCACCTTTAAGTTCATTCCGCCCATCCTTCCCCCAGTAGTTCAGTCTCCTCTTCGATATCCCTGCCAAGTCATAAATAGCCCCTTTTAAAATTTCTCAAGGATCAGAGAACTCACTATCATACACGGATCCTAGACCTTGCAAAGCAATTTTAACATGTGAGAAAGAGGTCTTTTGTCACACCAAACTCTGCCTCCTTAGAACTCCCTCATCAGTACACACGCACATTCACACTCGTGCGCACGCACACACGCACACATACACACAACTGGCAGCAGCACTACCACCAGTACCCAAGTCTGGAATTCTGGGCAAGGCTGCCATCACTTACCATACTTAGCTCTGTTCCCACCACCTTGGGGGCAGCCACCATCTGGAGCTGATGGAGATTCTGGAGACCACCCTTTGTGGCGTTTTTTGGGGGGCCCGGAGTTTGACAAGATACCTAGACAATATTCAGAGTGTGGATTAGGCTATCACCAGGACAGGGCTCCAATAAAATTTACCCTTGGTTTGGAGAACAATGATCTGTTTTGTTTTGTTTTTTTTTTTCTAATCACAGATTCACGTGGGTTTTAAGGACCTAGTGAAATATCTATGCATAAGGAAATGTCAATTTTTGTAAATGTTTCATTCCGACCTGGACCGGTTCACCCCTCCTTAGGCAACCTGGTGGTCCTCCACTCCCGGGAGGTCACCATATTGATGCCAAACTTAGTGCGGACACCCGATCGGCATAGCGCACTACAGCCCAGAACTCCTGGACTCAAGCGATCCTCCAGCCTCAGCCTCCCAAGTAGCTGGGACTACAGGCACGCGCCACCGCGCCCGGCTGTAAATGTTTCATTCCAAAGTTGTGTGTGTGTCTAAACGATCTCTCTCTGAGCCCGAGCTCCTTCATCTTTAAAATAGGACACTAAATCCTACTCTGAAAGGTGGTTTGATCAGGACTAAAGAGAATGTATGTAGAGTGCTTTGTGCAACGAATTGTGGGGAGCTTGGACCCAATAAGGTAGCCAGAATTACCCACATCATCATCATCTTCACTACCATCATTATTGTTATCGACATATTCCAATACACTTCTGAAGGGCTGGAAGAGAGAAATATGTTTGTGCAGACAGGCGGCAGCAGTATTTGATCCACCACCACAGCTCCACCGCTTGGGGGCAGTACTGATCCACCTGTGCTCCCCTCCCTGCCCCAGCCTGGAAAGCTAATTTCAGACTCAAAAAAATCAAGTACAGAGCAGCGCATCCACTCCAATGAGTCATCCCCGCCCACTCTAGACAACAGCATGCTCATGACTCAAACTATCTTCGTGAATGGTTCAAAATATCAAGAATTGGTTTCCATAGTTTCTTGACTAACCAGACACAAAATTTCCCCTACATGCAGAGATTCATGTCTCAACTTCAACTGTACATTAAACTCAACCGGGAAACTTTTAAAACTCTGTCTGGATGCAATCTCATCCCAAGTAAACCAGAAGCCCAGCATGGGAGCAGGACCCAGGCATCCCAATATCTCAACGCTTCTTCTTGATTCTAACGCACAGCCCGGGTGGAGAAATACCAATCAGAGCAACGGTTCTCCAGGTGTGACCCGAGGCACTGCACAGAACCCCCATGGGCCTATTAAACCTGTGTGTCCCTGGGCCCTGCCTTGACCTCCAGAATCACATCTCTGGAAACGACAGTAAAAAAACACCATCCTTTGTAAGCCAGCCTGGTGATTTTTTTTTTCGAGACAGAGTCTCGCTCTTGTTGCCCAGGCTGGAGTGCAGTGGCGCGGCCTCAGCTCACTGCAACCTCTGCCTCCTGAGTTCAAGCGATTCTCCTGCCTCAGTCTCCCGAGTAGCTGGGATTACAAGCGCGCACCACCACACCCGGCCAATTTTTGTATTTTTAGTAGAGACAGGGTTTCACCGTGTTGGTCAGGCTGGTCTCAAACTCCTGACCTCAGGTGATCCGCCTGCTCAGCCTCCCAAAGTGCCGAGATTATAGGTGTGAGCCAATGCACCCGACCAGCCTGGTAATTTTTAAGCACGCTGCAGGGTGAGAATCATTGCTTTAGAGTCTCTCAAGAGTAAACAAAAAAAAAATTATCACTTCATTTGACTGACTGAAAGTAAACAAAAAGTTAAAAGCATAAAGTACTTTGTTTACAAAGAGCTTTCAAAGCCGTGGGCTCCTTTGGCCCTCCCAACAACCACTGACGCAGCTGCTGCTTTCCTCCTTCCTGTTTGCAGGGATGAGGCCTTAGACTCTGCAAACATCTGTCCCCAATTGCGATGGGAGACCCCCCACAGAGGCTAAGCAGCCAGCTCCTCTAAAAGCTCTACTGAACGACCAAAGGGGACAGGGCTTGGAATTGGATCTCAGTAAGGATTGAAGAGACGCAGATGTTTTCTCACTTTGGGAAGATAACCCTATAAATAGTTCTAAATAGACCCTAAGCCCGTGAGCTCTTCCCAAATGATGTCACCAGGAACTGCTCCCATGGTACCAATGTGGATCAACTATTTCTCAAAATGTCTCTTGGGGAGGTACTATTTGGCATTTTTTGGAGATGACTCATTATGTAGCCTGTTTGGTGCGGGACATTGTGCATCCTGCCCGCTCTGTCCCAGCACCAAATGCCAGTAAGACCCTGGGCCTGGGACAACAAATCCATCCTTTACCAGAACATTTCCTACCCCCGCCCCCAGGGGGCAGCACTTCTCCATTGCGAACCAGTGAGTGACAGGACTCTAGGCTTCAGTAAACTCCATGTGGTATTAGACGCAGTTTCTTAAAAATTGATTTTGAGCTCTCTCCCCAGAGCAGAGGAGAAGGCCCAGGAACTCCGACACTTCAGCTGTGCTCAACGCAACTCAACCCAGCCAGCGTCATGCCCTCTGGCGGAGCTCCCCAGCAGCTGGTACCAGCGGCTCCAAGATGCACATGACCAAGGCGCTGCCCTCGGGAACTGCACAGCGCCGAGGCCCCGATGGCCACATGTGGCTGCGGGACTGAGCCTGGGACGGCTGGGAGCCCCGTGAGCTCACAGGGGGCCCTCCTGCACAGAGCAGGTGCCCCCTGAACTAACCTCAGAAAGGCGATTTAATAGGCGGGTGGAGAGAGCAGCCCAGAGCCGGGACGCAGGCACAGAGCATGGAGACAGGAGGATGGGGCCATGGGGGTGGGGGAGCTCAACTGCCCAGGGTAGCCAAAATAGCAGGGAATGAGGTTCGGCAGGTGGGCTGGAGCCAGATTCTGGAACGGCTCGTGTTCCCCTAGGCAATTTGGAGGAGCTCCATCTCCCACACCCCTCCACGGAGCATGGCAAGGAAAATACAGTCAGTCCCACACAGAAGGCTTCCCAAGGCCACCTTCCCAGGTTCCCGGGCTGAAGGAGGCCCTCATCTCCCTGCTGTTCAGGGTGGAGGCTGGGGGTCCACAGACAGCCCAGAAGGGAGGCCGCAGCAGCGTGGCATCCCCAGCATCCTCATCCCCAGAGGTCCAGCTCTGCAGCCACAGGGTTGCCCCCAAATGCAGCACCGGCAGAGAAGCAGCAGTCCCTGGATGAAAGCAGAGGCTGCCTGGGGCTAGGCTGCTGCGGAGGACGGGACTCAGCTACTGCCTGGGTCTTGGCTGCTGTGGGTTTCGGACTCCAGGATGGAGGTGCTGGTTGGGAGGCCTCGGATTCTGTTCAGAAACTACCTTTGCCCCTTCAGTGAAGAGTTAGACAATTCACAAGATTTTCACCAGGGAGATCCTCCACCAGCACAGTGGAGTGGGAGCATGGAGACCTGCCTTGCCTCTCTGGACCTCTGTCTCCTCCTCTGTAAAACAGCGCTGGCCTAGATGGTTTCTAAGGGCTCCTCCAGTTTGATGTCTTAGATCTTCAAATCCAATTTAGCTGAGTGCATGATGGAGGAAAGAAAGACGAGAATGGCTTATGATGTGGCTCCAGATGAGCATGGTGGGGAGAGCACTGGACTGGGAGTCCACGAGCAGGTCCCCAGGTTGCTCCGCCCGTTCACAGCTCCCTCAAACCCTCCTCTGGCAGGAGGTCTGCTCAGCCCCTTCACTCACCCCTCTCATCCATATCCTCACCTCCTCATTCCCTCTTTGCTCCCTTTGTCCCTTTCCATCTCTACATGATGCTTCCCCAGCTTCTAAGTTGCAGCTCAGTTATCACCTCCTCCAGGAAGCCTTCCCTGAGCAGACGAGCCTCAGCAATGAGGCTGATTTGGATGAGAACAGCCGGTACCGATTAGTGAGCTGCCAGATGTGCTCTGACCTTTCATACAGCACCTCATCCCTCTTAACAACCCTTGGAGCAGAATTCTCATCTCCAGATGAAGAAACATTTATTGAGACTTGGCCAAGGTCCCCTGACTAACAAGAGACAGCGGTAGGTTTTGAATTCATATTTTTCTGATTCAGAAGCCCATGTTCTTCCCCAACAACACACTGCCCACTATTGCTCCAAAATTCTACCATCCTCCAGCTGTGCAGCCCATAGGACAGGTCACTCGCCATTACCACAGGTGTCTCACTGCTCCTTGGCACATACGGTAACTCCCAAGTGTCACTCATAGAGCACCAGGGCCTGGGCCCAGACCCACGGACTCAGGAGGCACCTGTGGTCCTGGCCTGACTCTCATGGAAGCCACATCAGACTCCAGGAGGCTCAGCGGCCCCAGCCCAGCAGCTCCCATGCCCCCTCTGGCCTTGGCCCAAAGAAGAGCAGGATCCCCAGGACGGCCAGGACAGGCAGAGCTACCTAAAGCCGATGGTCGCGGCAGGGCCAACAGGTTATTCTTTGCCAGTTGTTGGCACTTCGGGGAATCTTTGCCGTTGAAAACAGCCGGACCCATTGCTGCGTTTAGTGAGGGGTGATCAGAAGCTGGTCCTGAAAACAGATAGAAGGCAAAGAGGAGGGTCAGTTCACAAGAATGCCCTGGGAGCCAGGCAAGGAGGAAATCATTTTCCTTGCAGTTTCACAAACTAGCTTTTCCCCAGCAAGTCTCATCAGGAGGTCAGAATGCCCAACAGTGATTCTGCTACACTGAGAAGATACATGCAGACACATGCATACACACACACACCCCCATGCACGTGTACACACATACACACTTCTGCCTACACACAAGGATACACATGCACAAACATGTACACACATACACATGCACAAACACATGCCTATATACATGCACTCCCAGGAACATGCACCCTCCTGCTCACACCCCATTGGACACACAGCCTGAGTTAAAGAAGGACCGGGGGACTTCCTGAATTCCAGGACCACACCTGAAACTGTTCTGCTTCCTTCTACCTTCTCTCTCAAGACCTCTGGTTGATACGGTTTGGCTGTGTCCCCGCCCAAATTCCACTTTGAATTGCAGCTCCCATAATCCCCCTGTGTCGTGGGAGGGACCTGGCGGGAGGTAATTGAATCATGGGGGTGGTTTCCCCCATACTGTTCTCGTGATAGTGAAGAAGTCTCACGAGACCTGATGGTTTTATAAAGGGCAGTTCCCCTGCACATGCTCTCTTGACTGCCATCATGTAAGACGTGCCTTTGCTTCTCCTTTGCCTTTTGCCATGATTGTGAGGCCTCCACAGCCATGTAGAACTGTGAGTCCATTAAACCACTTTCTTTATAAATTACTCAGTCTTGGGAATGTCTTCATAGCAGTATGAAAATGGACTAATACATCTGGAGTCCAGGAGAGCAGTCGGGTTTGCAGCTACCTGGGCGCAGGCTGTTCATAGGGCCCAGGACTCCCCAGGTCTAAGGGTAATTCTGGGGACAATCATGGCTTCTGGTCTCCTGGGGCTGACGGAACTGCTTAAGTTGCTCATGTCAGCCAGAATGGTCTGGAAAGAGCTCGGGTCAGGAGTAGCACTGAATGTTTCCTGTGGGTTTAAGAGGCTGGCTCTGAAGCCAGATGACATGTGTTTGAGCCAGTTCCACCACCTCCCAGCTGTGTAACCCTGGACACTTACTTAACCTCCCTATGCCTCAGTGTTCTCATCTAGAAAATGGGGGTGGTCACTGTAGCAACTCAGAGCCACTGTGAGAATGACATGAGTTAGCAGAAGAAAGTGCCTGGAACAGTGCCTGGTGTGTAACACGCTTGGAGTACTTGCTCATACTATCGCCTTATTTAATTCTTACAATTGCCCTACAAATTAGACAGAAGAGATTTGCCCAACTTTACAGATGAGGAAATGGAGGTTCAGAGGTTTTGAGTTGCCCCAAATCACTCAGCTAAAAGGTAGCAGCACTGGAGCTTACACCCAGGCACCCTGACAGCAAAAACAGCAGGCTCTCCAGGCCATGATGGCAGAGGCACTGGGGGCCTGGGCATGGGGAAGCAGTGAGGAGCTCTGGGCCTCTGGAGGAGAGTACATCCCAGTCCCCTGCCCAGGCGATGGATGGGCCAGGTGGGTACAAGGGCACTGGCTCCCTCCCAGGGCCAATGTGCCTCTACAGACCCTCTGGGCAGGAGGCATGAAAACAACCAGCGACCTTCCTGCGTCCTCGGGAAGGCTGGTGTCCACCGTGATAACAATCGCCATGCTTAGGAAGTCTGTGCAACATGGTGAAGTGCCAAGCATGTACGTCAGGGTTCACATCTAATGTCACCTCTTGCCTCCACCTCCTCCGGCCCACGAGGTCCTAGGCAAGCACCCAGCCTCAATGAGCCTCACCTTCCCAATCAGTAAAATGTGGAAACTGACGCCTGCTCACAGCGTGGTTGTTGGACTTCAAGGCATTCATGGAGCTGGGGAGTGCTGAGCACGGGGTGAATGGCAGCAATCTGGTCTTTTCCACCCCTTCTAGCAATTCATTCAAACCCTGACTCAGCATCTTTACATAGAGAGCTCTATGCTGTGCGGGGGTTGGGGTGGGGGGTGCTGCAGAGGGATCCTGCATATGTCCCCACCAGGGGATCCCACTTCATATCAAACAGGAAGAAAGAAACTCCCAATGAAAAACCTAGCATTCTTTGTTGAAAAGTATTACAAATTCAAGATGAAAGTAAAGGTGTTATAGAAAAAGATAACAGCCCCCTGATTTATTTTGAAGAATGCTTGACGGCATAGTCAACCGGACACATCGGAGACAGTGCCAGCTCTGTGGGTTTAGCAGCTCTGGTGTGTCTCCACCACCTCACCTGCCTGCTGAGCTCCCATCAGGATGCTGGGGTTCGTCCCAGGAACGGGCTCGCTGGGGAAGGCAGCCGTGCTCTCCAGGGCTGGGAAGAGGGAACTGGAACAAGTACTGGCGGGGATCTGCCGGCTTCTAAACTCTAAGGGGGCAAGGTGCACACGTGAAAACCAACTCGCTCTTCTCCAACAACTACGAAATGAGTTCCTGGAGTGGAACGTGTCCTACAGGACAGTGAGCTATGGAGACAGCCACACAAGCTGCCACCACATCCTGGTCTTTGTTTCAGCGTGAAGCCAGGGCAGGGGTGCGACTCTCTACTTGTGGCTACGTGCCAAGGGGCAGCTCTGGTTGTCAAGAGTGGGAGCAATGGTGAGTATTTAGAAGAAAGGGAAAAATTACACAAATAAGTCACCCTACAGCTACCCGTAGCCATAGACGAGAGTGTTACTTGAAGATAAAGAAATGATACCATCTTCCACCCTTATTTCCTCCTCTGGGAAAGGCCATCCCCAGCGGCCAGTGAGGTGGGGAACCTCTGAGGTGCTTGGACCCAGCAGGTGATCAAAGACGGTGAACTGGTCCCACACGGGGCAGAACCACTGCAGCCTCTGGGCCTGAGAAATGACTGGCAAGTAGTAGGGGCTCAGGAGGCATTTACTGAACAAAACAAGAAAAGCAGAGAGGAAGGAAGAGTCGGGTGTGAGGGGGGCGTGCCCAGAGCCACCCAGCCTAAGGCCTCTTCCTTCTACTCCCAGGACCTGCCCGGGAGCGTCCGGAAGACAAGATGGGAACAAACACAGACAAGGGAGGGACACCTCACACCCCAGACTTGCCCTCCACCCATGGCAGGCCGCTGAGGATCCAGCCTCCTCCTCACCCTGCGTTGCTGACTGTGGCCATGAAGGGCAAAGCTGAGACAAAGAAGGGTGGGAGGGCAGCCTGCTCCCAACATTTCTGAAAGCTGCATCCCAATCACTTCTTCAGAGACCAGCAACGTGAAGCTGGTCTTTCTGGCCATAGTTTAGGGTTCAGGGGCTTGGGTGGGGCATTGTTCAAGCCAAGCTGTCTTAAGTCAGGTTCTCAGCCTTGGCACCAGTGACATTTGCAGGGGGCTTCTTTGTGCTCGGGGCCGTCCTGTGCACTGCAGAATATTCGGCCATACCCTGGTCCCTACCCCAGATGCTGGTGGCACCATCCAGTCATGACAATCAAACTTGTCTTGAGTTATGGCCACACGTTCCCTAGGGGACAAAAGTCACCCATGGTTGAGGATCACTTGGATGAACCACTCAATCTGGGGAGATGAGAACCACTGCCCCAAATACTTGCCATAGGAGGTAATGCACACTCTGGCCCTCTGTCAACGTTTTTTTTTTGTTCGTTTGTTTGTTTGTTTGTTTTGAGATGGAGTCGTGCTCTGCTGCCCAGGCTGGAGTGCAGTGGCACCATCTCAGCTCACTGCAACCTCCACCTCCCAGGTTCAAGTGATTCTCCTGCCTCAGCCTCCCGAGTAGCTGGGATTACAGGCGGGCACCACCATGGCCGGCTAACTTTTGTATTTTCAGTAGAGAAGGGTGTCACTGTGTTGGCCAGGCTGGTCTTGAACTCCTGACCTCAAGTGATCCCCTCACCTCAGCCTCCCTAAGTGCTGGGATTACAGGCGTGAGCCACCACAACTGGCCCTCTGTCGACTTTTAAACATCCCATCCAATTAGACTGTCACTGTCAACCAGCTTAACGCCCGTAACGCAAAGGAGCATTTTCCATTTCATAGGCCTGGCCTTTTGCCCGTGATGTGTGCTGCTATGCAGGGGCCTCTCCCCAGCATCACACCGACAGGCACCACGGCCCACTTGGGGGCCCAGCACTCCCATACCTCCTCCACAGCCAACCTGCTCACCTGAGCCTTTCCAACAGATTAAAGGTCCTTTGGTTAGAGTCCCTTGTGCATTACGGACCAGGTAATACTTCAAGTGTTTCTGCTTCTTGGGTTGAGTGGTCAGTTTCAGATTTATATGATTGGAGAATTCCGTGAAGTAACAGAAGCCTTTCTTTCCACAGCCAACACAATTCCCAGAGAAACCTGGAGAAGGAAGTAAACCATAAACATCTTTCTTTTTTTTTTTTTGAGATGAAGTCTCGTTCTTGTCATCTAGGCTGGAATGCAATGGTGCGATCTCGGCTCGCTGCAACCTCTATCTCCCAGGTTCAAGTGATTCTCCTGCTTCAGCCTCCTGAATAGCTGGGATTACAGGCATCTGCCACCGTGCCTAGCTGATTGTTTTGTATTTTTTAGTAGAGACGGGGTTTCACCATGTTGGCCAGGCTGGTCCTTTTCAAATAAGACAGAGTTCATCCAAACTCTGAAGGTTCACTTCCTGCACCACCAGCCAGAGAACGCCACAAGGCAAGCACCCCACCCTCTTAGACTAGCCCAGAGGTGAAGACGGCCTCAACTCGAATGAAAGAGGACCAGGAAGACTTAGTGATAGAGATGGGCCTGGGCAAACTTGGAAGATTTAACGTGCTTGAGGGCCCACTTAAACACCTATGTAGAGAGCAAACTTTGCAAGACAAGAGCCATCCCATTCCACTGTCTACACAGATCAGGCACCTGAAATGATGCGACAGGCTCTTATTTCCGTGGGGGTGGGTTAGTTACAGACTCTCAAAGCAATGTGACTAGTGAGATGGGCTACACTGGGAGACCTCCTAAGAGTCCAAAATTCCATCCTGCTATCAAGTTGATCCCGTGAGTTTCTGAAAAGAAATCAGGAGCGCTTCACAATATCTGGCCAGCATGCTGGTGAGTGAATTCCGTGGCTTAGCAGCCAGTGGATGGAGACACTCTGCTAGAATGTGACTATCTTGCTGCTGCTGGCCTCTGCACCAGGCCTACAACTGACTTTCTGGGAGGTGATGGAGGCTTCCATCAGCTGTGAGACTCTAAGCAGGCTTCCTACGCAGTGGCAACAACCAAACCACCTCCTGGAAGCTATTAAAATCCAGAGAATGTGCTTGAAAAGACCTTCATACACTGTAAAGCCTATTCAGACCATAGGCATTGGGAGCGTTGGTTAAGATGAGAAATGTGAAGACTGGGCTTCTGCCCAGGCTGACTGCTCTTATTTAAACGATCTTAAGACGGCCTTGTTTCACCCACTGGTATGTCTGGTTTCTTTGGGCTCAAAGGTCTTTGGCTGGGGAGATGCTGAAGCTAAGACTCATGTATCATATTCTCCATTTGATAAGTCTACAAAGGTCATCGTGCCTTAGGCCGTGAGGGCCACCCGGCTCTGTGTGTAACTCTGCTCTAAAACAGTTTCCCTAAGGTCTCTGGCTAGTGTTCAGAATAACTCCAGTTAGTGAAGGTTAAAAACATCTCCACAGATAAATAAGACATCTACATTACAGAGGCCTACAGGACTCCCTGATCTACTTTGAGCACATCTAGTCTTTCTCAAAAGGCGTTAGAAATAAGGACAGATCTCTTGGCCTCGCCATAGGACAGTTACAGGATAGTTTACCTTCCACAGTCCTATTCCCTCTGTGCCAGCACAAACAGTAAGGTCCTGGCATGAAATACTGTCCTCTCCATGTGCTCGCTTTCCATGGGACAGGCAGGGAACTAACACTCACAGGGAACCAGGGCCATTCTTGTCATTCATCTCAACCCACAAGTGACACAGGAGCCAGTCAACCTGGAGGGCAAGTCCTTCTTTGTGAAATCAGAGAACCAGAGAGGCCAATTGTTCAAATCCATAGGTACAGAAAGTGTGGCATTCAACTCCAGCCTGAGGATGATGTTCTCACCCACAGGCCTGGCATCCGAGGCTGCCCCAATGCCCCCTAGCCTTCATCTCCAGCTTTATTCCTGTCCTTCCTCTGATATGCTAATTCCCAGCTGGACTCCCCTGCCTTTCAACCCAGCCCGCTCCCACTGCCCTCCACCCACAGGCTCATCCTTTCCTCTGGGGGCCCCACCTGTACACCTCCAGCCCTCACTCAACATCCTGCTCCGACGCCTATTCCCAAGAGCCTTCTGTGACCCAAAGGCTGGCTGGCACTTTCTTCCAGACTCTTCCTGTAGCTCAGGGGCCTCTGAACATCCCAGTGATTGAAATTTGTGTCTTTTTCCCATCATTATTCCTCTAAGCTCGCAGCATGACTGCACGTGTGAGCTGTGTGTGTGCCAGTGTACAGGTACTGACTAATACCCAACACGTGGCAGGCAGCCGGTTAACATCGAGAGGGAAGAAAGAAGAGAGGAAACAGGGTAACTGTAAACACAGCCTGTTAGGGTTTCTGTAAGCACTCTGAAGGAATAACCTCATGTCTTTGTTTATTCCTTCACCTCCAACTTAGGGACGCTTGAGATAAACCCAGCTCAACTGCTGCCTAAGAACAAGGCCCGAAGAAACCTTCAGAGCTCCCTGGAAGGGCTTCTAAGCCTGGTGTTAAAAAGATGGATGAACAGGAAACAGAACTGCAAGAAACTAAGAGCAACTTGCCAAGGCCAGGCTGTCAAACCTCTCCAGAGACAGCTAAGCAGGTTACAGGCCTCTGTCCCATAAGAAACACGGGCTGGGGACCGTCGCTGTGCTGCAGAGGCCGTCTCCATCTCCTCCGCTGGGATGGGAAGCACAGGGAGCCCTTTGTGATTCAGAAATGAGGGTGGACACCCTGGGTCTTGCTGGTACAGGAAACATTTAGGGACTCAGCAAGCAAACTGCTTTTCTGCTTTGGCAAAAACTTTCTGGTCAGGAGACCCAGCTGCTCTTCTGTGAGGTGTCTTGGAGAGATAGCCACAGAGGCCAACCAAGAAAACCACAGACAGCTTCCCAACCGGCCCTGGGAGAGACCGGAAATGCCAACCCTCCAAGAAGGTATGGGAAAGGCAACAAAAATGTTCATGAGAAAGAGGAAAATAATGAGCCGTTCTCTTCAGAAATCTACCTTAGGACTTGAAAGTCTAGAAAGTTTTCTTTACATGATAGGCTTAGAAAGCATGGGATCCTGCCTGAAATCTCAAATTCCTGCCGGGTGTGGATATCCAGAATCGAAATTCTTCCTTCAGTGTCCTCACCATGGAAAACAGTCCATCTTAAACACGACTCTTGTCACCACGCACAGCCACACCCTGTGATTTTCCTGTGTCTAGTTCAGCAGCTGCAGGTAGCATTTGTTTAACAAGCACGTCCTGGGCGGCTATGTGTGCTGGCCACTGAGGAAGCCTCTCCCCTTCTGCTGAGAGGACAACTACATCCACTCCCCCAGCCCCTGCAAGGGAGTGTGCATAAGCCTGGATGTCTGAGGGGCCTGGGTTCAAATCCTAACTACAGTTAGGTGATGTGAGGCAGGTAACTAACACCTCTGAGCTTTGCTTTCCCCGTCTGTCAACAAGCCGACAACAGCGGCTTCATAGTGCACCTATCATGGGCCAGGCACTGTGCCAAGCACATTATAAACGTTCTCATTTAAACCTCATGAAGCCCAACAAAACAATCAGTAGCAGTGTCCCAGTTTACAGATGAAAACAGCAAGGCAGAGGGAGAAACAGAAACCCATCCATGGTACAGGGTGACCAAGCCACGGCTACAGGGTAGAAAGTGCTGGAGTTAGGATTTGAACCCATCTCCTCCCAAAAACCCACCTTGTAGGAGCACTATGCGGGTTAAGTGCCTACGAGATATCTAACATGTCAGGGGCACTCTGCAAGCATCCCTCCTTCCTCTACCCTGGACTAAGTGTATTAGGAAGGAGAGAGCACAGTGGGGGTCATGACACTCACATGTGGCCCTAGGGGAGCAAATATATAGCCCCCCACAACAGTGTGAGATGTGGAGGAAGCAGCTCCATTTCTCTGGGTTTCCATGTTCCAACCATCAAAGGGAAGGCTATGACTAAATCGGCCCTATGCCTCCTTCTAGGACCAAAGTGACATGATTCTTCTTGGAAGCATCCATAGGTGGCTTCCTTCAGACCCAGTGGTCTCTGAGCACTTGGCTCATAGCAGGCTGGAGATGGCCCAGGTTTACTGCTGGGGCCACTCCCTCTGCAGAGAGGAGTCCTCCCACAAAACCTCAGGGATGCCTCTAGAAGCCCACCTGCACCTGACCTTTCTTCTAGAACCACAGTCCAAGCAGATCTCGCTGACAGCCACTGCACCAGAGCTGGGAGCCACAGACCTGTCCCCCAGGCCTGATGCCTCCATCCAGTGCCTTCCCAGGAGAGTGGATGCTCAGAAGGGCCTTACTCTAGGCCACTGTCCCTGCGCAGAGGGCCACTTGGCCCTAGTCATCAACCCTCCATGAAAAAATGCAAATCTGACAAATACTTTTATGCACAAATATGTTTAGAAAGAAAATCTGATAGGAAACAAACCACATGCTCTGGGCAAGACATAGATTAAAAATGCATGGTTCGGCTGGGCGTGGTGGCTCACGCCTGTAATCCCAGCACTTTGGGAGGCGCAGGCAGGCGGAGCAGGAGGTCAGGAGATCCAGACCATCCTGGCTAACACAGTGAAACCCTGTCTCTACTAAAAATACAAAAAAATTAGCTGGGTGTGGTGGTGGGCGCCTGTAGTCCCAGCTACTCAGGAGGCTGAGGCAGGAGAATGGCGTGAACCCAGGAGGTGGAGCTTGCAGTGAGCCGACATCGCGCCACTGCACTCCAGCCTGGGAGACAGAGCGAGACTCCGTCTCAAAAAGAAAAAAAAAATGCATGGTTCATTAATTGGGTATTGTTTTTGGTTAAAAAAAGAAATGGTCCCTGTTAGGAAGAAGGAACAGACACAATTAAATAATCCCATGATTGAGGCAGAAGTACCGGTAGCAACGACAGTAGTTCCTCAAATTTGGGCAGCATTTTCGAGTTTATAAAGATCATCATATAAAGAGCGGAGTTATCCTCAAAACCGCAGTCAGGTACCGCGTACATCTTTATCCCCTTTATAGATGGCAAACCTGCAGCCCCAAGGCAGGAAGTACTTCTCTGCCAAGATGGGACTGGCTGTTCCAGCACAGTGTGCTGCAGAGAAGAATGAGGAAACAGCAGGAGTAATTTAGGAAGGCAATTCCAGGAAGACATCCTGGCAAGTGGGATTTAAATTGGGCCTGAACAGCAACTCTATGTTCCTTCCAAATAATGAGCCTTGAAAGCTCATGAGCTCAGACGAGCACACACTATACCTAGCAACTAATGACCACCCTCCCCGTGCCTGAAAATAAACAGTTACTTGGGACAAAAATAAGATCATCTTTGGCTCATTGTGTGCCATATTAATTGAAAAAAAGAAAAAACAAAACCTGGGGAACATTATTTTAAATCCCCACCTTGATGGAGAAAGGAAAAGACCATGGGAAAGGAAAACAACGTTTTATATATATATATATCCAGAGCCCCTGCCTTGGTATTTTGGCCAAACCCCAGCTCAAGTGTAGAAATGACCTCCTTGTGTTGGGGAAGCCTAAGGAGCCGTACCAGGATTCCAGGTGAGACAGGAAGTGGGGCAGGGGTCCCAGGTGTTCCCGCGGAAGATGAAGCACTCAGGGGTGGTAAATAGTATGATGTTGGGAGGTTTGAAACATATAATTCTCAGGCCATCGTACTCCTCTAGAATCCTGCAATAAGTTCATAACTAGTTCTTCTGCCTCAGTTTCTCCCTTTGCCTAAAAATCAATTGTGTATCTGACTTCTAAGAGATCTTCCTAAAACACAAATTAAAACAGTCATCTAAATTTAACATCTAACACTCTAAATATCCTTAAAAATATCAATTATAAGGGTAAAACTAGGGAGGAAGGACCTACACATAAAGAAAAATTGAAGAGATACAGCAACTAAATGCTTTAGAACTCCCTTGTCTGGATCTTGATACAAATGCACCAATTGCTTTAAAAAAAAAAAAGTATAAGATAACAATTCGAACACCCTGAATATTTGATAATATTAAATACCTGTTAAATCTTTTAGATATGATAATTGTATTGGATTTCTAATGAAAAGCCGTTATCTTTTTTTTTTTTTTTTAATGGAGTTTCACTCTTGTCGCCTAGACTGGAGTGAAATGGCTTCATCTCAGCTCACTGCAACCTCCCAGGTTCAAGTGATTTTCCTGTCTCAGCCTCCCGAGTAGCTGGGATTACAGGCATGTGCCACCACGGCCAGCTAATTTTTGTATTTTTAGTAGAGACAGGGTTTCACCACGCTGGCCAGGCTAGTCTCAAACTCCTGGCCTCAGGTGATCCACTCCCCGCAGCCTCCCAAAGTACTGGGATTACAGGCATGAGCCACCACACCTGGCCCCATTATCTTTTAGAGATAATGCCCTGCCGATATATTTACAGATGAAGTGATACAATGTCTGGGATTTGTTTCAAAATAATCCCAGAAAGGGAGAAGAGGGGGACATTATCAATGAAACAAGACTGGCCACGTGTTGGTAACCTTTAAAGAAGGCTAGATCACCTCATACCATGAGACTCTGTACTTCCATAGTTTGAAAATAGCTCCTTTTCCAAGCAGAACCCAGCTGGGCACCCCACCCCGCCACGCTCTCCACCAGCCTCCGCTCCAGCCACAGAGCACTCTCGCCACCTCTCCAGTGTGCCACGCTGTCATGTACAGGGAGGTCCCTCTGCTGAGATGCCCTTCATCCTCCAGGACCTGGGCACCAGGGCCAGACCCTCGGGGTTCAAACAGCAGGGTGGCCCTGAGCAAGTCAGTTAGCCTCTCTGTGCCTTCATCTCTGTATATAACTCTAGATAATAATAGACCCACTGCATTGGCTATTTTAACTTATTTCGTGCAGTTTCTGGCACACGATAAATGCTCAAAAAGTGCCGACTGCTATTAGTGCTTGGTTTCTGTTGCTGTTATTCTCCAATTGGCAGAATTCCACTCATTTTTCAGGGCCCAACTCAGATACCACATCCTCCCATTCCCATCCTCACTGGGAGCCGGTGTGCTCCTCCGATTGCCGGAGCACCTTACCGTCTCTGCTGGACCATGTCGCACATGGATGTATTGTAAGATTTACTGACAGAGTCGTTTGTTGTGGACTTCTAGGCTGATTCTTGGTGTGCCTGCATCCCCCCACCCAGCCCCTAGACGTAACTGAAGGTCCAGGCTTTCATTTCACGTTATATATTCCGTAAATGCATGCTGAATTCTTTGCATGCTGAATGAACAAAGGATTTGTTTACTCCCATCTAAGAAAAAACAATCTAGCGGAATATGTTTTCCTTTTTTATGTCTGAGCTGTCAACCCATTTAGATAAATTACCGGGCAATAAACTGAAACACACACCTAGATTTTAATCTTTCAGCTTTTTCAGATAAAATACCTGAGTTGATTAAAAGTCACAAAAACAAGTCTCCTAATACTGCTGCTTCCCTCAAGGTATTACCCAGCCTGTATTTTATAGATCACTAAAAAGCACTGAGCCCTGCCGCTGCAGGGCTGGAGCGGACCACCTTGTCCTGTATAGCCATCAGACTTAATTGCAGGAAACCTAAACAGTGTTAAGTATGCAAGCTGAGAGCATAAAGTTATTTTATTAAAAGAAGAAAGCAATGGTTATTACCAACCAGGCCTTGTCACCCATTTCAGATGGCTCTGGCAAGCAATTAACAAAGCTCCTACACTTCCTCTCCTCGATGAGCTGGCTCTGTTACTGGGCTGGTGGTGAAGGAACTGGAAGATCCTCCTCTCTGCGGGCCAACAGGCAGAGCCTCCTTGATTTACTACCCTGGCAATTCCTTTACAGTCACAAAGTGGTGGGATCCAGATGAATCCCCGGCCACCGCCAGATCAAACGCTAAGGTGGCCACCAGGCATGGCCTCGCGTACTCACTTTCATCCTGGGCGACTGTCGTAAGCGTTCAGTCTGTCATTGAATTATTCCATCAGCTTCTTTGCTAGAGTGGGTTTTCTGGAATGGTTCTGTTTTAGAGAACTAGTTACAGTGACTCCATGAGCCTGCCTCAAAAGAGTTGGCCAAAATGTTTTCTCTCCTTCATCACTGTCTAGTGGTGCTGTCCCTCGAGTGAGCATTCACCTGCCTCGTGTCAGAGTTCACACACGTGTGTGTCCCCAGCGCCTCTGTGGCAGGAACCATTGCGTTTTCTTCTCCCCTCTCTCCATTCTTCATCCTTTGCACAGCTTCTCAGACATACAGTGTGCTCAGTAACTACCCGTGGAGTGAGTTTATCCTCCCAGCTTTTGGAACTGTATCAAGCGCAAAACTGGAGGCTTCAAGGTCTATACTCATGGAAAATATGTAAGAAATTGTGGGGGTTTTCAACTTAGAAGTTTTTCCCATAAATTCTCACAATCAAATTTGCTTCTGCATGAAGACCGTTCCTGAGGCTACATCTGAAGTGGATTATTACCAATCCTGCCTCCTGCCCAGATTTCCTCCAAAGAAGATGCCAGGCCAGACGGAGGGGCCGGACCCACAGTCACGGGATGAGAACAGACTGCCAAAGGGCCAGGGCACATGTGGAAGTCACCTCCCCGCTTCATGGATGAGGACGCAGAAGCCCAGGGGGATACACAGGGACCTGTGGGCAGATGCAGGGCAGGAACCCAGATCCCCGGGCTCTCAGTCCACACCTCAGGTGTCCCTAGATTTTACTCCACAATGGGGGAGCCTGCTGAGTGATGGCCCGGCACACAGTAAGAACTCAATTACATCATATGAGCAAAGGCAGCCAGGCTTGGCAAGGCCTGGCCTCAGCTCTGCACTCAGAGCCTTAGTGGGCCAGCGGTTGTTGGAAAGATCAAAGGCTAGTGGTGCCGGTGGCTGGAAGGGAAAACGGTGGCTCCCCCACCTTGACCTTGACCACAACATGGTCAAGACCACGTGGGATGGTACCGGGTAGAATCTGGAGCCAGGAAGACTTGGGTTTGAATCCTGGCTCTGTCCTCTTTACTCACGCGGCCTTGAGCAATTTAACAGATCCAAGCTCACCTATAAAACTGGGGTAATAAAGACCACCTCTTGGCTGGGCGTGGTGGCTCATGCTTGTAATCCCAGGACTTTGGGAGGCCAAGGTGGGCAGATCACTTGAGGCCAGGAGTTCGAGACCAGCCTGGCCAACATGGTGAAACCCCATCTCTACTAAAAATACAAAAATTAGCCGGATGTGGTGGTGCACACCTGTAATACCAGCTATTTGGTTGGCTGAGGCAGGAGAATCACTTGAACCCAGGAGGTGGGGGTCGCAGTGAGCTGAGACAGTAAACACTGCACTCCAGCCTGGGCGACAGAGAGAGACTCTGTCTCAAAATAAATAAACAAACAAACAAGCAAACAAACAGACCATGTATTGAGAGATGAGTGATAAACCAAAGGGGAAAACAGATACAGGGTGCCTGGCAGTCCTTCAGGACAGAACATTCTGGAAGCAGCAACACACTCGGCCTCATTCTCCTCTGCCTCTGTAGGCTGTTTCTGAGACTGCCTAGGACAGGGTTTGTCACCCATTCTTGACACAAGCAGGCACTTAAGGAGGTTTGAGGAATAAATGTATGAAAAATGAATGCTAAATGGTGAGCTTTCTGCAGGGATGCAGTCATACTGTAAATGCATCTCATTTGCATTCCATTCCACAAAGAACTCATCTACCAAAAAACAGAAACAGGGCTGCATGCTGCGCCTGGGGTCCCAAAGATGGTCCCTCTGTTGCCACCACCCCCCGCCGTGACCTCCCTTGACCCTGCTCTACCCCATGCAGAAGGAGCCACAGAGGATGACAAAGCAGTACTTACCAAGAAGAGCATTGTGGCCATTGTCATCTGGCAAGAACCTCTTGTCAACGGCGCACACCAGGAGATGGTCCGGCAGGCTGGGGGACTTGACCCCCACGAGGAGAAAGCCCGCAGGGACATCCATGGGCTCGTTGGAAATGGAGACAAGGCGCAGGTCCTTCCCGGCCTGGCAAAACCCTAGGAGGGGTGGACAGGGTTCACACGCTGCCCAGGGCTTCCCAGAAGCGGGGTCACAGGGGCAAAGGGAGGAAACGTTCTGGGTCTGCTCAGGAGAAACCCTTACCCCTGGGTGTGCTTGACCTCAAAATTAATCCTGAGAGATAGAACTATAATCTTAGTTGGCTGGGCATGGTAGCTCACGCCTGTAATCCCAGCACTTTGGGAAGCCAAGTCGGGAGGATCACTTGAGGTCAGGAGTTCAAGACCAGCCTGGCCAATGTAGTGAAACCCCATCTACTAAAAATACAAAAATTAGCCAGGCGTAGTGGCACACACCTGCAATCCCAGCTACTCGTCAGGCTGGGGCAGGAGAATCATTTGAACCCGTAAGGCAGAGGTTGCAGTGAGCTGAGATTGTGCCCCTGCACTCCAGCCTAAGTGACAAAGTGAGACTCCATCTCATATATATATATATATAATCATAGTTATCCACGACACAGATCACACGTTATTTGTGTATCGGTGCCACCATGTGATGCACATTAATGTGCAAATGAAGCTCAACAGGAAGAAATTTTAAACACATGACGGCAAACGGAAACATAAACAAGATAAATCCACAAGAAACTGAGGGTCCTCTGATGTTTTTTACATGCTGCATTTTATGGGGATGAGAAAGAGGCCATCATGAAAAACGAAGGCTGAGAATCTGATAGCGTCAGTTTCCGCTAGGGGGTCATGGGGAGGACTGGCGGCCAGGACACAGGCACTGAGCCGGCCGAGAGCACAGGGATTCTCATTCCATGCCCTTCAGAACCTTTTGCGTGTTGGAGCTTGTAAATACATTTCCTATTCAAATAATACATTTCTACAAACATCTGGCAAGGGGAAAGGTAAAATAGAGAGCCAGCTGAGACTAATTTGGATAAGGCTTTTCCAGGGTCTTGTCCCAGGTAAGGGCACACCCAGCCCCATCTCCTGTGCTTCCTGTAGCTTTAGCTCCCGACTGAGACCTCTCTGGGAGTCCTGACGAGCCAAGGCCTTCCCAGCAGAGCTCTACAGGAGGTCATGAAGACTTTCCTCCTGAGTGCAGTGCTTCCCCACTCACCATGCATTTGCTCTGTGGTTTCCCATGTGCCCCTGGGCGGGGGCAGGAGAAAGCAACACCTGTGGGGGAGACGCTGGCAGGCATGGGGCCAGCACCACCACACACCAGGCACCAGTGAGGCAGGCTCTGCAAAGCTCTCATCTCATCACCTGCAGCAAAGTGTGGCTGTTCCCATTTTGAAGATAGGGAAACTGAGGCTCAGAGAGGCTGAGTGATTTGCTGCAAGCTACAGAGAGGTGGACCAGGAAGGGAGGCCAAGCTGACTCCCAGGTCTGGGGCATGATATGGTCTGGCTGTGCCCCCACCCACAGCTCATCTTAAACTGTAATTCCCACAATTCCCACATATTGTGGGAGGGATACGGTGGGAGGTAACTGAATCATGGGGGTGGGTCTTTCCCACGCTATTCTTGTGATAGTGAGTTTGTCTCATGAGATCTGATGGTTTTTAAAAGGGGAGTTTCCCCACACCAGCTCTCCTGTCTTGTCTGCTGCCATGTGATGTGCCTTTCACCTTCCACCATGATTGTCAGGCCTCCCCAGCCACGTGGAACTGTGGGTCTAGGAAACCAGTTTCTTTTGAAAATTGCCCAATCTTGGGTATGTCTTTATCAGCAGTGTGAAAATGGACTAATACAGGGCAGTTCCTTGCATTGGCTTGGGAAAGGGAGGTCAATTCCCTGAGGTCAAGGTCAATCCCCAGGGGGTCCCCTAACTCTCTGACCTAGGTCCCTCCCAGCCCAGTGTGGTCCATGCCTTCTGAAGAGCTGGAGGGATGTAGGCCATGAGTAGTCACAGTGTTTACTGTATTTATTTGGAAATTATGTGAAAATCTAATGACCAATGGAGAGTCTACCTCTTAACATTTATTTTTTTAAGAGATAGGGTCTTGCTATGTTGCCCAGGCTGGCCTCAAAGTCTGGGTTCAAGCAATCCTCCTGCCTCAGCCTCCCGGTAGCTGGGACTTGACTACTTGTGCCACCATGCCTGGCTGAAGAGTTCACCTCTTACCATTTAATTCAGTGGCCTTTTAAATATTTGGACACTATAAGTCCTACCTCACTAAGAGCCACCATATTGCCTTCCCCTTGCCTGGAAGAGCAGCCCATCGAGGGCCGAGTCCCTCCCCTCCCAGTCATCATGCTCAGGGTCAAGTCCAGTCCCCAAGGCAGAACACATGGGGCCTTCACACCACGTCTCATCACTCCTCCAAGCCTGGCTCTGCCACACCTCAGGCCCCTACGTAAATAATCTGCTAGTAGTTCCTCCAAATGAGCTGTAATTTCACCCACTAAGCCTTTGCACATGCTGTTCCCTCTGTCTGGAACTTCCCAGCTTCCTCCAACCCCTCCACAGTCTCCTGGCTGACTCGTACTAATCCTCCAAAACCCAAAGGGCCACCTCCTCCAGGAAGCCTTCCCAAAACTCTCTACCTGCGTTAGAGCCCCTCCTCTGCTCCATGCACCCCTGCTTGCTCCCAACTGTGTGCAAAGTATCCACTTTCCTGTATAGCTCCCATCAAACAGGGATCTCTCGTCCCATTTATCTCCATATTTCCAGAGCAAAGAGTTCAATAATTACTTCAATTACTGCTTAATTTAATAATACCCAGTTAGTTATCTTAAATAACTAAGGACTGAGCACAATGCCTGAACATAGTAGGCATTCCAGAAATATTTGTATAGGGGGTACCATAGTGTCATATGTAAACCATTTTACAAATAAGGAAGCAGAGGCTCAGAGAGATGCAGTGATTGGCCCGCAGCTATTCAACTATCTGCTAAGCAGCATGGCCTGCACGTTCCAGTTGTGTCTGATGCCCAAGCTGATGTTCTCGCCACTAACTGGCCTCCCCACTTGACTGACATGGTGTCAGACAGATGAACTCACTAGCAAAGAGGTCGTGTGGCTCATGGGTGGCAGAGTCAGGGGTGTACACCAAGCCTGAGTGCACAGCACAAGCTCTCAGCACAGGACTAAGCTGCCACCCATCCAGCATCTCCAGGCCTCTGTTCCTCAACAGTGAAACTGTACCATTACTGACTGTACAGGGTCCCTGAGATTATGTGTATCTGCCTGTTCAACATTGACGTACTGATGGGTATGAAAGATTATTCCAGCCAGGCCCAGGGGCTCACGCCTGTAATCCCAGCACTTTGGGAGGCTGAGGTGGGTGGATCACCTGAGGTCAGGAGTTCGAGACCAGCCTGGTCAACATGGTGAAACCCCATCTCTACTAAAAATACAAAAATTAGCCAGGCATGGTGGCATGTGCCTATAATCCCAGCTACTTGGGAGGCTGAGGCAGGAGAATTGCTTGAACCTGGGAGGCGGAGGTTGCAGTGATCTGAGATTGCACCACTGCACTCCAGCCTGGGCAACAGAGTGAGATTCCGTCAAAAAAAAAAAAGAAAGAAAGAAAGATTATTCCTCCTAATCACTTGTGAGTTCAATATGCTGTGCAAACAGGCCTGAGTAGGGAAAATGTATTCTAGGTTCCAAGCAACCAACACAGAAAAATGAATGTCTGGCTCCCAAGCCACTGGTAAAGTTGAGACTGTCCAAAGAGTGGCACAGAGGCCTGCCTTAGCATCCCAGGATGGTGTCTCTGGAGCTCCTGTTTCAGGAGGGCAGGCCGGGCCAGCACCTGCTGCGGGCCCAGGGGCATGGCTCACACCTCAGGGAAAGCAAAGAGGAAGAGCAAAGAGGACCCCTGCAGCACACAGTCACAGGCCCAGTCACCCGCCTGGCCACTGCCTCCGGGCAGCATGGCAGGCACTGCCTGGCCAGGAGCTGGCAGAGGCTCACCGTCTGTGGTACAGCATCCTTCAGGCAGAGGGTGCAGCTGGAAAGGGTTTGGGGGGCCATTTGTTTCCAGCCCTCCTTCTCCCTCTTCTTCCTCTTCCTCATTGTCCACTCGGCTACCACCTAGATGCGGGAAGAAGAGTGATGAGCAAGGCAGCTGCTGTCTGGCCTCAGAGCTTCCCCCAGGGCCTTTCCTCTGCCTGCATTCTCAGGCTCAACAAGCCCAGGACCTATGGGACTAATCCAGAATGGGTTCCACCCATCCTTAACAAGCACTCAGCACGTCTAGCTAGTTCGAAATTAACTTGTCCTTACAAACAGTCTGTCAGTCGGGTTTTATCAACCTTCTTTACTGGAGGGAAAAGCTGAGGCTTGCTCGGGTTGGATGACTCACCCAAGGTCACACGGCACACAGACCTGGGCCTCATGACTCCAAATTCAGGTTCATTTCTCTTCCATCTGTCACAGCTGCGCGTACACTAGAGGTTTAATATGTATCGAATTGGTTGATAAGGACTGAGCGCAATGCCTGGACATGGTAGCGTTCCAAAGATATTTGTGTAGATGGTACCATAGTGTCATATGAAGACCATTTTACAAAACAGGAAATGGAGGTTCAGAGAGATCCAGCAATTGGCCCACAGCTATTCAACTATGTGCTAGCAGCATGGCCCACACGTTCCCAGTCCTGTGTGATGCCCAAGCTGATGCTCTTGCCCCTAACCTGCACTGCTTCATTTGGGACACAAAATATAGGTAGTATGAACAGCTTTACACAATACAAGACAGCTGTCAAACGGCACATTGTCAATGGCCATACCACCCTGAACGCACCTGATCTCGTCTGATCTCAGAAGCTAAGCAGGGTCGGGCCTGGTTAACACTTGGATGGGAGACCACCTGGGAATACCAGGTGCTGTAGGCCAGGCACGGTGGCTCAAGCCTGTAATCCCAGCACTTTGGGACGCCGAGGCAGGTGGATCACCTGAGGTCAGGAGTTCGAGACCAGCCTGGCCAACATGATGAAACCCTGTCTCTACTGAAAATACAAAAAATTAGTTGGGCGTGGTAGTGTGTGCCTGTAATCCCAGCTACCCAGGAGGCTGAGGCAGGAGAATTGCTTGAACCTGGGAGGTGGAGGTTGCAGTGAGCCGAGATCACGCCACTGCACTCCAGCCTGGGCAACAAGAGAAAAACTCCGTCTCAAAAAAAAAAAAAAAAAAATATCCCCAAGGGAAGAATGCATGTAAACACTACTAGACACACAAACACACACACATACAAATAGCCATTCTATAACAGGGTCAGGTATGGTATGGATGTAGGAAGCTTTTTTTAAACTGATAAGAACAGATACTACACTTGGTCTTAGCCAAAAGGCCGAGAAGCAATGTAGGAAGCTTTTTATAAGTGAAATAATATTTCAGAAGGAATGGTCACTGTTGAACAGGTCAGGAGAGCCTAGGGGTGGCCATGGAAATCCTGCAACTCCCTGGACACACACTCTGTCACTACAGGGAAATGAAATTCTCTCAGCTCCGGCAGGCAGGATCTGTGCCCTCACTCATCCCTGTATTCTAGGCACCCCACAAGGAAGCTAATTATGACTGTGTGTTGGGCAGCCCAGTGGCTCTGGGTACACAGAATCGTACCTTATTCACTAAGCACTGCTGGAGAAGGCAGGATCTCAGGCTGTTGAAATTTAGTCCTGCCAACTTCTTGTAAGTTAGACATTTGGGGTAAAAATCTTTCTCAACTTCTCTATCTTTAAATGTCATTTAATAAATAGCATACAGAGTTCTTCAGGGAACAGGGTCATTATGAACATCCTTAAACACACTGGGCCAGGATACAGGCACTCTTCGCTTATTTCTTTTTTTTTTTGAGATGGAGTTTCTTTCTTGTCACCCACACTGGAGTAAAATGGTGCGATCTCAGCTCACTGCAATCTCCGCCTCCCGGGTTCAAGCGATTCTCCTGCCTCAGCCTCCCAAGTAGCTGGAATTACAGGCACCTACCATTACGCCCAACGAATTTTTGTATTTTTAGTAGAGATGGGGTTTCACCATGTTGGCCAGGCTGGTCTCAAACTCCTGATCTCAGGTGATCCACCCGCCTCGGCCTCCCAAAGTGCTGAGATTATAGGCACGAGCCACCATGCCCGGCCCGCTTCTTATTTCTTTGTCTTCTCCTCCAGTGTTGGTTTATTTGCTGTCAAGTCTCAAACTCTCACTTAACTTGGCTCTAACACCGTCCATCCATCCAGAGGGCTAAGCAACCTAGGTTAATGATGAAATCATGTGTAGTAGAAAGAGATTGGACTGGAAATCAGGGAGCTCAAGTTTCCATACTAGCCTGGGCCACTGCCTATGTGGACGCAGGAAAATTACTTAACCTCTCTGTGCATCTGATCCTGCATCTTTAAAATGAGGTGGTTAATCCAGACAAACCCTAAGGTCACCTGGAGTTCTGATGGTCTGTGTGGAAAAACGTGGCCCTCAGAGCTGCACGGGAGTTCCAGATGTGATTAAACGGTAGAGCATACTGGAAACATGGCCTCACAATGGCGACCATTTCAAACGGGCTTGTGGGACAAGAGGCAGAAGAAGCTGAACGTTTCCAGCAGGTGGGAAGCGTGACTTTGGGAAGGTCACAGCAGGAGGTGACTCAGGAACTCCTGATCTCTCAGATTTCCTGGGCTTAGAGGACACAGAGTGGTAGGAAAGGTGTGAAGAGATTACCCAGAGGTGGGGTGGGGAGGGAGACACACTCTTGAGCCTGCTTCAGATGCTTTCTTCCTGCCATTACATACAGCAGGCGTGGTTTTAGCAGAAGGTGTAAAGAGTCATGCCCAGACCCCAGGCGCCAGCAAGGCAGTACAGGTCTCCATGTCGGACACAGAAGACTCTGCAAAATCGACTCTGGTCTCTAAGCCAGCACCACAGAGGCTCAGAGGGGATGGCACAGATGCCAACTATCAGTGAAATAAGGGAGACACATCCCAGGAGAACTAAAACCAGCAGCCCCCAAGGCCCGCACCGTCGCAGCCAAGGGCACACCCGGGAATGCCTGCATGTGATTCTGCCAAGCTGCTAAGAACGGCAATTCAGACTCTCAGAAGGCATGAAAGAAAAGGGTCGTAAGCCTCAAAAGGTCAAAGAAAGAGCTCAAAATCCAGTCAGTAAGAAAGCAGGATTAAAAGTCAAAGGTCTACATCAGATATTCCAGGGGCTGTGATGGGAAGATCCGCCAGCAACAAGCTCGAGGGGACATTCCTGCCCGGGAGCAGACTAAACCAGCCGTGTTTACCCAGGTCTCCTGGCAGGACGAGAGCTCTAAAATGGCTTTAGACAAAACCAACTGGATTGGGAGCTTAGAATCCTAATAACAAAACACAGGAACTCAGGGGCCTGGAGCGCCGCTTCCCTCCATTCCGTACAAGGCTACTGCTTTTAATGTTGACATGCAATTGTGTTTTCTTTCCATGAGCAGAAACTCTATGGCATTCTAAGTGGGTGGGACTACAGGATTTTACCTACATCCTGTTTAATGAATAAATACTTATCCCAAAATGCTGGACAGTGTCTGTTTTGTTGATCTCTCTTTTTTTAAAAAAATCAAGAATGTGTAAGGGTTTTTCCCCTAAAGGAGGTGGTAGGTTAACAGCCCTAATTCAAAGAACAAAGTAATAAGACTCCTGTTAAATCCCCCTCACAAATACATAAAATGTTAACAGATCAAGGGGTGTTCAGTATACCAGCACCCTGGTCATAAAAACCATCTTTAATGTCATTGTCTGAAGAAGGCCAGCAATGAGATAAGAAACCCCGACAAACAGACACTACGAGATGTGGCCTGGATAAGCCTGTCTGCACCAGGTTTGACTATGCAGAAAGCAGGGCCTCTAGCTGAGTGCTTGGTTTAGGGTAACATTTAGCAAACCAAAAAGAGTCTGTCTCTTCCCACCAGCCCCATCAGCCCCCTTGTTTTCCTGCACTAGAAAACCAAACTCTCAGAGGACTTCTCTCTTCTGTTTGTCGGACAAATGGGAAAATCATAGGGCTTGTTCCAGTTTTCATACCAACGTGGAGCTGGACAAGCCGGCTGACAGCTGGCAGGGAACCTTCAACCGCAGCACCGGAGGAATGAAGGCTTAAGCCTCAGCGCTGTCCCTGGACAGTGCCACATGTCCAACAGCAGATAAGGGCACCCTGAGCTGTCGGAATGTCAGACACAGCCTCCCAGTTAAAGGTGGGCAGAAAGCAACTATCAAGATCTTTCAACAGGAGGGAAAGCTAATTTGGAATCCTCAAAGGGCTTTCTACTCCTCTCTCCCGCTGTGGGCAGCCCTGAGTCTACTCAAGCCCTTGTCTGTCCCCTTTTTATCTCAGAGCTTGGCCAAAGCTGAGTATGCAACTGCTGCTCAGTCACTCAAGCTTCCAGCAAGCCACCCTTCCATCTTCCCAAATCACAGAATTCAATTACTTCAGCTTGTGAGGTGAAAGCACTTTGTGGATTTTAAGGTATCATTCAAATAAACATTACCATCAATATCACTATTATTAATCCATAATTAGCCACAAAGCTCTTCAATACTATAGATGTAGAGGATGACCAGGTAATTCATATTCCACCAAAGTCTTTCAACTGGCCAAAAACAGTCCATAAAATACTTTCCAGCCATTTCTCGGCTCCCCATAAAATCACAGTGACGTCTCCCATGCCAGAAAACATCAGTGCTTTTGATGTGAATGCCAGCGAATTCTTGGTTTTCCTAATGCATGGTTTTGACCACAGTCTAGTTTCTCTCAGACCCACATCCAGTTCTTCCAGGGGTTTAGAAGGGCCATTTGCAAGGTTAATTTAGTAAGGATGTTTTAAACAATGACACAGAAATGCCTCCTGCTAGAATAAGCAACTATCAGATCTCACACAAGCTCAGTGTGGGGCCCCTTGAAGACAAGCACCTCCACACCTCGTTCTTCTCTAGGTGCAATTCTCTCCAACCCAACCATCCCCTTCCACATACACACTCACGCACAGCAAGACCACCCCAGCACAAGACCTGGCTCACTCAGTGCTTTCTTCGTTAATTCTAGTTTATTAATTTTTGTTTTAAAGTATAGCCCCTTTTCACTTCAATAACTAAGAGAAGTCTGCGGGTAACTTCAAGTCAAAGACATCAACTTACAAAAAGAACTTCCATAACAGAGCTATCTCATACTATGGATCACTGAGGGGTTACTTCTGAAATGAAAACACACAGCTATAAAAAACAATCATTTCAATCTCTGCATAATTAAATAAACTCTAAAAAGTCATCCCTATGCCCGAAGAGAATTTAGTTGTTTATTCTTGGCATATATTAAATTTATAATGTTTGCTTTTGGTTTTTAAAAGTTTCTGAGAGTTCTCATACCTACTATTACTTTGCAAAGATATAGCCACAAATCACAGGACAAAGAAAAGGAATATATTGCTGAGGGTCAAAAGCATGTTAAAATTCCTTGCTTTTCCAAGTGAAAATGTCAAACCTTCTAATAAGAGCATAAGTAACAACCGATTGAGAACAATTTGTCCTCTTCCTTTCTCCTACTGATTCAATGAATAATTTTACTTCTTGCAATTTTATGGCTGAAACTTATTTACATTTTAGCCAAAGTAAGAACTTGTACCCAGTTTTCTTTTTCTAATAATTCTTTTCTGCTAGATTCAACGTTATCTACATAAAGAAAAGAGTTTCAAGTTCTGGTGCTAACATTAACTGCGCACAATAAAAGAAATACACAGATAAAAGCAACGTGCGTCTCCCACCTTCTAGAGCGGCAAGCTGCTGCTCAGCTTCCAGGTACAGCTGGGAAAAGATGGGCCTGGGCACCAGGTTGTTGGACCGCAGGGATGCCTCGATGGAATTGTGCAAGACCTCTTCAAAGCGTGTCGTCTTCAGCTGTCCAGCGTAAGAATTTCCCATCTTCAAGAGGATGGAGTCTTCTGTTTAAAATGGCATCTCAGATTCGGTGCAAAAGCCTGGCTCCACGCAAGGTAGAAGGTGAAACAGCTGCAAGGAGGAAGGGCCGTGTAGCCTTCGCTCAGCAGAGACGAAGAAAGGGTGGCTGTCCTCAGCTGCAGCTACTGCCGGGCAATTACAGGAAGTTATATAAGTAACAGCTTTCTCTAATTTAGCACTCAGCAGAGCCTGACACCTCTTAGACTGTTTCACTAGGAGCTGCCTCTTTTGCCATCCCCAGGTTTCACAGGACTCCCACTTTTCCCAGAGATGTGGTCCTGCCCCTGAGAGTTCCCAGACGAATGACGTTTCATTTTCCATGACCTGCAGACGAATGGCCCTCCAACACTCTTGTAAGTGACGGCAAATGAGCGATCCACCAAAACCAGTCCCAGATTTGAGGATTAGAGGAGCCGGCCTCCCCCACCTTCCCAGAAGATAGGCTAGCAGGTCTCCCACCATTGTCTTTGCTGGTAAAAGGCTGATTATTCTCATTCTTCCTTTAAAATGTTTTTTAATCTACTAAATGTTTCCATGATTCAAGTAATACAGAATTATATCTGGAAAACCTGGAAATCACAGAGGAGTGGGAAAACGAGGAAAATCACTGACATTTCTATCCCCCAAGAGATTTATTTTCTATCCCCCCAAAAATCACAGAGAACCACTGTGACTTTTTTTCTGTAGCAACTTAATTGAGATATAATTCACATACCTTACCACTTAAAGTAGACAACTCAATGGTTTTTCGTATATTCACAGTGTCGTGTAACTATCATACGATCAATTTTAGAATGCTTTCATCACCCCAAGAGGAAACCCCAGACCTATCACTCTGCAACCCTCCAACCCCTCCAGCTGGAGGCAACAATTAATTTATTTTCTGTCTCTATAGATTTGCTCATTCTGGATACTTTGTATAAATGGAATCATTCAGTACGAGGTCTTTTGTGACTGGCTTCTATCTAACGTTAGCACAATGTCTCCAAGATTCATCTGTTTAGCATGAATCAATACTTCATTCCCACTCACGTATTTTGATGTATTGTTTTAGACTTAATTCTCTTCAGAACTTGCAGATGGGAAGGGATGGGAGATTGTATTCACATAATTATAATCATACTATAATACACATTTTTATTGTTTTTGTTTTTCCTTGACATAAGCATTTCGCTCAACCCTCTTGCAAATGTTTTTAGAACAATTTTAATGGCTGCTTCCATTGAGTGAAAATGCTGATATTTGTTCTGACATTTCTCCCTGATCATACATAGGGTTAAATTTCTATTTTCAGTCCTTCCCAAGAACAGGCATTTAAATGTGTATATGTCCATAATGTTTTCCATTTATTTTCTATTTCATTACATTTAGCTATTTGTTATATTTCTCTTTATTTCCCTTTGGTTTAACTTGTACTTTTTCCAAACTTTTCAAAATAGTTACTTTATTGTCATCTTTAGTTTTCATCTTCATTAACAACGAAGACATTTAAGGCTATACGTTATTCTCTGGGCACCTCCTTTGCTATGGTACAAGGTTTAGTATGAAGTGTTCTCCTTTTCATTTCTTTCTAGACAGTTTATCATTTCCCTCTGATTCCCTCTTTGATCCGTTAATTATACAGGAGTGTGTGTTTAATTTTTAAACAGTCAAGACAGCAATGGGGGGTGACTTCAGCTTCATATTATTTATTTCCAGTTTTTAATAGATTATAATCAAGACTGTGGTCTTTAGAAACTCTACTTTTGAAACTTGTTAAGGGTTTCTTTTTGACATATACCTGCTGGAGTTTTACAGATATGAGAAAAGACATTCGTAAACTCTACAAGGGATGAAAGGAAATCAATCAGATTATTCAACTGTTCTATATCCTTGTATGTCTCTTGTCTACTAGCCTGTTCATCTTTAAAGTAACATTTGACATACAAAATGGCACCAGATGCCTGCACTGAAATGACCACAGAATAGCAGTTTCCTGCCTTCATCTACAATTACTGCACACAGACCAGTTATGAAACTGGCTTCATCGGTCAAGCGAGATCTCCCATTCACTCTAACTCAAGCCATGTGTAATAAATTCCCCTCGTCCTTGTTCTGTTGGTGGCAGAGTAGCTTCAAGATGTCATCCTTCATGCCCTGAAAGAGTTCTGCTTTCCCTCCCGAAGGTATAATAACTGGTAGAGTCACGTTGATTTCCCGCCCCTATTGTAAGAAAGATTCAGCCTTTCCTCTTCCAACTAAAAGTAAATGGAAGGCATTAACCACTTCCTGCTTGTGGCAATAACTTCTGACCACAGGGCCCCTTGGTCAGCCTCTGCTTATAGCCTGGGGAAATGAGCTGTGGGAAGATTGCTTCAGGAATTAGCCCCAACAAAAAGAAAGTGCTCCTGAAAGAGAGAGGTCAGCAGCCGGAGTAACCTAACAGGAGAGCAGAAGAGGTTGCAGGGTCCTCTTGTCTGCCTTTTTTCTCGATCTGTGGCAGACTTTAATATGTGACTGAGGGGTTGCCAGCCACATTTGGGGACACCTGCATTATTCTCAACTCAGGGTGGTGTGTTTAAAGCTGCCACCAACGAATAACATCCCAAATGCCCTCTGTTTCCATAGCATCTTTGTCTATAGAGCTTAAGGCACACAGGAAGAAGCTTTAAGGTGGACTCGTTTTACATGGAGCCCCTGAAGAATCATGTCCTCTGACAGAAAGAACACATCGGGGCATCCAGACCCTCCCTGCCCAAGGTCCTGTTCAGCTGACCTCACAGCTGATTGGCACCCAGGAGACTCCAGCAGCGAAGGGACATGTAGGCCTGATGTAGACGGGGCAATAAAAATGAAGAAGGAAAAATAATATCCACTGTCCAGCCACTGCGTGCAAGACACTGGGCACACTCCCTACTTCACACACATGGTAGCCCATGGAAGAGGTATGATGAAGCCCATTTTATAAATGATACATTTGAATCTAGAGATACATAGCCGGCAGAAACGCTTGCTGAAAAAAAAAAAATAGAATGGGGGAAAGATGGAGAAAGAGACAGAGAAGCTAAAAACAAGACAGCATAGAAAAGTGGGGTTTTTTGTTTGTTTGTTTTTTGAGACAGGATCTCACTTTGTTGCCCAGGCTGGAGTGAGTGCAGTGGCATGATCTCGATTCTGCAACCTCTGATCCTCCCACCTCAGCCTCCCCAAGTGGCTGGCACTACAGGAACATACCACCATGCCAAGCTAATTTTCACATTCTTTGTAGAGACGGGGTTTCACCATGTTGCCCAGGCTGGTCTCGAACTCCTGGGCTCAAGAGAGCTCCCAAAGTGCTGAGACCACAGGCATGAGCCACCATGCCCGCCCAGTAAAGTTTTCATACTCACAAAATTAAAACTTTATTTTATAGCCCTAAACAAACATCAAAGTTTTAATGTCTGTAAGCAAATAGTGAAAGAAAAAATAAATACCACTCCCTATCCCAAATGACGCATTTGACATCAGAACAATAAGTACATACCACTAAAGAAGAATGAGGAGGCATTGCAACAGTATTCAAATCTGCGGCTCTTTTTTTTTTTTTTTTTGAGACGGAGTTTCGCTCTGTCGCCCAGGCTGGAGTGCAGTGGCGCGATCTCGACTCACTGCAAGCTCCGCCTCCCGGGTTCACGCCATTCTCCTGCCTCAGCCTCCCGTGTAGCTGGGACTACAGGCGTGCGCCACCATGCCCGGCTAATTTTTGTATTTTTAGTAGAGACGGGGTTTCACCGTGTTAGCCAGGATGGTCTCGATCTCCTGACCTCGTGATCCGCCCGCCTCGGCCTCCCAAAGTGCTGGGATTACAGGCGTGAGCCACCGCGCCCGGCCAACTGCGGCTCTTTTTGTTATTCCATTGTGGCCACAACCAAACAGTGTGGGGACTTTCTAGATACCATGGCAGTGCTCTATCTTACAGACAGACCCTGACTGCAAAGCCACACCTGCTGGGTGAGGAAGGTTTGGGCCAGACCGGTCCTGCCGCGGAGGTACATCTGGAGCTCTCTGACCCACTGGAATCCGTCATTTGACCAGTGGAGAACTAAAGACCCAGACAGGGAAGAGCCTAGTTCAAGGTCACACACTAAAGCTTCAATCCTCCCAAATGCCGCATGGAGTGGAGACAACACCTATCAAAGGCCTCCTTGGGATGGTCCTTCTTTCCCTGGGCTGGCCCTGACCACTCGTTCTCTGTCCGTGGTCTCTTTGCTAGATCCCTGCTGCAGTTATTCAACTCTGCAGACTGCCTGTGGGATTTCTTCCACGCCCTAACACATCACATCCAACGCCTGCATTCCAAGGCCTGGACCAGCTTCTCTCCAGGCTGGTGTGTGATGCTCTTCAACTACAGAATCTGAAGCAGTGCCCATCAGGGCAGTGATGATGGCCGAACAACAGCCTTCACCTTAATGCACAAAAGCCTGGCTGTACTAGTCTGTAAACAGCATGCGCAACCCCACGCAAAGTGATTTAATCACTGGGCCTTGGTGTTCTCAACTGTAAAATGGGCACTTAGAAAAACTGATTGCTCGTTACGGACAGTAAGAGAGACGGAGTATAGTCAGTGCGTAATCATTAATTTCTAGTTAAATCTGAGCATTCACAGGAAAAGAATTTCAGATTATAAATGACAAGTGACAAAAAAGCACTATTGTCCATAAGTGCTACAACTTAAAAGAGGGGAGAAATCAGTGAGAACTTGGTTTACAATGGGGCTGGTACTGGAAGCAGGCCAGGAGGGCTGAGTAGGATATTTTTGGCCACGGCTCGTCCTGCTCCACTTCTTGGTTCCATGACCGGGAATCGAACCCGGGCTGCGGCGGTGGGAGCGCTGAATCCTAACCACTAGACCACTGAGTAGGATGTCTTTGGAAAAAAAACTAAGAACAGCATTTGAGGAAGGGACAGGAGAGTGCAAAGGCACGAAAACTCCAAGGGAACAGACATACTCTAGAAAAAGAAGTAAGTTCATTTGCCTAAGAGTAAATGGTTTACAAGATGACACAGTGATAGAATAACAAAAACAAACCCAAGGGTGAAAATCAGACATTGTATAGGCGACAGACACTCCCTGGACCCGCAGAGCTAGAGACCGATGATAGTAAAGATAATGCCAGTCAATCAGACAGAAATGATTAGGATAAAACTGGAGGGAAGACCTGCAGGCAGGAGGCCGGGCAGACACTCTTTCAATAGGACCTTTGATATCTGCTTATCTTTAAGAGTGAGGCACAAAAAGTTGCTTGGAAACTCTCTACGTGGAGATTCAACTGGTTGCCTGGTGGGCTTCATGGGAGGTGATCAGATGTGGGTTTGTTTCACCATATCAACCTCAAACATAGCTCCATGTCAGCTCAAATCACAGCACCAGTACCTAACTTCCACTGGCCCTTCTGATCCCAGAAGCACCATGGGCTTGACCAGATGAAGCCAACTGACCCAGGTCAGTTTGAAGTGGCAACAGTGAGCTAGCTCAACATGCTCTAGGTGGCTGGGACATTGACCTGAGCTATTCTCTTCCCATGGTACCAGTAAATCTGTGTCCTTTAGAGGACTCGGGTAGAATGAGAATTTTTAGGTTGAGTTGAAGTTCAACTAGAATAAGTGCAGGGCAGAAGCTTCAAGGAAGATAAGGAACTATTAAAGGCGGGGACAAAGAAAGGAGAGGAGGCTTCTGGTGAAATGGGACAGATGGAGAACATGCATTGTCTCTAGTCCCTTCAAAACCTCACTAGAAGGACAGTGAAGGAATGTGCAGGTATAAGGACCCAAAGACAAAGAGACAGGAGAGAAAATCACGGCAGACAAGATATGCCAACAAAAGTTAGCATTTTCAAAGCAGACGAGAAGTAGGGCTAGATTTGGAAAGTGTCCTTTCCAAGCCCAGTCCTGAACTGGGTGAGGCCTCCTGAGGAGCAAACTGATTCAAATGCACAGAACCCAGAGAAGGCTTGGGAATTCCAGGCAACAAGGTGAAAAGTAGGGCTGAAGAGTGGGAGGACTCCCTCTCCCTTCCCGAGCAGCCCTTTCCCCTTCTCTGCAGAAGTCTGGAAGTTTACTCAGGACAAATTAAACCAAAGAGAATCTGGACTCTTGGACATAGCTGGCAACAGATATGAGATGCAAGGGTGAAAACAGGGAAATTGACTCAAATGACGCAATGTCCCTTCTCTCATTCCTTTTCTCCCATTTGGCTCCCCTAAAATGCAATCATGCTTAAGGATGGACAGATATTGAAAATTGGGGGTACTCAGTATAACAGATCCATATCCAATCACCTTCTGTGAGGCCCAGCAGTCAACCAGCAGCTTTCTTTTATTATTTATTTATTATTATTATTTTTGAGACAGAGTTTCGCTCTTGTTTCCCAGACTGGAGTGCAATGGCACAATCTCGCTCACTGCAACCTTCGCCTCTCAGGTTCAAGCGATTCTCCTGCCTCAGCCTCCGAGTAGCTGGGATTACAGGCGCCCGCCACCTCACCTGGCTAATTTTTGTACTTTTAGCAGAAATGGGGTTGCATTATGTTGTCCAGGCTGGTCTTGAATCTCCTGACTCAGGTGATCCACCTGCCTCAGCCTCCCAAAGTGCTGGGATTACAGGCATAAGCCACCACAGCTGGCCAATCAGCAACTTTCTATGCTTGACTTAAAAATAAGCAGACATCCAAAGATCATCAGCATCACAAGGCTTTTGAGAAAATCCTTAAACATAAAAGGTAGACACTAAAAGAAACAAAGAGACAAAAGAGAGCAAACAAAAACCACAAAGGAAACACATCTGCCACAGTTAATATCTTCAGAGGGATGATGTATCCACAAAACAAGAACAGAATGCTATAAAAAGTAAACATGGAGAAAACGAGAAGGAATTCTTAAAAACTGTTTAAACAATAACAGAAATTTAAACTTTACTAGAAGGGCTACAAGGCAAAGTTGAAGATCAAGATACAAAGAATGGAAAAGAGAAGAAAATTGAAATGATTTTGTTATTGCATAACAGGACAACTATAGCATTAAGCTGAAGTTTTTTCAGTAGTTTTCAATGTCATTTTCCTACCATATTATTTCCAAAATGAGACAAAAATAGCTACTCTTGGCCACACTGAAGGCTATTCTGAAACATTTCATTAATGTGGCTCCTATTTATACATTTAACCATTCTCTTTTTTTTCGTCTTAAAGTAGGACAACTGAGACGTTACCGAGGAAAGGACTTATCAGACACCGAATACCCACAAAGAGAAAACATTTTAATGTTTCCTTTTAATGTGTTTATTCTATTAGAAAATAAACTCTTTGGGGGTTCATGGGGGAAAAAAAGACAACTGGAAGATCAATCCATGAGGCCCAGAAGGAGTTCTAGAAGAATAAATAAAGAAAAAGGAGAAAATGAGATTCCCAAAGAATATTTTTCAGAGCTGAAAAACATAGATTTCCAGATTTAAAGGACCAATCAAGAGCCCAGCACAACAAATGAAAAGGATACACATGGAGGCACATCCATGAAATTTTAGAACCCTGGAGATAAACAGGTAAAGAAACAACAGGTCACATTCAAGGGCTTAAAATAATCAGGATGACTTTGGATTTCTCAACAGCAATAGTGGACATTGGAAATAATGAAATAATGCCCGGAAAATTTTAAGGGAAAATTTTCCCTACCTAGAATACTCAACAAAAATAATAATCAAAGTGAGAGTAGAGTAAAACCATTTTCTGAAATGCAAAATCTCAAAGCAATTTATCTCCCAAGTTCACTTTCTCAAGAAACTACTGGGGAGTGGTGTAAATTAACAATTGTGAAGCCAGGGGGCCAGGATGGGGGATCCAACAGAGGGTAGAAGGAGAGGGGACTCACAAGGTGATGATGAGAACAGCTAAATGATCCACACTGGAGCAGGGACAGAAGGCTCCAGGAAGGAGGCCTCCAAGAAGAAAACAGGGCAACAGATTTAATTATCTGATGTGTTCAATAATATTGAAAGGAGTTTACAAGTTCTATCAGAATATGGGGATGTATTATTGACAGGTGCAGGAAGAATAAGATGTACAATGCCTGAAATTTTAGTTACTCACACTGTAAGTCTATGGTGAGTGCTGATTCAAACAAAGTTTTGATATAACTATTTTGGAAGAATGAGAAAAGGGAAAGGCATGTGTATGTGTATGTATGTGGGTGTGTGTATGTGTGTGCATCTGTGTTGGGGTATATGCATGTGTGCACGTGTCTGGGTGTGTGCGTGTGTGTGCATATGTGGGTATGTGCACGTGTGTGCATGTGTCTGGCTGTACATGTGTGTGCACATATGTTTGGGTATGTGCACATGTGTGCACATGTCTGGCTGTGTGCATGTGAGAATGTGTGGTGGGTTTTTTTTTTTTTGGAGACAGGGTCTTGCTCTGTTGCCCAGCTGTAGTGCAGTGGTGCAGTCACAGCTCACTGTAGCCTCAACTCCTGGGCTCAAGTAATCCTCCCACCTCAGCCTCCTGAGTAGCTAGGACTATAGGAACATGCCACCATGCCCAGATAGCTTTTTTTGGTAAGGACAGAGGTCTTGCTAGGTTGCCCAGGCTGGTCTCAAACTCCTCGGCTCAAGAAATTCTACCGCCTCGGCCTCCCAAAGCACTTGGATTACAGGAGTGAGCCACTGCACCCAGCTAACAGTGTGTTCTTGGGGTAGAAGGAAAGAGCTATAAGAAAGCTAAATTCTCATATTCTACAGTAAGAATGAAAAGATGGCCTAGACACAAACAATAAATTGCAACACCAGTTGTTATTTGGAAATAAAGAGGTAATTCCAGAGAAGAAGAAAAAAAGGAAAGAATTTAAAAATGGTTTTAAATTTCGTCAATTTAAAAATGGTTGTCTCTAGGAAGCAGGAATTGGGATAGAAATAGGTTTTTCATTTTCATTTTTCATTTTAAAGCTTATAATTTAACTTTTAGACTGTGTGTATATTTATAATTTTTGAAAAACGATGATTACATTTTAAAAATAAATGAAAGGCAGGGAAGAATAGAATGACAGGCATTATAAGGAATCTCAGTAGAAGAGAAGCTGAAGATCATGGTAGACTGCAGACCAATATTAAAGGAAGGACACGTGTGAAGAATTATCTAATTTCATCCTGCCAACAACCCTGTCTTCTAGATATTTCTCTCCCTACTTTTATCCCATATGAAGAAACTAAGAAAATAAGGCTTGGAAAGGTTGGACCTGTCTGAAGACACACAGCTAGTGCCTGGTCTGGAATTAAAAGCCGATCTCCAAAGAATCTCTTCCATGAAAAGTAGTGTTAAGAAATTTAAACTAGCACAGCCGAGCACGGTGGCTCATGCCTGTAATCCCAGCACTTTGGGAGGCCGAGGCAGGCGGATCACTTGAGGTCAGGAGTTCGACATCGCCCTGGCCAACATGGTGAAACCCCATCTGTACTAAAAATACAAAACATAGCTGGGCGTGGTGGCACACCTGTAATCCCAGCTACTCGGGAGGCCGAGGCAGGAGAATCACTTGAGCCCAGGAGGCAGAGATTGCGTGAGCCGAGATTGCGCCATTGCAATCCAGCCTGGGCAACAGGGTGAGAAGCCATCTCAAAAAAAAAAAAAAAAAAAAGTTTAAACTAGCAGAATGTAAAATTCTCAGACATCCTCACTTTCAGAGTTATAAATCTGTATTATCATTACTTTCTGGTGCCATTTCTAGTAGTGACAAGACACTTCCTGATTTTATAGAAAGTTAAGGCATTCCTCTAAAGTTCTAAAGGACAGCACTAGAGACTTGGCCTAAGGAGACTAAGCCTGCATTCACACAAAAAGCGAGATGCGCTCCTGAGCAGAGCAGGGTTTTCATCATGCTGGGAGCCAAGAAAGTCCTGCAATTATTTCAAGAACAGGTTCTACCTATTCTCCCAGAACCACTTGAGAAAGTTTGTAAAGTCCCTATTACAGAGCTTGTATGTTACAACATTGTATTCCAAGTGAGCACATAAAAAATACCAAAACTTCAGTTTATAGCTCATCTACCTATTCACTTCAAGTATGTATGTATATATTTTATAAGGCAAATAATATATACTGTGGTCCATGCATGCATAAACCACATATAAGCATATAAAAACATGTGGTCCATGTTCTTATAAATCAGTAAGGACATATGTTGTATACATATATATGTGTGTATTTATTTACTGAAAGAGAGTATGAATGGAATAAGAAAACCAATATTTCTTTCCTGTATACTATGTGCCAGGAAATTTTCTTCCAACAGCTCAATGACAAAAGTATTATTGTCTTGGTTTTGCAGATGAAGGGAGGGGGCGTGGGAAGTAAAAGCATTCTTTGTCTTCACATCTTTGTTATTTTTTTTTATTTTTATTTTTTGAGACGGAATCTCGCTCTGTCACCCAGGCTTGAGTTCAGTGGCACGATCTCAGCTCACCGCAACCTCCACCTCCTGGGTTCAAACGATTCTCCTCCCTCAGCCTCCCGAGTAGCTGGGACTACAGACGTGCACCACTATGCCCGGCTAATTTTGTATTTTTAGTAGAGATGGGGTTTCTCCATGTTGGTCAGGCTGGTCTTGAACTCCCGACCTCAAGTGATCCACCCGCCTCAGCCTCCCAAAGTGCTGGGATTACGGGCGTGAGCCACCGCGCCCGGCTATCTTTGTTATTTTCTTTAGCGACACAAACCCCAAACATTTTAAGTATAATCAACAGCTGCTATCTGTCAGGATCACTCTGTGCAGAGATTTTTCTTGCTTTCCATTTGTAACCTTACTTCATCTTCATCACAGTCCTAAAACTTAGGTAACGTGGTTCTCATTTTACACATTAGGAAATTGAGGCTGGGTGACATTCAAGTGACTTGTCCAAGGTCACACATTTGGAACAATTTTAGAATGTCCAATGATGGCCCTCAGTATGCTTTACTGAAAGCAAAGATTCATTGGAAAGATTAATCCCTTTTCCTTCAGAAAAGGATGCATTTTTTTTAAGTTGCTTTTTAAAAATGGTGTTCACTTGTCCAGCCATGCTCCAAACTTTGGGTTAGGAAAAGGATTGCCTTGGGTTCTTTTGTCATGGTGCTTTGCCAAAAGGGGAGCTGCCATAGAAAGTTGCTGATTGGCCGGGTGCAGTGGCTCATGCCTGTAGTCCCAGCACTTTGGGAGGCTGAGGCAGGTGGATCACCTGAGTCAGGAGATTCGAGACCAGCCTGGCCAACATGATGCAACCCGTCTCTGCTAAAATACAAAAATCAGCCAGGTGAGGTGGCGGGTGCCTGTAATCCTAGCTACTCGGAGGCTGAGGCAGGAGAATCGCTTGAACCTGGGAGGCGAAGGTTGCAGTGAGCGAGATCGTGCCATTGCCCTCCAGCCCGGGACACATTTTTTAGCCTCATCTAAAAAGACACATTTCTAGCCAGACAAAGAAAACCGAGAGCAGGCCGGGCCGGTGGCTCACACCTGTAATCCCAACACTTTGTGAGGCCGAGGCGAGTGGATCACCTGTGGTCAGGAGTTCGAGACCAGCCTGGCCAACATGGTGAAACCCTGTCTCTACCAAAAATACTAAAGTTAGCTGGGCATGGTGGCAGGCGCCTGTAATCCTCACTACTCGGGAGGCTGAGGCACAAGAATCGTTTGACCCCGGGAGGCAGAGGTTGCAGTGAGCTGAGAACGCACTACTGCACTCCAGCCTGGGTGACAGAGTGAGACTTTGTCTCAATTAAAAAAACACAAACAAACCCAAGAGCATTCTAAGAATGTGGCCTGCAGACCCATCTCCTGCGTGGAGGTGAGCAGGCAAACAGGGGGGCAGGACAGACAGGCGGCCAGCGTTGGCTCCTCCACCTGCACCCTCAGCACCATGGGCCCTTCCCTGGGGATGAGAGCAGGAGCCTTCTGGCTCCAGCCCATTCCAAGGAAAACATTCTTGCCCTGGCCTCTCCTTAGAGCGACCCCTCCCCTCCTCTTCCCTCCTTAGAATAGAACAGCCAAAAGTTTGCCCACAGGTGAAAAATGGATTTCTCTTAAAAGGCTCGGCCGGGCGCAGTGGCTCACGGCTGTAATCCCAGCACTTTGGGAGGCCGAGGTGGGCAGATCACAAAGTCAGGAGATCGAGACCATCCTGGCTAGCACGGTGAAACCCTGCCTCTACAAAAAATACAAAAAATTAGCCAGGCATGGTGGTGGGAGCCTGTAGTCCCAGCTACTCGGTATACTGAGGCAGGAGAATGGCGTGAACCTGGGAGGCGGAGCTTGCAGTGACCCGAGATCACACCACCGCACTCCAGCCTGGGCAACTTGAGCAAGACTTCATCTCAAAATAAACAAACAAACAAATAAATAAAAGGCTCTCAGACTAGAGGGGTTAAGCATCCAACTAAAATCGGGGTCTGAATGATTTTCCTACTCCTCTCTGAGGTCCCTTCACTCCACCTGTTACCAATCATGCAATGAGGCACCTCTGTCTAAATGAAGCCTCCATCTGTCAACAACAGCGCTGAGTCCCAGAATGGGCTGGAACTCACTTCCTAAGATAACACTTGGCTCTGGGTGCTCCTGGGTGCTGTACACTCATCATTTTGCTCAGAAAAATAAAGCCACAGCTTCCGTGTACTGCCTACCCTTCAGACCCAACTCCTCCCCACTCCCCGGTCCATTCACAGACGGGCGTCAATACCCATTTCTTCACACCACCCAGCAGCACACATCAGGGGTTCAACACCCCTGCACACGAACATGGACACCGAGGCCCACGAGGTGCTGAGAACACA